>NT_187660.1:2130300-2443002 GCF_000001405.40 Homo sapiens
CATCACCATAACCTCTCCTGCTTATAATCCTGCAAAACTGAAGCCCACATCCTTAATATGGCCTACAGCTCCTGCAGATCAGACCTTCCTCCCAGGCTTGTCCAATGTCTTTCCATTCACTGCGATAGCCCCAGTGAGGGTCCCCCCAGTTCTAGGATGGCACCATGCTCCTTCCCAGCTCAGGCCCTGCACCTATGCTGCGCCTTTCATTGCCTTCTCCACCAGTGCCTGACATGGCACATTAGAAAGCTTTCGGTTAATAACTACTTCTCTATTCACTTGCTGATTTGATATCAGGGAGTTACACACAAGAGAAGGGAGACCTGGATAAAAGGGGGAAATGACAAGCAGAGAGAGCAAAATGATCAGTTTATTCACTCATTCTAGACATATTGAAGAGGTTAGGGAGGTCCAGGTAAATTGGAGCAGTGGAAATCTTAAAGAGCCAGGGGTCAACATATCAGCCCTACAAAAGAAAACAAGGGGCCTGATGCGGTGGCTCACGTCTGTAATCCCAGCACTTTGGGAGGCCGAGGCGGGCGGATCACGAGGTCAGGAGATCGAGACCATCCTGGCTGACATGGTGCAACCCCATCTCTACTAAAAATACAAAAAAGTTAGCCGGGCCTGGTGGCGGGTGCCTGTAGTCCCAGCTACTCCGGAGGCTGCGGCAGGAGAATGGTGTGAACCTGGGAGGTGGAGCTTGCAGTGAGCCGAGATGGTGCCACTGCACTCCAGCCTGGGCAACAAAGCGGGACTCCGTCTCAAAGAAAAAAAAGAAAGAAAGAAAGAAAACAAGGGCCGAGATCAAGGAAAATGGTCTGAATACATATCAATGCCTGATTCAAGTAATGTTTGGAAGAAATCAGTAAATATTTATTGAACACTTACTATATGCAAAGCAACATAGTACAAAACGATACATAGTTTACTTTTGTTTACTTGTTTATTTAATTTTTTTGAGACGGGGTCTTGCTCTGTCACCCAGGCTGGAGTACAGTGGCATGATCACGGCTCACTGCAGCCTCAAACTCCTGGGCTCAAGCAATCTTTTCCTCTCAGCTTCCAGAGTAGCTGGGACCACAGGTGCGCACCACCACACCCAGCTAATTTTTGTATTTTTTTGTAGAGACGAGTTTTGCATGATGCCCAGCCAAGAACCAGCCTTTTGATTTTTTGCTTTTTTCTTTTGTTTTCCTATTTTTAATTCTATTAATTTCTGCTCTTTATTATTCCCTTCTTTTGCTTGCTTTGGCTGATTTTGCTCTCCTTTTTCTAGGTTCTTGAGGTAGTAAATTAGGTTACTGATTTGATGCCACTCTACACTTTTAAAGTAAGCAATTGGGCTGGGCCCAGTGGCTCACGCCTGTAATCCCAGCACTTTGCGAGGCTGAGGTGGGCGGATCACGAGATCAGGAGATTGAAACCATCCTAGCTAACAAGGTGAAATCTCATCTCTACTAAAAATACAAAAAATTAGCCGGGCGAGGTGGTGCGTGCCTGTAGTCCCAGCTGCTCGGGAGGCTGAGGTAGGAGAATGGTGTGAACCCGGGAGGCGGAGGTTGCAGTGAGCAGAGATCGCGCTACTGCACTCCAGCCTGGGTGACAGAGCTAGACTCTGTCTCAAAAAAATAAAAATAAAAATAACATAAATAAAAAATAGAGTAAGCGGTTAGTGCTATTCATTTCCCTCTGATTCACTGCTATGGCTGCATCCCACATATTTTGAATATGTTTTCAACATATGTTTTTATTTCCAATTATGTGTATTTTTACATTTTCTTTGAGAAAACTTTCTCTTTGACCCATTGATTATTTAGAAGTGTTGTTTTATTTCCACGTTTAAAGCTTTTTCCTGTTGTGTTTCTGTTACTGTTTCCTAGTTTGATTTCATTGTGGCAGAGAACATACTCACATGATTACAGTTATTTTAAATTTCCTGAGGCATGTTTTATGACCCAAGATATGATCAAATATGGTCTTTCTTGGTGAATGTTCCATGAGTGCTTGAAAAAAAAAAAGTTTCTGCTGAGGGTTGGGTTACTGTTCTGCAGATGTTAATCAGATCCTCTTAGATTGTGTTGTTCAGATCTTCTTTCCCCTTGCTGATTTACTATTTAGTATTTCTCAGTTGCTGAGAGGGTGCTGTGATCCTCAACTATAATTGTGGGCTTGTCTAGGTCTCTTTACAGCTTTATCAATTTTTGTTTTGTGCATTTTTGAGGCTATGGTGTTTGGTGCATATGAACATTTATATTTTAAGTATCAGTTATATTAAGCATATCTTAAAATGCTGAAAACTCTATTTCTAGATATTATCTATGTAGACAGCCTGATACATTTTATAGTAGTAACAGAGGAAGTTGACTAGAGACAAATTTAAAAATAAAACTTTCAGTATAGATAATGCAGAAACTATTGGCTGGGCATGGTGGCTCACGCCTGTAATTCCAGCACTTTGGGAAGCCAAGGCGAGCGGATCACAAGGTCAAGAGATTGAGACCATCTGGCCAACATGGTGAAACCCCATCTCTACTAAAAATACAAAAATTAGCTGGGCATGGTGGCATGTGCCTGTAGTCCCAGCTACTTGGGAGGCTGAGGCAGGAGAATCATTTGAACCAGGGAGGCGGAGGTTGCAGTGAGCCGAGATCACACCACTGAACTCCAGCCTGGCGACAGAGTGAGACTCCATCTCAAAATAAAAAAAAAAAGAAACTATTATCCCAACATATTATTTTCTGTGGTTTTTTTTAAATATATGGAGAACTGATGGTGCTACGTTTTTATAAAATACTCTTTTTCACATAAGATAAATAGAATATATAATAACTTGCTGACATATCATCAGTAAAGACTTCTAAATGATAATGTAACATCTCTGAAACATATCTTATAAACAAGAGAAAAAAAGAGTAGAACCAAAATGAAACTTTAAATTTAATTACATTAAAATTAATGTTTTGAGTAGGTTTTGTTGAGTAACTAGTAGGCTTGACCCTTGGCTAAAAAATAATTTTCTTCACGAAATCTACATACAGCACTTCTACCTTTCTTATATTTGCCACATTTCATTTTGTGTTATAGTTACATGTATGTTTGTTTTAATAGTATTACTACATTGTTTGTACACAGCCACATGTATGGTATGCTGGTTTTAAAACATATATTTACAAAGTCTTAGATACTCAGCAAGTGGAGTTTATTCCACTCACCCCGCACCCCCCACTGTTTTAATGTGGGCTTAGTGACTCACTTCTTTTTAAAAACAAATTTTATTTAAAAAAAAAAAAAAAAGACCAGGCATGGTGACTCATACCTGTAATCCCAACATTTTGGGAGGCTGAGGTGGGATGATCACCTGAGGTCAGCAATTTGATACCAGCCTTACCAATATGACAAAATGCTCTCTACTAAAAATACAAAAAAATTAGCTGGGCATAGTGGCATGTGCCTGTAATCCTAGCTACTCAGGAGGCTGAGGCAGGAGAATTGCTTGAACCCGGGAGTCGGAGGTTCGGAGGTTGCAATGAGCTGAGATCGTGCCACTGTACTCCAGCCTGGGCAACAGAGAGGACTCCGTCTCAAAAAAAAAAAAAAGAGAGACAAGGTCTCATATTGTCCAGGCTGGTCTTGAATTCCTGGGCTTAAGTGATCCACCTACCTCGGTCTTCCAAAGTGCTGGGATTGTAGACGCGAACCACCACGCCTGGCCATTAGTGACTCACTTCTAACAAACAGAATAAGGCAGAAGTGATGGCGTGTCCTGCAGATTTGGTCATGCATGGCCCTGTGGGTTCCTTGTTCTCTCTTGGATCACTCGCTCTGGGGAAAGCCAGATGCTCTGTCATGAGGGCATTCAAGCAGCACCCTGGAGTGGTCTATGTGGGGAAGAACTGAGGCCTCCTGCCAGCAGCCATGTGCTGGAGTTAACCTGAGAGCAGATCCTCTAGCCTTGGATGGACCCTGGATCTAAACCTCACACCTTATACAAAAATTAACTCAAAAACGTATGACACTTAAGTATAGGTGCCTGTAGTTCTCGCTGACGTCTTGACTGCAACTTCACAAGAAGTGCTGAACCAGAACCCCCTCAACTAAGCTGCTTCTAGAGTCCTATTTATTGTGAGGAATATTATTTTAGAGACTTTGTGAAATAATAAATGTTTATTTTTGTTTGTTTTTGTTTGATACGGAGTCTCACTCTGTAGCCCAGGCTGGAGTGTAGTGGCGCAATCTCGGCTCACTGCAAGCTCCGCCTCCCAGGTCCTGGTTTAAGCAATTCTCCTGCCTCAGCCACCCAAGTAGCTGGGATTACAGGCACACGCCACCATGCCCAGCTAATTTTTGTATTTTTAGTAGAGACAGGGTTTCATCATGTTGGCCAGGCTGGTCTTGAACTCCTGACCTCGTGATCCGCCCACCTTGGCCTCCCAAAGTGCTGGGATTACAGGCATGAGCCACCGCGCCCAGCCAAATGTTTATTGTTTTAAGCCACCAACTTTTGTTATATAGCAATAAATAAATAAATAATGAAATAGGCTGGGCACAGTGGCTCACACCTGCAATCCCAGCACTTTGGGAGGCTGAGGTGGGCAGATTGTTTGAGCCCAGGAGGTAGAGACCAGCCCGGGGGGTAACAGAGCAAAACCCTGTCTCTATGAGAAAAAACAAATAAGTAATAAAATAAAATATAGGCTGGGCACAGTGGCTCACGCCTGTAATCCTAGCACTTTGGGAGGCCGAGGTAGGTGAATCACTTGAGGCCAGTAGTTTGAGATCAGCCTGGCCAATATGGTGAAACGCTGTCTCTACTAAAAATACAAAAATTAGCTGGGCATCCTGGCATGTGCCCGTAATTCCAGATACTTGGGAGGCTGAGGCAGGAAAATCACTTGAATCCAGGCGGCAGAGGTTGCAGTGAGCCAAGACTGTGCCACTGCATTCCAGCCTGGGCAACAGAGTGAGACTCTGCCTCAAAAAATACATATAAAATAAAAATTTTAAAAATAAAATAAATTATAGAAAAGACCAGCTCTTTAGGGAAAAAACAATAAAATTGATAAACCTCTAGCAAGACTGACAGAAACAAAAAGCAAGGAAACATAAAAAATATTAAGACTAAAATAAGGGATATCACTACAGACCCTACAGTCGTTATTAGTATAATAACCAAATACTATAGGCAATTTTATACTCTGAAATTTGATAACTCAGAAGAAATGGGCAAATACCTCAAAAACCACAAATAGCCAACACGGATGAAACAGGCAATCTGAATAGCCCTATTACCAATTTAAAAAACCAATATCTAATTTAAAAACTCCCAAAAGATAAGTTTCCAGGGCCAGATGGTTTCACTAGAGAATTCTACCAAACATTTAAAGAAGAACAACGCCAATAAAAATCCTTGCAAGATATTTGTAGATATAGACAAGACTATTCTAAAGCTTATATGGAAAGGAAAAGAAATTAGATTAGCTAAAACAATTTTGAAAAAAATAAAATGGGAGAAATCAGTCTTCTGGATTTCAGGACTTATTATATAGCTATGATTAAGACTATGTAGTATTGGCAAAGGGATACATATAAAGATCAGTGGAACCCAGAAATAATCCTATGCAAATATGCCTGGGAGCCAGGCATGGTGGCATCTGCCTTCTACCTATATCATATATGTCCAACTCTTTTTTCATAAAGGTGCAACAGCAATTCAGTAGAAGGATAGCCTTTTGGATAAATGGTGCTACAGCACCTGGACAATCACAGGCAAAAAAAAATGACCCTGGATCTAAACCTCATGCCTTATATGAAAGTTAACTCAAAATGTATGACACTTAAGTATTATAAAATTATAAAACTTTTAAGGTAAAAAATGAGAAAATCTTTGAGCTCTCAAGCTAGGCAAAAATTTCTTAGACCTGACACTAAAAGGACAGTTCCCAAAAGGAAATATTGATAAACTGGACATCATCAAAATTAAAAATTTTTTGTTCTGCTAAAGAGCTGTGATGAGGATGAAAAGACAAGCTACAGAATGAAAGAAAATATTTGTAAACCACATATCTGACAAAGGACTAGAATATACAATGAAGTCTTAAAATTCAACTGTAAAAAAACAAACAGCCCAAGTAAAAAATGAACAAAAGACAGACATTTCATTGAACAGGATATTCCGATGGCTAATGGACCACAAAAAGACATTCAACATCATTATTCCTCAGAGAAACGCCAATTAAAACCACAATGAGACATCACTGCATACCTGTCAGTGTCATACCTATTTGGTGACAGCACCAAGTGTGGAGAGGATGTGAAAAAATTGGATCACTTGTACATTGCTGGGAATGTGATATAGTACAGCCACTCTGGAAAACAGTTTAGCAGTTTCTTAAAATCCAAAACACGCAATTACCATACCCAGCAATTGCACTCTTAGGCATTTATCCCAGCAAAATAAAAACTTAGGGCCGGGCATGGTGGCTCACGCCTGTAATCCCACACTTTGGGAGGCCGAGGTGGGCGGATCACCTGAGGTTAGGAGTTTGAGACCAGCCTCAAAATGGAGAAACCCCGTCTCTACTAAAAATACAAAATTAGCCAGGCATGTGGTGCATGCCTGTAGTCCCAGCTACTCGGGAGGCTGAGGCAGGAGAATTGCTTGAACCTGGGAGGCGGAGGTTGCAGTGAGCCGAGATCATGCCATTGCATTCCAGCCTGGGCAACCACAGCGAAACTTCATCTCAAAAAAAAAAAACAAAAAAACTTAGGTTCACACAAAAACCTGTACACAAATATTCATAGCAGCTTAATTATAATATCCCCAAACTGGAATCAGCCCAGATGTTCTTCAATAAGTGAATGGTTAAACTGTGGTATTCACCCCATGGAATATTACTCAATAATAAAAAGAACAAACTATTGATACATGCAACAACTTGGATGTATCTCTAGGAAATTATGTTGAGTAAAATAAGCCAATCCCAAAAGTTTCATTCTGTTTTGGGTTTTAAATTCCATTTATAGAACATTTTAAAGTGATAACATTTTAAAAATGGAGGATAGATCAGTTCTTCCAGCATCTGGGGACCAGTAGAGGGGCTGGAGGAACATGTGTGTGATTATAACAAGGCAACATGAGAGAGTCTCCTGGTGTTGGAAACGTTCCATATCTCAATCCGATAGTAGATACGTGAACCAATGCAGGTGATACTGTACAGAACTTAATATGCACAAATTCAAATAAAACTGGGGACATCTGAATAAGATCAGTGGATTAACATCAATGCTAATATCCTGGTTATCCTTCTATAAAATATTACCATTTGGGGACATTGGACAAAGTATACAAGGCACTTCTCTGTAACAATTCTCATAACTGCATGTGAAACTATAAATAAAAAATATTAAAGATGATGTGAACAGAGATACACACTTTTAGGTGGCTGTATTTTTCCCCCCACAGGAGTCATACTTAACACAATGGCCAAGCTATAAAAATTGAATGAGAGGAACTGATGTCCTAGGGTTACTTATCAACATATCTAAAGTAAAATAAATACAAGCATAGTTTTTAAAATTTCAAAGCTCTATAAAATGCAATTTTACAAGATTACTAAATGTGCTTGTTTTCAGGATCCTGAAGGCAATTTCCTGGTATCAAAACCCACATATCCTTTATTGAGAATGACTTGCACAACACTATTCTGCATTACATGGGAATAAAATGATGGGTGGTTTTTTCCGAGAGAACATATCCAGGAGCAACGACGCACCTGCAGTTGGAGCAGATAGTCGCTATACTTTCACCGCATCACCACTAGATTTCCATGAATTCTGCATGAGAAAACTGTGACTGATATGTCAGTTTTTTCACTTAGTTTATAGTACACGCAAAAATGACATGGCCAGTCTCTTGCCATGTTATTTCCAAAGAAAATTACTTGGAAAATATACCTTTCACCAAACTCTAAATCCATGTGCAAAATGTAATATTTTATACACCATATAAAAATACCAAAAAACATCTAGCAGTACCAAATCAAGATGAGACACAAGAGAGGGATCCTATGCACTGGTAGCTGCAGGATGGCTTCTGTAGTAAGTTGTATGGTGTGGTCTCCAATAAGATATGTCCTAATCCCAGAACCTAGGAAGGTGACCTTATTGGAAAAAAGGGTCTCTATAGATGTAAGTTAAGGATTTGGGGCTGAAGAGATCATTCCAGATTATCCAGATGGGCCCTATGTCCAATGATAAATGTCCTTATAAGAGGGAGGCAGAGGAAGATTGGTCCGAGACAAAAGAGGGGAACGTGATGTGAAGAGGGAGGGAAAGATTAGAGAGATATGACCACACGTCCAGGAATGCCAGGGCATCACCAGAAGCTGGGAGAGACAAGGAACACATTCTCCCCTGGCTCTCCCTCAGGGCGTGTGACCCTGCCAGATTTTGGAGTTCCAGCCTTCAAAACTGTGAGTAAAACTATTTCTATTGCTAAAGTCACCAAGTGTGTGGTGATTTAGGATGGCAGCCACAGGAACAGTTTGACTCCCTTCACCCGGAGTACAATCCACGCACCTGCCAATCAAAGCAACAAAGTATGAAAATCACTACTTTAAAAACTCAAGACAAAAGAAACCTCAAAAATACTAGCTTATGTAACCATGAGACCTTCAAACTGGCCTTGAATTCAGAATAAACAAGAAACAGCCAAATAGAAAGCTATCATTGAGGAGGGGAAAAAAAAAGGTTAGAAACAACTAACTTTTAATTCTGTTCAAAGAGAAGCAGTACTACCAAGATATCAAATAAATAATTCCTTTAATTAATAAGCAATCTGCAAAGAATGAGCATAAAATTGTGAATATGAGTTAATTTGATACTTCCACTGTATACCAGAAACACTACTTTAAAATATAATGGAAAAAACACTCCTTTCACAAAAGTAATGAAAAATATGAAACATAGTTTCAAGAAGTAACTTTAACCAACCTTGCATGGACCTATATGAAAAAAAAATAAACAGCTTTTATTAATCATTGTTTATATCTTCAAGAACACTTGAACAAGTGGGACCTGCTTGGTTGTTGGGTAGAAGATTGAGTAACTGTAAGGTACAAGTTAGTCTCAAGATGCTGACAAGTTTGACACATGCAAAAAAAGTCCCAAATATATTTTTTGAGTGAAGTTAATCAAATAACTCCAAAGCACAACTGGTATAAAAATCTAGTGAGATCACAACACAAACAATAGATAAATGTTTGAAGTTATAGATATCCCAATTACCCTGATATGATCATGACACATTGTATACATGTATCAAAATAGCACGTGTAGCTCCAAAATATGTCAACTATTCCATATCATAATTAAAAAAATAAAGTGAGAAAGAAAAGATTTATTAACACTTATAGCCAGGTGTGGTGGCTCACACCTGTAATCCCAGCACTTTGGGAGGCCAAGGCAGGTGGATCACTTGAGGTCAGGAGTTCAAGACCAGCCTGGCCAACATGGTGAAACCCCGTCTCTACTAAAAATACAAAAACTAGCTGGGCCTGGTGGCACGCGCCTGTAATCCCAGTTACTCAGGAGGCTGAGGCACGAGAATCGCTTGAACTCAGGAGATGGAGGCTTCAGTGAGCCGAGATAACAACACTGCACTCCAGCCTGGGTGACAAAGCAAAACTCCATCTCAAAGAAAAAAAAAAAAGACTTATAAAGTAAACTAATGGGCATAGTGATGACACGGTCTGCTAAATATTAAAACAGGACATAAAGGTACACTTATTAAAACGTAAGGAACAACATACAGCTGCACGAAGCATATGTCCATATAGGAACTTGTATGCAAACATTCACAGCAGCATTATTTCATAAGAGCCAAAAAGCAAAAACAGCACAACTGTGCTTCAGCTGATGAACAGATAAATAAGATGTGGCATATCCATACAATAGAATATTATTCAGTCATAAAAATGAATGTAGCCAGGAGAGGTGGCATGCACCTGTAGTCTCAGCTACTCAAGAGGCTGAGGAGGGAGGATCACTTGAGCACCGGGCAACATAGTGAGACCCTGTCACTTTAAAAAAAAATGAGGCTTTCCTCTTTACTTCTACAGGTATTGATACATAATACAATACAACATAGATGAACCTTGAAAACATTCTACTAAGTGAAAGAAGCCAGACACAAGAGACCATATATTGCACTATTCCATTAAAATGTTCAGAACAGATAAATCCGTGAGACAGAAAGTAGATTAGTGGTTGCCAGAGACTGGGGGAAGGGGGAATGGGGAGTGACTGCTAATGGGTATGAAAGCCTTTTGGGTGTGATGAAAGTCTTCTGGAATTATAGTTATATTTTTACCTTGTATCATGTCAAGAAATAAACTTCAGATGGAGTAAAGATTTAAAAATAGAAAATAAAGTCATGAAAGAACAGTTGGACCTCCGTATCTGTGAGTTCTGCATCCGTGGATTCAACTAACAACAGATCAGAAATATTTCTTAAAAAAATATGTGGGTGCGGCCAGGTGTGGTGGCTCATGCTTATAATCCCAGCACTTTGGGAGGCTGAGGCGGGCAGATCACGAGGTCAGGAGATCGAGACCATCCTGGCTAACACGGTGAAACCCCGTCTCTATGACTGTGCCACTGCACTCCAGCCTGGGTGACAGAGCAAGACTCCGTCTCAAAAAAAAAAAAAAATGTGGGTGCATCTGTACCAAACATGTACAAACTTTTTTTCTTGTCACTATCCCCTAAATAATACAATATAACAATTATATACAGAGCATTTACATTGTATTACATATTATAAGTACTCTAGAGATGATTTAACATATACCAGAGGGTATGTGCAGGTCATATGCAAATATTATTCAATTTTATATAAGGAACTTGAACATCCATGGATTTTGATATCTGAAGGGGGTCCTGGGACAATCCCCCATATATACCAAGGGACAACTATACTATAAGAAAATAAAGAATAATATTTCTATAATCTTATATTGGGGAGTCCAGTCTAAATATGACATGGATTAGAGAAGTTATAAAAGACATACAGACTTAAGCATATAAATATGACAAGCTTCCAGAAGATGAGAGACTTCTTGAATGGATACTGTTTTTTTTTTTTAAGGATGTTTCTATTTACATATCTTACCCATTTCCTGTTTAGAAAAAAAAAATGCAGCTCGCTGCCAGCACACATTTCTCAGGGCAAACAGGAAATGGGTTAAAAGGCCTACGTATGTAGTAGACACCTGCTGGGTGGTCTCCTGATTCAACCATTCTTTCTCTTATATTACGTGGATCGGGCCTCAAGCCTTGGTCATCTTTCTTCTTGCCACATGGACAAGAAGCGCAGGGAAGGCCTTTTTACAGACAAATAAGAATAAAATATGTATGTGAAGAGGGCAGACATAAATGATGCAGAACTGAATACTGATGTCATGCAAATTCTCTGTTCCAGCCTTTTTCCAAGGCCAATATGCATTCTTGCCTTTGGGGACTGGGAGACACTCCAATATTCCTCTATGGGTTTCTTCTCTTACTTAAAAGATGTTTAAATGAGTACATTTTATTATATTTAAAATGACTCCATTTTTTGAGATGGAGTTTCACTCTTGTTGCCCAGGCTGGAGTGCAATGGTGTGGTCTCAGCTCACCACAACCTCCACCTCCTGGGTTCAAGCAATTCTCCTGCCTCAGCCTCCGGACTAGCTGGGATTACAGGCACCAGTCACCATGCCTGGCTAATTTTTTGTATTTTTCGTAGAGACGGGGCTTCACCATGTTGGCCAGGCTGGTCTCGAACTCCTGACCTCAGGTGATTCACCCGCCTCAGTCTCCTAAAATGCTGGGATTACAGGCGTGAGCCACCGCACCCAGCCTAAAGATGACCCCATTTCTTTAACTCAGTAATTCTGCCTTCAGGACTATGGAAACAGGCCAGCTGTGGTGTCTTACTCCCGTAATCTCAACACTTTGGGAGGCCAAGGTGGATGGATTCCTTGAGCTCATGAGTTCGAGACCAACCTGGGCAACATGTCGAAACTTCGTCTCTATAAAAAATACAAAAATTAGCCAGATGTGGTGGTGCATGCCTATGGTCCCAGCTACTCAGGAGGCTGAGGTGGGAGGATAGCTTGAGCCCAGGAGGCAGAGGTTGCAATGAGCCGAAATTGCACCACTGCACTCCAGCCTAGGCAACAGAGCCAGAACTCATCTCAAAAATAAAATTAAAAAATATGGAAACGCTGCAGGTATAAATATTAATCCAATGATTATATACTGAGTCCCTAGTATGTGCCAGGCACTGTTTAAGGCCATGTGGATACAGTGCTTCTGAAGACAGATAGCCACTGAAGAATTATTGCTTTCCTTTTTTTTGAGACAGGGTCTCACTCTGTCAATCAGGCTGGAGTACAGTGCCACAATCACAGCTCACTGCAGCCTCAACCTCCCAGGCTCAATCAATCCTCCCACCTCAGCCTCCGAGTAGCTGGGACTAGCTGGGCACACTCCACCGTGCCCAGCTAGTTTTTGTATTTTTTTTGTAGAGACAGGGTTTTACCATGTTGCCCTGGCTTGTCTCAAACTCCTGGGCCTAAGTGATCCTCCTACCTCAGCTTCCCAAGTAGCTGGGACTACAGGCCTGTGCCACCATTTTTGTATTTTTGGTAAGCTAATTTTTGTATATTTTTTGTTTTTTTGTTTTGCCATGTTGCCCAGGCTTGTCTCAAACTCCTGGGCTCAAGGCATCCTCCAGCCTCAGCCTCCCATAACGCTGGGATTACTAGTACGAGCCACTGTGCCCAACCTGAAGAATTATTTCTAGCAATAGAAACCTCTTAGACAGATGGATGTCCAATAACTGAGGATTGATTGTGGACTATTTAAGTGACATTAGTTACATTAATGTTACTTAAGCATTAACATGCTATTTGTAATAACAAGGAAAAAGTATGTTATTTTGTTAAGTGAAAGAAACGATTAACTTATAGTTTAATCATAACTATATAAAACATTTTAAACCTATATATAGAACAAAAGGTCGGAATGATCAAAGTGTTCGCATCTATTATCTTTGACTGATGAGACACTATGGTAGTATCTTCTGCTGTAGAAAATATCCAAATTTTCTATTATAAGCAAACCTACTTTGGAGAATAAAATAAAACAAAGTCAAATATTAAGAAGAGCTTTGGGAAAACAGAACCCAAAGTGCAAGGCATCAGAGAGGTCTCCATCATCTGATTATGAAATCTTGGACTCTGACCCCGCAGCAATCTACCAGAAACTCTAGGCAACAAGGATGGGACTTCCCACCCCATGCACAGAGGTGGCCCCGGTAAGAAGGCAGAGTTTGACAGTCATTGTGGGTGCTCCCACCCACAGCTCCTGTCAGGAAGTGACTGTGAAACCGGGTTCCTCAGAGCCATCGTGGTTCTCTGGAGGTAATCTGGGTTGGGGAGTGGCTGGAGGAAGTAAATAGGGGTCCAGCTTCCTTTGCCTTCTCAGCCTGGTCCTCTCCATCACAGGTAGCTTTCCACAAACTCTAAGTTGAAAATACAAGCAGCTTCTTCCGAGAATTGTTCTTGCTCTCTAGAGAATTCTCTTCATTAACGCTGTTAGTATCCCTTGACTGGAAGGCACCATAGCATTTATGTGTAATTCCTGAATCACCTCCATGATTTTCAGATATTTTAGGAACCGGGATGTTTTCCTCAAATGAAATCTCCTGTGTATACTCAGGATAAAAGTGAAAGAGGGGAGAAAAGGAAAAAGGAGGCCTTGTGCTGCTGTGAAACCCAACAGCTCTGAGGAACCGGGTTCAAAGCCACTTCCTCAAACAGGAGCTGTGGGTGGGAGCCTCCACATTGACTGTCAGCCTCTCTGCATTCTTACTGGGGCTACCTCTATTCAAGGGGCAGGAATGCCCAGACCTTCTGCCTAGAGTTTTTGGTGGATTGTCTGGGAGTCAGAGCCCACAGAGTCTGCTGCCAGACCTGACCACATCCCAAACTCTGACTCAGGAGTAAGCGCTTTCTTTCTCTCCCCCTGGAATCCTGTTTCACTGTTTAAGTGTTATTGCACCTCCCCTTCTGCACTCCTGTTCCCTGGTTCCAGGGAGCAGAAAGTAATTACAGGACACCTATGCTGTCCATTCCGTCTTCAAGTAGTCCAGAGGCACCCTTGGATTTGCACAGTTATACTTAAAAACCCAGAAGACACTTCGCCCTTGCCCTAGGATCACCCCCTCAACTCCCTAGTCCCTGGCAATCATTAGTCTACTTTCTGTTTCTACAAATTTGCTCATTCTGAACATTTCATATAAATGGAATGATACAATATGTGGCCTTTTGTTACTCACTTCCTTCATTTACCCTGAGTTTTCAAGGTTCCCCCATGTGGTATCACATGTATTAATACTTCATTACTTTTTATGGGTGAACAATAGTATGGATATACTATGGATATACCACATTTTGTCTGTCTATTTTTCAGCTGATGAACAATTAGGCTGTTTCCATCTTTTGGTTATTAGGAAATGCAGGCATACCTCATTTTGTTGTGCTTTGATTTAATGAGCTTTGCAGACACTGAGTTTCTTAAATGGAAGGTTTATGGCAACCCTGTATCTAGCAAGTCGACAGGCACCATTTTTCTAATGGCCTGTACTCACCTTGTTAGCGTTTCTTAGCAAAATTTTAAAATTAAGGTATGTACATTGTTCTTCTTACATGTAATGCTACTGCACACTTAATAGACTACACTATAGTGTAATCATAACTTTTATATAGACTGAGAAACGAAAAGAATTGTGTGATTCACATTATTGCAAAACACAACATTTGTTTTATCATGATGTTCTGGAATGGAACCTGCAATATCTCAGGTATGCCTGTAATGCTGTGAATATGCATGTATGCATTTTGTGTGGACATATGTTTTCAATTCTCTTGGGTATATACCCTTAGGAATGAAATTGCTGGTTCATATGACAACTCTTATGTTTAACATAGACCTGCAAACTGCTCAGGAACTGCAAATTATTTTCCACAGCAATGACACTATTTTACATTCCCACCAGCACGCATGAGGGTCCCAATTTCTCTACATTCTTGCCAGCACTTACTATTGCTCTTCTTTTTGATTACAGCCATCTTAGTGGACGTAAAGTGGTATCTCATTGTGATTTTGATTTGCACTTCCTGACGATTAACCCATTTATGAGGGAGGTTGCAATTTTTTGAATTGCAGACGTGTGAAAAATCAGACCTTGGTGATGACCTTGAGCAGTAGGATATAAATAACTCCCACAGGTTTAGCATTCCAGTAGTGGAACGCTAGGCATAAATGGGATTCAACGATACTGGCATCTTTTCATGTGCTTATTATCTATTTGTATGTTGCCTTTGGAGATATGTCTACTCAAGTCCTTTGCCACTTTTTAATTGGCTTGTCTTTTTTTTGTTGATTCATAAGAGTTATTTACATATTCTGGATATTAGACCCTTTTCAGATATAGGATTTGCAAACATTGTCTCCCACACTGTGGGTTGTCTTTTCAATTTATTTATTTTGTGATGGGGGGAGATTAGGGAATACGAAGAATGCCTGTTCTCTTTACTGACGGTATCATTTAAAGCACAAAAGTTTTAAATATTGATGAAGCTCATTGTACCTATTTTTTTTCTTTTGTCACTTATGTTTTTGGTGTCATATCTAAGCAACCATTCCTTAATCCAAGGTCATGAAGACTTACTCCTGTGTTTTCTTCTGAAAGTCTTACAGTTTTAGCTCTTATGTTTAGGTCTATGATCCATTTTGAGTTAATTTTTGTGTATAGTATGAGGAAGGGGTCCAACTTCATTCCTTTACAGGTAGATATACACTTGTCCCAGCATCATCTATTGAATTCTTTAGTTAAGAAGCACTGAATCCTAGTCCAACATCTTCATTTTACAGATAAGAAAATTTTGGCCCAGAAAGATCATGTTAAAATTACTTTGTGTTGAGAATAAAAGAAAATACATCTGAAAGAAGATATACCAAGTCAATAATAATAACAACAAAAAAAGAACATACAGAGAAAGAGAAAACTTTTTGTTTCTGTTCTTCAGAATTTCTAAGTCCAGTGAGAGAGGTAAACAGTACAACATGGGATGTTCAGGACTAATCACAGAAATATACAAAGTGGGGGTGAAATCATAGAGAAAAGCCTGCTTAACTGCCTGGTGATTTAAGCTAAGATTCACCAGGGAGGATCATTCTAGGCAAAACAAACAAAAAAAAACCCCTCGTATACAAAAGCCTCTCAGCTGGAATGTTATGGGAAGTGTACATGTGGCAAGATCTTAAGTTGAGGCAAAAGGAAAGCGGAGTGATGGGAGCCAAAGCTGAAGCAGACTTGGAGCCAAACACCAGGCTGCATTTGCCCTTGGGAGGTAGGCAATAGGTTTTTTTCTTTTCTTTTTTTTTTTTTTTTTGAGACAGAGTCTCGCTCTGTCACCCAGGCTGGAGTGCAGTGGTGCGATCTTGGCTCACTGCAAGCTTTGCCTCCCGGGTTCACGCCATTCTCCTGCCTCAGCCTCCCGTGTAGCTGGGACTACAGGTGCCTGCCACCACGCCTGGCTAATTTTTTTGTATTTTTAGTAGAGACGGGGTTTCACCGTGTTAGCCAGGATGGTCGCGATCTCCTGACTTCGTGATCCGCCCGCCTCGGCCTCCCAAAGTACTGGGATTACAGGCGTGAGCCACCGTGCCCAGCTGGGGATCGGTTTTTATAACAAGGCAATGACACCACCAGATCTGTGCTTTAGAAATCTGATTGCTTGTCTGGGCACGGTGGCTCATGCCTATAATCCGAGCACTTTGGGAGGCCAAGGTGGGCGGATTCCCTGAGGTCAGGAGTTCGAGACCAGCCTGGCCAACATGGTGAAACCCCCATCTGTACTAAAAACACAAAAATTAGCTGGGTGTGGTGGCAGGCACCTGTAATCCCAGCCACTTGGGAGGCTGAGGCAGGAGAATCGCTTGAACCCAGGAGGCGGATGTTGCAGTGAGCCCAGACCGTGCCGCTGCACTCCAGCCTGGGCGACAAAGCGAGCCTTTGTCTCAAAAAATAAATAAATAAATAAATCTGATTGCTTGCAATATGGACGATGGTTTGCAGGAGGTAGAGGCTGGAGGAAGGGTTTAGGTGATTCTTGCAAAAGGTCATGACAAGAGCCTAAAAACAGAGTCCTCAGCTCACAACAAGTTCTCAGATGCGGCTGGCAGATATGTGTTGTTTGGCTAGAACAGTGTTTTTAAAGCATCTTGAATTCCTGATTGGGGAGGAGGCAGAGGCAAGCTCTCTCTGGGGTGTCACAACCACAACACTCCCTCTTTAGGCTCGCCCAGGCAGAGGCACCCATTTATGTTACCAGCCTGGCCCTGGTAAGCATTTCAGTTGCAACCTACGCCTAAACTAAGGCAGTGATGATGTAGACAGAGAAGAGCACATGTACTCTCAGCACAATTTAGAAAGTGGGCTGGCAGTGCTGCTCTTTGGTGGTAGAGAACACAGGGTGATGTTCGTCTCTGGACTTCAATGTGCCTAACTCACACCCCATCCCCCAGAATGATGACAAAGCTTTTGCTGAACTTGCTACTCTGAACAGTTTGCCCTCCTGGTTCATGGCCTCTCATGGAAGTAACAAAAAGTACATAGTCTTTTAAAATGTCTTGGGAGCTGTGTTTTCTTTCCTGCTGAAGCTTTGTAAAGTAGACCTTCCAATTCTCTAGGAAGCAAAGGTTCTTTTAAACCATAGGCTTCAACTTCCCAAAGTTGTTTAAGGATTCTGGTGCTAGCCAATGATACAGTATTACTTTTGTCTTCAACTGGTATCTTTCAAAGGATTTATATTTCTCAAAATTAAAAAGTTGTACCCGGCCGGGCGCGGTGGCTCACACCTGTAATCTCAGCACTTCGGGAGGCCGAGGCGGGTGGATCACAAGGTGAGGAGTTTGAGACCAGTCTGGCCAACATAGTGAAACCCCGTCTCTACTAAAAATACAAAAAAAAAAAAAAAAAAAAAAAAAAAAAAAAAAAAGCTGGGTGTGGTGGTGTGTGCCTGTAATCCCAGCTACTTGGGAGGCTGAGGAAGGAGAATTGGGTGAACCCGGGAATCAGTACCCTAGTTCCAAGACAATATTTTATTTTCTTTTGAACTTCATTCACTCAAGTCTTTATTCAGAGTGTAAGTTCCTAGAGGGTGGGGACTGTGCATCTCATTTAGCTTAGTAACTCAAGAGCTTAACAAAGTTCCTAACCCATGGCAGGGGCTTATTGAGAATTGTACAGGTTTCCTACCGTCAACACTGTTATCTATTAGCTCTTTTCAGCCTCAGTTACCTGCAAGCATCTGGGCCGGGTTCAACTGCAAAAGGATCTCACCCATATAAGAGGAAAAAGGGCAGTAGAGGAAGGAACCTGGAAGTTGACCTCTGCACATTTCTGGATCTTTTTTGTGGTGCTGGCATGTTGTGGGCCTGGCAGGAACGGGCTTCCAGTTCCTGTCTGTCTTATCACTATCTCCACCTTTCTTATCAGTTAGCTACGTGGGGGGCTTTCTGTCCTACAGATCCTTTATACTTGGCACGCTTTTTTCTTGGCCTTACTCAGTACTGAGGGTGAACATTTGTATGCTACTATTTATTTTAAGTGTTTTGCTTTATAAAGACCTATATTCTGTTGGTAAAACTGTTTTCTAAAATTAAAACATATTTATTGATAATAAAAGGCAAAATTGCAGCTAAATTTTCTTCTTCTGTGGGAGTGACACACTAAGAGTACCCTTCCAATTCTGTGATTTGAAGGTTCAAGAAACCACGAACGTTCCTGTGAGCCAAAAGCTTTATAATTTGCTTGAGTTGAAAATCTACAAGTGAATTTTAACAGGATAAGCAATCCGTAACAGGACCAGGAAACTATTCAAGGACAAGAATAGACTGTTTTTCTTGGTTTTAGCTACACAAATCAACACCAATCCTTCTGATAAGACGAGAATTACTCTTTCAACAGTTACCGACAGTAGCAAATGCCACGAAGATATTAACAAACAGCACCAATTTAAAGCCTAAGAGCATGGGGAATGCAGCTGGTGATTCTTACAAATGTTAATGTAAACTCTGCAGTTTATTCCACTCCACATTGCTAAAAATTTTACCCTGCCAGGCCCACTGCAACCTCAAAATAATACTCTTCCCAACATAAAGGGCTGCTTCTTTTAACTTCTCCAGAGTGATTTTTACAAGGAAGGAAAGTTGCCATATCTCTAAGACCCTAGGGGAGTTTAGAATATGATCAAGTTCCGAAGAAGTGCATTTTTGATTTGTAAAAATTATTTTAACAAATATTGGTCAAATGAGTGAACTGCATTCATGTGCATAAATATGTAGAACATCTGCAAACCTCTCACATGCATCCAGAGGAATACTACTCTCCTGAGGAGGCTTGGAGCAAGGAGGCCTAGCAAAGATGGACATGCACCGAGCAATGTGCGGGATCTGGGCTGGACACCATGATAAATATCAAATGAACCAGAGGGTCCATTAAAAGCTGGCTGGAGAAAAAAGTCACATAAAGCGAGGTGAATGTGGAAAAGTGAGGGGTGAGTTAAGACAAGCTGAAAAGCTAAAGAAATAGAAGTAGAGTGTTTAAGAGAAACATGTACCCAGTTTTATTGAGATCAATTCAAATCGCCAGGCACTGTGCTAGGAGACAGGGAACACAAGCTATTTAAGAGAAGCTTTCTGCCCTTGATTGTAATGAGACAGAAATAAATCTGCAATTAACAATCATAAAGGCATACTTTCATCTTGGGCACTTGGAAGAAAGGAAACATAGAGCTGACATAAACTTTGATGTAAATGCAGCTTTAAGCACTTTTTCTTTTTCTTTCAGTGATATGGCACCTTCTCCTTTTCAAAAATAGCAGCATATTAATTCTCTGTTAAATCTTTTCTTTGAAATTTGCGTTTATGTCTGGCATGATTTTACCCCATGTCACCTGGTCCTGCTCCCCGCATTCTTGTTCCTTCTGGCAACACCCACCCAAATTTCAACACATTTTTCCGTCACAAATTTAGCATTAGCTTAAGTCATTAACTATATTTACAGCTTGTCTTCATCCTTACTGAAACATAAAGGATGGTTGCAATAAACAGTGTGTTTTGTTTATGAAGAAAAATGTCCATTTTAAATCAGTCTGCTTGAATACATCATTTCTGTATTTGAACATGGCTTTGGCAGATGCAGGGAAGGATGAAAACTCCACACTCACTGGAAAACAAATAGGCAGCATTCTTCATTTTATTATGTGAACTCCCCACACAGTATGTCATGTGGAATTTGTGTGGGATTTTATTTACTATATCACAAAAGCTGTCCTTACTGTATATTTATGCAGAAAAAAAACAGGCTGCTTTTATGTAAGTCAAATGTCACATCAGAAAATAATACCCCGGAATGTCTGGAAAGTATTCTGGTGTTTTTGATCCATTAAAAAATATAATTTGTCTTTCACAACAACAAATTAACTGAAGGGGTAAGGTATGTTTAATAAAAAATAACGAGGCCGTCTGGCTGGAGACCGAGCTGTCAGGAACCTGGAGAAGGAGATCTGCAGGCTCTTTCCAGGGGCCGCCCTAACCTGAGACAACCAGGAAGACAGCGGGATGGCCCCCAGCACACAAGGACCCACAAGAGCCACCGTCACCCTGAGCACTCAGAAAGATACTCAGACTGAGCCTGAGCGCGTCTTCACTCAGTTCCAGTTTCATTCACGTGGGTACTCAAAGATGCCTATGCTTCCAGTTGTTTCTGTGTTCTCTGTGTTCTCCTGCAGAATCCATTGAACTGGACTTAAGACATTTATTTCAGACAAATAAGATAAATTATGTAGTATATAAAATGTAAAAGGTGGAAAGAGCAATTTCTGACTGACACAGGAACATTCCTGGACACGAGAAAATTCAACCCATCGATGTTGAGCGAGACTCAGACCAGACATGCTGTTTGTGGCTAATATTAGAAGTCATTTAACTGTCAAAGCAAATGGCACTTTATGAGCAAGAAATCAACTGAAAAAAATGAATTATTTATGGTTTTGATAAGGTCATAACCATCACAAAAGGCAACAAGGGCAAAACAGTAAAACTGTCTGTTCAAGTAAAAGCAGCCCTCCCTGGAAGAAGGTAACTTGCTTCCTGTCTCACTTTCACATTGGGCCTTGCTGGCTCCAACGTGGCCCATGTGTGCTATGTCAGGGGAAGTATTTCTTTCCCTTGCCACTATGTGGGAGCTTTTAATACAGTTCTCAACTCTCTATGAGCTCCTTGGGTGTGTATATTCCCTTAAAAATTATCTCAGTGTGTAAAAAATTTGTTTTAAAAACATTTTAAAGAAGAATTGGCTGGGCATGGTGGCTCATGCCTGTAATCCCAGCACTCTGGGAGGCTTTGGGAGGACATGGCAAGAGGGTAGCTTGAGGTCAGGAGTTTAAGACCAGCCTGGGCAACACAGTGAGACCCTGTCCCTGCAAAACATTTTAAAAATTAAGGCTGGACGCAGTGGTTCATGCCTGTAATTCCAGCATTTTGAGAGGCCAAGGTAGGCAGATTGCTTCAGCCCAGGAGTTCCAGACCAGCCTGGACAACATAGCAAGACCTTATCTCTACAAAAAGTACAAAAATTAGCCGGGTGTGGTGGTGCATGCCAGTAGTCCCAGCTACTTGGGAGGCTGAGGTGGGAGGATGGCTTGAGCTCAGGAGGCAGAGAGGTTGCAGTGAGCTGAGATCACACCACTGCACTCCAGCTTGGGTGATAGATTAAGATTCTGTCTCAAAAAAAAAAAAAAAAAATCAGCTGGGCGTGGTAGTATGCACCTATAATCCCAGCTACTCAGAGGCTGAGGTGGAATGATCGTTTGAGCCTATAAGTTCAAAGTTATAGTCATGTTTTGTGCCATTGCACTCAGCATGGGTGACAGAGTGAGACCCTCTCTCAAAAGGAAAAAATCAGCGGCAATAGCTCCTAATTCCCTCTTTGTAATTTTCTGGGCATTAAAAATAACTGGTCAGTTAGGAGGTGGCTAACTCTGCTCAATGGTTGTGCAAAAGCTTAGGATAAAATACAGAAACAGGAGCTGAGGAGGCTTCTTTCCCTTTTCAGTGTTGTGGCTTCATATAAAATCTACATGTGAGCTCTAATACTGGTCCACGCATGCCTGTGTGGCTCTCAGCGTTCTAGAGGCCAAGGCTAAGCTCACTATAATATAAATGAATAAATGAATCAGGACTGTTGAGTTCTCCTTTCAATCCCCAAGTCAAGCACAGTGTCTACCACATAATGTCAAATAAATATTTATGGAAAGGAAGAAAGGGAAGGAAAAAATAAACCAAGAGAATGAAACAGTTAGATCATGAATGGCGCTGGTATCCACTGGGTTCCCGTATTTCTTAAGAAAATGAACCCTCTAAACAAAATAGCCCAAGTTTTAAGTTTGTTGAAACTTCCCTTAAAGATCAGTTCTGGGGACATAAGAGAAAGATTTTGCTACTGCTAACAAAGTTTGCAAAACTTTGAAAAGAAAGGTTTTGGCACAGGCAAAATCTGAAAAGAGTAATAATGAGCAGAAACTGGCCCTAGCAGACAGATAATAAATCTTCACATTCTGAAGCTTCCATATTAAAAGTGTGGAACTGGAGAAGAAATAATCGACACAGCTCAATGGATCACAACAACAAATTAAAAATATATAAGGGAATTTCATTTTCTATAAAGGTATACAATAAAGGTATATTATATTATTATAAAGGCAGCATTTCAAGAAAAGAGATTGCTTAATAAATGTGTTTCATGCAACTAGGTAACCATCTGAGAAAAATAAAGCCAGATTCCGATCTCACTCCTTATACCAAAATTAATTTCAGATGAATCAAGTTTTCCAAATGTAAAAATGAAGCCATAAGAGAAAGCGAGGGTGAACAGCGAATGTGTGAGTAATCTCAAAGGGGCATGGTCTCTTTCTATGCAGGACACAACAGTCAAACAAACAACAAACAGGAAAAATATTTCAACACAGCTACAAAGGGCTGGCTTCCTTAATTTAGAGAGATACTGTTTATTTCATCCATCACACTGGCAAAACTCTAGGGAGGGCCTGGGAAAACATTTACTGAGATACTATTGAAGGGAGTGTGTGTTAGACGTGACATCTCTGGGAGATTTGGCAGTGTTTATCAAAATTTAGAAAACATGTATCTCAGCAATCCCTGAGCCACAAATAATTTATCCTAAACTCCCACTACCCAAGGTTCTGCACTAAGGTCCAGATTCCAGAAGAAGTAATGCAATCCCAAGTTCATCCTTCCTACTGTGGTCAAGGTTAAACCCCACACCCCACGATGTGACTGCTGAGGCGACTTATCAGTCCCTTGAAGCCAAATCAGACAGGCACCTTACAGACACCGCATCACCCGCTGCCCTGTTCCACCTGCCAAGGGTCTGTGCCTCCTCACTAGACTCCAGCATCTTGAAGGCAGAACGATATCCTTTCCCCTGTCTTTCTTTCTTTCTTTCTTTTTTTTTTTTTTTTTTTTTTTTTTTGAGACAGAGTCTCACTCTGTTGCCCAGGCTGGAGTGCAGTGGCGCGATCTCAGCTCACTGCAACCTCCACCTCCCTGGTTCAAGTGATTCTCCTGCCTCAGCCTCCCGAGTAGGTGGGATTATAAGTGCCCACCACCACGTCTGGCTAATTTTTTTGTATTTTTAGTACAGATGGGGTTTCACCATGTTGGCCAGACTCACCATGTTGGCCAGACTGGTCTCGAACTCCTGACCTCAGGCAATCCACCACCCCGCCCCCCACCGCCCAGCCTCCCAAAGTGCTGGGATTACAGGCGTGAGCCACTGTGCCTGTCCCTTTCCTCTTTCTAATATCACATTTATATAGCCCAGAGCAGAGGCTCAAAATAACATTAGATGGATGAACAAATAAATTACTGAATGTGTAAATCAGATAAACTAGCTAGCTAGAAGTACTAGTGGGCAGGTTAAAGACAGGATGGAATCATAGGTAAATGGTTAAGAAAAAAAAGAGAAAGGGATCCAAGAGTTTAGAATAGTTTTCTAATAAATTTAAGGTTAGTCCTGTGTGTAAAAACTATCTTTATATTAAGTATGCAAAATTATCTTATAATACACAGAGGAACCGGAGCAGACAATAATGAATGTCAGGCATTTAGCAAGCTGGGTTAGATTTGATGAAACCGAAAACTCTTAAGCTTGGAAACTAGCTTGTTAAATAACAATGTTCCTGTAAACAGGCAGGCTAGATTTATTGTGCCCCTGGGAAATTCTCTGGAATGAACACAGAAAATGCTTCTGTTGATTAGCCTTTTTAGCTTGCGGGTGAGTGTTGACCTAAAAGGGAAAGGCTTGCCCTCCAGATTTTACATAATGTGCCCTTATCAATTCCTGTCAGGAGAACTGTCCCTGCAGGGATGTTAGGAAGACTAACGATTCTGCCTCAGTAACACAACCTGTGCTCCCAGGAGCCTGCTGCGAAACAGCAGCTTATCTCTTACACCTGCTTATGGACTAGAAAGACCAATTTTAAACAGAGGGCCAATGCAAAGAGAAGAGAAGATAAAGGACATTAATAAAGCTAACAAGTTGATTGATATATTCAAAGAGAGGAAACCGAGGCCGAGCATGTGTGATCACTGGCCCAAGGTCACGAGGGAACTGGCGGCCAGCCCCAGGACACAGAGGGCTTCCCTCCTCCAGCCACCTCCTCAACGCTAGCTGGAGAGCAGGGAGGAGGCATTTCCCAGAGGCAAGCTCTGAATACTCCGCTGTGTTCTCACTGGACAAAGGAAAGGAAAGATACTCCTCTAAAGACGGCACTGAACACTCACTTAGAGACGGTAACAGAAGCCTCTGTCAGCAACTCAAGGCTCATTTAACCAACTTTTGGGATATTACCCACACAGTCCTAAAAACGTATGCAAAGCAGGAAGTGAGATAAAAGAGACCTCAAAAATTCTGAGAGTAACTATAAAATTAGACATATTAATAAACGTGCAAACGTTATAAAATGGGAAAATATATACAGTTGGTTTTTCCGGCTGTGGTAGCTAATCAAAAATGACATCTCCTTCCAGCTCCCCTCACTCCCACCATGCCCTCGTGGGCAAAACCTGCTATGATTTGCCCGTGTAGCCCCCTCTCTGTGAACGTAGGAGAAGCGAAGCCACTGGCTTTCTGAGACTTGCTCATCAGAAGCCTTGCTGCTGCCACCTGCGCCTCTGGGAAAGCTTGCCGTGGGAGAGGCGCAACCGCCTGGAGAGGCCTTCCTATGAGGAAGTGCGTTAGTCACGTAGGAGACGGCCCCAGCTGGCCCGGCCACCCAGCTGAGGCGCCAAGCTGCACGTGAAAAAGCCGTCTTGGGCATACAGCCCCACTGGGCATTCCCGTGAGTCCAGCCCTAACGTCATCGGACTGCAGCCCCAAGAGAGACCCGAGGGAGAACTGCCCACTCACAGAACCAAGAGGGAGAATGATCAACAATCCACAAAGTTTCTTGCAAAGCAACAGATAACTGAACCATTGGCTAGCCAAGCTGTACAAAAGCATTAAAATAGATTTATTGCCATAAGACATGAGAAGTATAAACAAAAAAAAGTTACTAAACAATTACAGAGCGCCTATGCCTCTTCTTTGAATGGAAGGCCTTAGAAATACTTCCATATTTTCTGAGGTATTTTGAAGGAGTACAGGTCTGAACACACAGCACACAGCTGTCAGAAGGAAGGCCAGGCATTTACACAGGGTGGGCTGTGGAAGAAGAAACCTCGTAGGCAGCGGGGGACACAATGGTGACTGCAGGAAGGCCTATGAGGCTGTCAGCTGGAAGACTCCTTGATACCATTTCATTACCAGTCCAAAACACAGTCAGCTCTGCTTGTTTTTTCTCTTACAAACTCTAGTATGCTGTAGGGTTAGAGAGGTACTTATATTGTAAGCATACATGTGCAAATAACTGTGCTAGATTATGTGGCAACCTGATTTTCCCTAGATTTGTCATCTTATATTTCAATCAGACATGATGATGAAGAGCCTTGAACTCAAATTCAAATTTAAAACAAAGATGAAAGCACAGACTAGAACAGAAAATCAAAAACACAATTCAAGGATAGTATAACAAAAACATATTTCAGATACTGAAGAAAGCTGGTCCTTTGCAATAGACCATGTTCCACGGAGGTCTGCCCTCTGACAAGCCGAGGGCCTTAAGGCACATAACCTCTTTGAGACTTGAGATCTTCAGAATTGTTTTGAAACTATTTCTTCATTGGGAAGAAAAAATGGTTCTGTGATCCTCAATGGTGGTGAAGTTCTAGGTAAGAGCTTTAAGCGAAACGATGGAAAAAGAGCAAGAACTAGGAGCTGGTACGTTAGAAGCATCTACTGCATTCAAACCCTGCATTAGGCCCCTTCATACAAACCTCCTTTAGTCCTCGTCATGGCCCTGCACCAAGGGCTTGGTGTCCCCTCTTTGGAGAAGCCACCACACAGAAAGGTCCAGTCACCAGCAAGAGGTCGTGCGGCACGTCCACTCTGAGTGAGTCTCACAGGGGATCTCAAATGCCCTCTTTCACTCTGCAAGGTATTACCTGCACTGTGGGCTCAGCATTCCAGAGATACGCATGGGAATAGGGCCAGGTCCCTGCCTCCAAGAGCTGACAGAAGGCTGGAACAAACACACATGTGCACGCACCATTCATTTCCACAGAAAGTCATTTTTGGATTCAAAGCTGCGTTTGAAATGGGTCTTGCAGGATGAATGGGATTTCACAGATGAAAACTGGTAGAAGAAAACTGCATAGGCTCATGGATTCATTCAGCAAGCACACACACAAAGGCCTGCTGTGGGTGAAGGGCAAATTCTGTCCCTGAAGGGCAGAGTGAGTGCTGGGAGCTTCAAGCATTTCTTTTGAGGTCCGTTTAGCAAAAGAATTTCTTATTAAATAGACAACTCACTTTATATTTTGTCACATACACTAAACACTTGTGGGAAATTCTCTCTGCCATTCAGATTTTAAAAAATTGATTCTGGATATTAGCTGTTCCCAAATTCAAAGGCGACATCCCTCACAGCAAAAACCTAACACAGGTCCTGGAAACCGACAAGGCCCTGCTGCAGGAGCTCACACTCCTGCGGTCCCTACTCCCAGGGATCAAGCCTGGCTGCTACAACTCTGTGTGCAAGAGCAAACTGTTTCTTGTGATGAGTCAGTTTCTTTTTTGAATCAAAACAGAAATGTTAAGAAAATATGGAGAGCTATTCTTTTATGATCAAGACAATTTTTGCTATGCTTTATATTCTTTTACAGTTTCCTATTTTAATATTCTCATCTGGTAGATTTCAAGCACTGACCTCTCCCTTTCTTTCAACAAGGGTATAAGAAGACAGACTCCACTTGCTCAGACTAGGCATGGGGCTTTATGGCCTTTGGGATTTCTTAGGGGAGACTTGAGACTTGAGAGCTGGAGAACTGTCAAGCTAATGATGTACCCCTTTTCCTTGCCATTTCAACACGAACAGGTATTTCTCTCCAAATCTAGAAATCCTTCTGTAAATGGAACGGCAGATCATTATTTTGCATTTTGCTGAGAACAAGAAGTACGTGAGATATTGCACAAAGTACAGCATGAGGCATAGCTTTTACCCAACAGGCTCAAAACTCTAAATTAAAAGAAAACAAAGGGACAGAAAGAAAAGCAGTTTTCTTCTCTTCCACCTCCTCCTCCTCTCGCCTGAAATGTACCACCCACGGGGAGTTGCACAGCTTAGGGCTTAGGCAGAGATGATATTCCATGTACTTTTTCAGGTTTCCCATTTAAGGCTGTCACCACCATTAAGCCAAATGACAGTAACGGAGGTGCGGTCACATTAATAACATGAGGGCTGTTCTAGGGCAAGATAGGGCCTGCGTCATGGCTTCCTCTATCCCTGAGAAGGAGGGTGACAGAAGAGAACGCCTGCAGGGTGACAGTAAAGGAGTGTATCAGGGATGGGGTTGCAGAGCACTGTGCAGTCCCCACTGTGGGCTGTCGGAGTCAATCAGGCACTCGGCTCATTGGAACTTCTGTCCCCTCAGCAGTAAGGGCGGAGGGCAAACCTTGCAAACGACACATCTTAGTTGGAGGACATGATTGGGGCTGGCATCATCAACCATATGAGATGAGCCTACAACAGACAGCAGTCAGAGACAATACCCCGGGTTAAAAAAGGAATCTACCCCATTATGAAATAGAAGAAACCTCAGCAAGTTGTTGTCTATGTTCTCTGAGCTGATAAAATGGTATTACCATGAACTAAGGGTAGCTAGTCCCTCAAAATCCATGCTAATGAAATTCTCTAAGTCCAGAAAAATGAGCAAAACCATCATTTTAAAAAAATTTAGAAATTTTTATTTTTATTTGCTTATAAACTTCATTGTGAGCTTTTGGAACAAAAAAGTCTGATTTCCTATTTAATGAAGAATGGCTTTTAAACACCACAACTTAATGCATAGCTGTATCAATATTACGTAAATTGACAAATGTCACACAAAATGTGGTGCCTAATTGATTTTGACATGCACGTACATAAAGTAGGACCATTCAGGTAAATACAGAGCTAATAATTACAAGAAGCAAATAATACCAATGAAAACCATTTTTTAAGGGTATTAGATTTTCATTCTCTTCCTCATCAAAAAGAAGCATGTATTGAACATCTGCCTGTGGCTAGGGTTGTAGTAAGCAGAAAAGTGACTTGCCTAAAGGATGAGAAATCCTATTACATAAAGATTTTTTATTTTAAATGTAGGCCCACTCTCCACACACCCACACCCATCAGTTACCTAGCAGTTCCTTATAAGGAGTGTGAAATCCAAGTCTGGCAACTCACTGGGGACTTCAAGCAAAACCTTCTACTCTGTCCTGTTAAGTGTGCAGCCCTATGATAAGGCACTGTGGCCATCCGCAGAATAGGCAGAAGATAAGCCTCTAATCTGTACTTTTCAACCAATACCTGGGAGGCTTTTTAAGAGTGATACTGACCTTGTTTTCATTGGTTTTATTTCATTTTACTTAAGTACTTGTTGCCATTGAAAATTACAGCCGGCCTTATTGTCTTCAATTCATTTGCATCCCCTTTTCCAACTACTATTCCTAAAGCAAATCATGCATTTGCTTTTGTGCAAGTGTCTGAGGACTAATTTCTCCCTAAAGATGCGGTGTTCAAATCCATAAATTCTCCCCCAAATACATGTTGTGGGTTTTGGTTCTTCATATTTTTTTATTTTTATTTTTTTCTGAGATGGTGTCCTGCTCTGTCACCCAGGTTGGAGTGCAGTAGCATGATCTCGACTCACTGCAACCTCCACCTCCCGGGTTCAAGCAATTCTCCTGCCTCAGCCTCCCAGGTAGCTGGGATTACAGGCGTGCGCCACCATGCCCAGCTAATTTTTGTATTTTATTAGAGACAGGGTTTCACCATGTTGGCCAGGCTGGTCTCGAACCCCTGACCTTGTGATCTGCCTGCCTCGGCCTCCCAAAGTGCTGGGATTACAGACGTGAGCCACTGTGCCTGGCCAGTTCTCCTCAATATTAGGAGGAACATTGTCACCAGGCTCCCTGTGAGGTGGCATTTCCAATGACCAAATATAGTTGTTACTTAAGTCAAAACTCTATACCTGCCTTGTCCAATATGGTAACTGCTAGCCACACGTGACTAATTAAAATTAGATAAAATTTTAAAATCTGCTCTTCAGACACACAAAAGCCACATTTCAAATAACCCATAGTCTCATGTGGCTAGTAGCAATGATACTGAACAGTGCAGAAAGTTCTGTTGAGAAGCATTGCTCTACATTAAGCTTGTCTAACCTGCCCCACATGTGGCCCAGGATGGCTTTGAATGCAGCCCAACACAAATTCGTAAACTTGCTTAAAACATTATGAGATTTTGGCCGGGTGTGGTGGCTCATGCCTGTAATCCCAGCACTTTGGGAGGCTGAGGCGTGTGGATCACCTGAGGTTAGGAGTTCGAGACCAGCTTGACCAACGTGGTGAAACTCCGTCTCTACTAAAAATACAAAAAATTAGCCAGGCGTGGTGGTGCATGTCTGTAATCCCAGCTACTCAGGAGGCTGAGACAGGAGAATTGCTTGAACCCAGGAGTTGGAGGTTGCAGTGAGCCAAGCTCGTGCCACTGCACTCCAGCCTGGGCAACAGAGTGAGACTCTGTCTCAAAAAAAAAAAAAATATGAGATTTTTTTTGTGACTTTTTAGCTCATCAGCTATCATTAGTGTTAGTGTATTTTATGTGTGGCTGAAGACAATTCTTCCAATGTGGCCTAGGGAAGTCAAAAGATTGGACATCCCTGCTCTACATGATGCAAGACGGGTCTGCTTGTGATCTTGGTTCATATAGAATAGTTTCTACTAGTATACATTCAACTGAGAATATTCAAATGAGTAAAAACCACGTGGACTGCTGCAGCCCTCTATTCCTCTGCAGAATCCGGGTGCAATGTAACATCAGGCAGTGCTGTGAGCTGAAGCCTAAGGACCTAGCACACTCTTGACCATATCCTGAAACTGTTCCCAACCTTTTCCTGTGACACATTTATACCTCCTAAGTGCATACAACACACATTTATGAGAACACAGTGAAGCAAAAATGCTCAAGAAATGGAAGTGACTTCAGTTAATTTCAACTCAGGGTTGACTCAGTTTCTCCTCACTTTTGTCAAAATTTTCTGTGTAACATGCCAGTCTGCATTGCTTCTCTGATAGGGCAGGATTCTACAGCTAATGTTAACTAAATGAGGATGTTACATTAATTAAAACTCATTGTTCTTATAATTTCATGTAAACCAATTAACAAATGCAAAAGATTTTAGAAAACTGGTTTTAACATTTGACTCCAAGATATAAATAGAAGTATTTCTTTTATTTTTATTGTTTGAGACATGCTCTGCCTTCCAGGCTTGGAGTGCAGTGGCGTGATCACGGCTTACTGCAGCCTCGACCTCCCGAGCTTGAGAGATCCTCCTGCTTCGGGGTCCTGAGTAGCTGCGACTGCAGATGTGCACCACCACACCTGAGTAATTTTTGTATTTTTCATAGACACAGGGTCTCACTTTGTTGCCCAGGCTGGTCTCAAACTCCTGGGCTCAAGCAATCTTCCCCACCGCCTTGGCCTCCCAAAGTGCTGGGATTATAAGCATGAGCCACCACACCTGGCCTAGATTATTTCTTTTCTTCTCTTCTCTTTTCTTTCTTTCTTTTTCTCTTTCTTTCTTTCTTTCCTTCCTTCCTTTCTCCTTCCTTCCTTCCCTCCTCCTCCTCCTTCTTCTTTCTTCTTCTCTTTCTTTCTTTGTCTCTCTCTCTTTCTTTTTTTTTTGAGAGAGTCTCACTCTGTTGCCCAGGCTGGAGTGCAGTGGCACAATCTTGGCTCACTGCAACCTCCGCCTCCCAGGGTCAAGCCATTCTCTTGCCTCAGTCTCCCGAGTAGCTGGGATTACTGGGATTACAGGCGCGTGCCATCACGCCTGGCTAATTTTTTGTATTTTTAGTAGAGATGGGGTTTCACCATGTTGGCCAGGCTGGTCTTGAACTCCTGAACTCGTGATCCGCTTGCCTTGGCCTCCTAAAGTGCTGGGATTACAGGTGTGAGCCACCCCGCCCGGCCGATTATTTCATTGTTTAAAACAAATACTTTGACTTTTTAAAAACTGAAATTTGCCTGTTTTTCCCAAAAGTATAGTTTTTGTTTGTTTGTTTGTTTGTTTTTTGAGACGGAGTCTTGCTCTTGCCCAGGCTGGAGTGCAGTGGTGCGATCTCAGCTCACTGCAAGCTCCGCCTCCCAGGATCACGCCAGTCTCCTGCCTCAGCCTCCCAAGTAGCTGGGACTACAGGCGCCCGCTACCATGCTTGGCTATTTTTTTTGTATTTTTAGTAGAGACGGGGTTTCACCCTGTTAGCCAGGATGGTCTCGATCTCCTGACTCCGTGATCCGCCCGCCTCGGCCTCCCAAAGGGCTGGGATTACAGGCATGAGCCACCGCGCCTGGCCAAGAATAGTTTTCAAGAAGCGGGTTAACTGTGACTAATCAAGTACAACCTAAACTGACTTGATCTCCTTGAGTAGCCTCTGGACTTTCCCCAGAGCTGTTATGAATTCTTGGGAAGCAGCTGATATATTCTCAAATAAATACCTCATTTTTATGTCAGATCATTCTGATATAATCTTATTTTAGAAACACAGCCCATAGTTCAGTATATGACAACAATCTGTTCTTAGAATAGAAATCTGCAAAATTAAAAAAAAAAGGAGCCTCCGGAAGCCCAGAAGCATCTTTGAAAGGTGTCTCTACAATTTTAGTTTCATAGCTCTGTATAACATCCAACCATGCATGTAAACAGCTGAAAGGAAAAGCAACTTCCCTTTTATATGTATCTGTTAGCCATTCTTCCTGGACTGTCAGGGAAGCCGATGTGGGAGGAGGGGCTGGCCTGGGATGAGTATGGGAGAAAAAGTGACTTGCATATTAATTAACGCCCATGCTGGCCGGGCGCGGTGGCTCATGCCTGTAATCCCAGCACTTAGGGAGGCTGAGGCGGGTGGATCACGAGGTCAAGAGATCGAGACTGTGCTGGCCAACATGGTGAAACCCCGTCTCTACTAAAAATACAAAGATTAGCCGGGCGTTGTGGCACGCGCCTGTAGTCCCCAGCTACTCGGGAGGCTGAGGCAGGAGAATCGCTTGAACCTGGGAGGCAGAGCTTGCAGTGAGCCAAGATTGTGCCACCGCACTCCAGCCTGGGAGACAGAGTGAGACTCCGTCTCAAAAAAATAATAATAAAAAAATAAAAAAAATTAACTCCCATGCCTCCTCTGGCTTCCTTTCCTCCATCCCCTGACATTCATGTGCAAGTGGCTAAAATAGGCTAAAGAGAGGATCAAGTACAGTTTCCGTGGGGAAGAACATCTAGGTAGGAAAGGTAACGCCATGCGGTCTTGAGGCTGGGAACAGACGGACGGCAAGGCTCAGGCTCCTGTGCTTGCTCCCCTGAGCTGGTTTTCACCACCAGTGGACAGACGCCTCCCTATCCCTCCAGCTGCCTCCGGCGCTTGCTGCCCAGAAGCCTCCCTGGAGCCAAGACCTGAGAGCCCAATTCTCCAGTGGCCTTTTTAATTTTAAATTTTGAATATTTCTTAGGTTTATATTTCTAAGGCTGCATTAATGATTATTAGTCGGGTGAACTTTTACAGTGGTTTTAAAGCTAAGTCTGGGTATTCTAGGAACCATCTACCCTAGCGACAGCAATCCTGTGGTCACCACCATCAGTCACACTCCTCTGGCCACCTGGTACCATAGTGATGGAATTGTGACATCAGGTGTGTGCACTTTCGCATATAGCTTAGACTCTCTTTTTTTTCTTTTTGAGACAGGGTCTCACTCTGTCACCCAAGCTGGAGGGCAGTGGTGTGATCTCACCTCACTGTAACCTCCACCTCCCAGGCTCAGGTGATCCTCTCACCTTAGCTTCCCAAGTAGCTGGGATACAGGTGTGTGCCACCAAGCCCAGCTAATTTTTTGTATTTTTGGTGGAGATGAGGTTTCACCACGTCAGCCAGACTGGGGACCAATTTATAACATTAGATAAATGTATTGGAAGGGCAATGGAGAATATTTCAACTGTGTTAGCTATTCTAAAATATGTTGAGTATCACCTCAAAAAAATTATCATTAGAATACAATTAATTTTAAAATTATGAGAGCTTTTACTATATAATATTTACTGCTTTCCTCTCCACTACATCTTCAATAATTTCTCTCGGTGCAATTTTTTTCAACAATTTATTCAATCATTTTTCTGTGTATGTACATTCGAGGGTTTTCATTTTTGGTGTCTAAAACTGAAGCTGTAATAACAATAAACATCCTTGTCCTTGTTCTGGTGTGTCCTTTGTTTAGTTTATTAAAATTTAAACAGATTAACTGAGGTAAAATTGATATACAAAGAACTGCACGTATTTAGTGTGTGTAATTTGATGAATTTGGACATACGCAAACATCTATGATACTATCCCCACAATCAAGGATAGATATATCTAGCACCTCACAAAGTTTCCTCATGTCCTTTTTGTTTTGCTTTGTTTTTTGTGGTAAAATCTACCCTCTTAACGGATTTTCAAGTACACAATACCATAGTGTTAACTACAGACACTACATTGTTCAGCAGTTCTCTAGAACTTACTCATCTTGCATATCTGAAACTTTCATACCCACTGAACAGCAATTCCCCATGTTCCCTACCCTGCAGCCCCTGGCAACCACTATTGTATTCTCTGTTCTACGAGATTGACTATATTTATAGATATCTCAAATAAATGGAGTTATGCAATATTTGTCCTGTGACTGGCTTATTTCACTTAGAATAATGTCCTCCAGGTTCATCTGTGTTGTCACAAATGGCAGGATTTCCTTCTCTTTTTAAGCCGAACAATATTCCATTGTACGTATATATCACATTTTCTTTATCCATTCCTCTGTTGATGGACAGGTGGGTTGTTTCTATATCTTGGCTATTATGAATAATGCCGCAACAAACATGGGAGTGCAAATATCTCTTCAAGATCCTGTTTTCGCTTCTTTTGGATATATACCTATAAATGAGATTGCTAGATCGTGTAATTCTATTTTTCATTTTTTGAACAGCTCCAGCTGTTTTCCATAACTGTGGCATTTTACACTCCCACCAACAGTGCACAATGCAAGGGCTCCCTTTTCTCCTCCACATGATCTCCAACACTTGTCTTTTGTGGTTTTTTTCATAACAGCTATCCTAACAGATGTGAGCTGATATTTCATTGTAGTTTAGATTTGCATTTCCCTGATGATTAGTAATATTAAACACCTTTTCACATACCTCTTGGCCATTTTTGTATGTCTCCTTTGGAGAAATGTCTGTTCAAGTCCTTTGCCCGTTTTTAAATTGGGTTATTTGTATTTTTCCTATTGAGTTGTAGGAATTCGTTATATATTTTGGAAATTAACCGCTTATCAGATACACGGTTCACAAATATATTCTCCCCACTCTGTAGGCTGCCTTTTCACACTGCTCATTGTTTCCTTTGTTGATGTGTCCCTTTTGGAGACAGGCAGTCCATTGTGGTAGTAAGGAGGTGAAGTTTAGAGCCCTATTACCTGAGTTTAAATTCTGCCAGTGTCACTGTTTTACCTTGATAGATACTTTATTCTTTCGCCTGGTTTCCTCATTTGCTAATCTAGGATAATATTAACTGAATGTGACAGGTTCACAGCCACTAAAATTTTATCCAATTAATGTTCATCATCTGTTACTTATCAGCAGATTCCAATTTGAACCACACATTGGATATATATTTTTCACCTCTATTCTGGAAGCTTTGTGGATACTTACCAGTAATTCCATATACTCACCGACAAGGAGCTTTAAAAAGTGCTTCTGGACAATAAAACTACGACAATGTTTTTGAGAGTGGTCTATTCCCTAACACTACCTATATACACCAGTCCTAAAATATTTTCTGTGCTACAGAAAGTAAAGTGTTCAAGGATGTTTATTTGCAAAGAGTCTGACAGATATAGCTAAGCTTATAAAGATATATATATAGATATATATAGATATATATATTTTTAGTTATTGAGTTCATCATTGTTAGGGTGGTTTCAAAATTTGAAGTTTTTCTTATTTCTGTGGTATTTTATAACATTAAACCTAGGGATGGCATCAAACACAATTTCAAATGAATGTGTTGCTGTGCTGGATACTGAGAAGTCAGACTACAAACCTCTGTCCTCACATCAACCCCAGCCAACCTTAAATTCCCCAAGTGCACCGACTAAAAAGACCAAGTGAGCCCTTCATCAGCACACTTACCCCACTAGCAAGGACCTGACAGAGTTTTCACCATATGTTTTGTGTTTGTGCGTTTGTGTTTTGGTTTTGGTGAAGGGGAGAGGACATGTCAGTAGGCTCAAAGCTATAACTACAGAGCCGACTTTAAATATGAAATGGCTTTCATACCTTCATCTCATTGCCAGTATCAACAACCAAGGACTTCCTGGCAACACTTGGAGATTTTAGAGACATCAGTAACCTTTCTAAAAATGATTTTGTGACTTTCATTCTAAATGGCTAGGCAAACAAATCATTCAATAGACTGCAGAAAATGGGCCACAAAATGACCAGGAGGCACATGATATCATACACAATAAGAGAGTATGGGGACAAAATTCAGTTTGTTATGAGATTTAAGTGCAAAATTCCTAACTGACTTAGGTGCCTGGATTAAATGTGTTGGGCAAATGAAGAGCAACTGCATCTCCATGTGTCGGACCGAAAGGTCCTTGTATAATGACCCTCCCCAAACGAAGAGCCACTGGTCCAATTCAGTTTGAGGTTCCCTACAGGTTATCAATAAAGGTTTTTTAAAAACCTGCTGGATCAATCTGGTGGAGGGTGATTTACAGAGTAACTAGAAAAAGATTTGGCCCAAGATTTGGCCACCTGGCTGCTTCCCACTTTGGCCACAGCGATGGCTTCCCTGCTCTGGAATGCCTTCCAGACATTTCCCTTCGTCTTCTTGCTGCCCCTTTTGATTCTGCCACTCTTAGGACTTCTACATGAAAGGAATACAAAAACTCCTACAATACTTAAATTCTTTTAAAAAGGTTGTTTGAAAGAGCTAACCTAATTAACAGGGAAAAAAATGCCTTTACTTGCACTTCAGGACAATTGTTTCTGCTACAGAAGAACCTTTAATAATCTTCCCAGGCTAAACTGTGGAGACCTTTGATTTTATACAACCCAAAGCCCACTGGAAATCTGTCTGCTTCCTCCAACTATTGTCAAAGAAGGTTAATTTGGAATTTAACAAAGTAAAAGATTTCTTCCAAACTCTCAGCTTGCCTTGGGACTTAAGTGACGCTGGGTCCGTTTCCTGGGTCTTTCCCTGGGACACTTGCAAGTGAGGCTCTCAGGGAGCCTTGTTGACTGCGTTGGGTGAAATGCACAGGGAATGCAGGGAATGTGGCATGGTGTTCTGTGTTCCTTCTCACTCTGCATTGTTTATGCTTGCTCAAATAACTTATATTTGCTCCTCAGTTGGAGGTTAAATTTCTTCTGTATCATGACTGAGGCATAAAATTATAAAATAAGTAAGTATAATCTCCTACATTCCTCACAGCAACCATTTCCCTACCTCCTTCCACACACAAACAACTTTTCAGCAGTGAAGTGGTACGTGTCCTTTTTTTTTTCCTTTTAATCTCAGGATGATTTAGTCTATTAAGGCCATTTAATGGAATGACCAGATGACAAAGAAGAAAAAGGATTGTTTTGAGTAAGAGTTTCCTTTTTCATTTCTGGCTTTAATTGTGAGGTTATGGCTTTCAGAAAAGAAAAGAAAAGAAAATGCCTGTAGTGATAAAAGAGCTGTATTTCAACAAATGATTATATTTTTATAAATCTTGTAGAATTTGTGGATGTATTTTATTAATAAAATATTTACACCTCAAGTTTATAAAGGAATAGACAAAATTTACACAGGGTTTGACAGTCTTATGTATTTGGTGGTGAAATTATCACAATTTATATCCACTCGTACAATGCTATTAATAAACAAAATGCTTGTGACAAGTATGGGAATTCTTAGAAGGTAAAAATTCCCAGGAAAACGATTTTAGGCTGAAAGCTAAACTAGGGTATCCCTACTAAAACAAGGATACCCTAATGATTATTCTCTCCTTTAACAAAATTTGAAAGCACACCTTTTCCTCCTATATTATGCAGCATGTGGTCATAATTTGTACTTGTTGCTGTGTTGAACTCACAATAGAAAAAATAAATGAAACATCTTTTGAGTAAACTAAACAGATGTCTCATGTTATCCTTTTAAAATACAGCTGGAGAAACCTTAGAGATCATCTTGTTCAACGGTTCTCAACAGATGCTCCCTGGACCATCTGTATCAGGACCATCTTGGGGGTATATTGAATGTGCAGGCTGTCAGCCCCACACCAGGCCCAGTGAATCTTAGAGGGTAGAGCCCAGACATCTACAGTGTTACCAAGCACCTTATTTCATTCTTCCATACACTAAATTTTGAGAATCTCTGTTGTCCTATCTTTTCCATTTTCAACAAAGAAACTCTTACCCAGGTTGTCCAAGATAGAGTAGCAGAGGTAGGCAGAACTTCATCCAATAGTAAAAATACCACACTGCTCTTCTGTAATATAACATTTACTAAAAACTAAACTATAGAAAAGCAGAATTAATATTTCTATTAAAGTTCTGCAACATACAGCAATATTTTAGGCCTTTCTTATCCATTCTTTTATTCCACAAACCTTCATTGAATGCCTGCACTACCTAAGGCATCGATGCTGTAGCAGTTTAAGTTTACAACTGAGCGGAGATGAGACATTACACAAAGAGGTACAGTTCAAGGAAGGCTGCCACAAACACCACAGGAGCAGGTTAACTAAAGGGATCAAAAAGTTCTAAGCAGCTAGCCCTCACCTCTGGTTCAGATGACCCAGATGACTTCACAGAGGAGGGGCTGTTCTGGCCATGGCTGAGCTAGCAACAGATATGGATGGACAAGGGATAAACTCACCTTACTATTCTCGTTCCCTAGCAAGTGTAAACATTAAAGGCTTCTGTCATCCTGGGGCTGCAGCCTTCAAAGGAAGTTCTTTATACAAACTAAAAATTAGAGGTGAAAGAAAACAGGATCCTCATTTTAGGTATGGAATCTCTAACCCTGCTTTTCCCTGACTCCCAGCCTCAAATACTCCTCCTTTTCGGGTTCTGTTGTAGATCTCGATCCTGTCCTCCTCCCGCAACTTATGATAGGGAATCCTAACACTCACCATTGATAATACATTATCCTTTTAGGAGGATATCCTTTGAGGGGACTGGCAATCTCCCTGGGGTCAGAAAATGAGTACGTGTCAGCTACCAGGGTCATGCAGCCACCCTGAGCCCAAGCCAGTGTTCCTACCACTGCAGAGTTCCCTGGCAAGGGAACACATGGAGATAGTATCTGGGAGAGGAAAGGGAATCCAGAGCAGACTTCTGAAGGCTGTGGGGAGGGACTGCAGGCTGCGAGGCTTTGCTCCTCGCTCCTTTTCCTCTTCCTACTCCTTTAGCAGTAAGAGCTCCCCAACCATGCTTGGGCTATGGCCATGCCATGTGGCAGTACAGTTAGCAGACAACTGCCCTGCTAAGCTTTAAAAAACAAAGACACTAAAACCTGATAAACAACCAGCTTTTCTTTGCTTCCTTGGATCAGTAAATTTTAAAAAGAAGCAGGGGAAAGAAAACAGAGAACTGACCTAGAATTGCCAACCTTTTATTTGGGCATCTAAGAACATCTGAAAAATAAGCAAAATAGAAAAGCCTCTATTTCAGTAAAGAGCAATCCTTTAAGTAGAGTAAATTCAGACTATAAAAACAAACATATGATGTTTTATCTGTTTTGTAAAAATCATTTTTCCTTGGACTAGTAAAAACTGCATCATGTCGCCCCATCTGTAGTACTTAGAAACAGCTGCAGGCTGTTTAAGTTTCTGTAAGTTTCTATAAGCATAGCTCAGAGACTCAAAAGAGAAGGGGGAAGAAGGCTTGGGACAGGAAAGGAAAGAGCAAAAGCATTAGGGTTTTTCAAGACGTACCAACAAGCATAAAGTTCCACTCGACAATTTCAGATTTTAAAACCCCTCATCATCTATAATCCAGGCTATGCCTGTTCTTTGAGCCAACAGAACCAAACTGGATGAGATGCCAATTTAAAAATACTGTGTGCTCTAAATAAACTTAAACATCAGCAGTGTAGAAAAACCACATTATATCAAAACATATTGTTTAAGGTACTAAGAAATGTCTCTGCAAAACTTAATATGAGCTTTAAAAGCATATCATGCCACCATCACCATCAGTCATTAAATTTTTATTTTTTCATTTAAGCTTTTATTATTTAAAAAATTTTCAGATTCAGGCCAATGTTAAAAGATATGAGGCAGAAAACAAAACCTAAATATTAAAAAGGAAGATAATAAAATATGTATTTTTGGATGGTGTGTTTATAGGAATCAAATGGTAAACAATTACATTTAATTTACAGCTGAGGGTCCCTGTAGTCACAGTTACTTGGGAGGCTGAGGCAGGAGGATTCTTTCAGCCCAGGATTTTGAGGCTGCAGTGAGCTATGACTGTGCCTGTGACTGGCTGCTGCACTCCAGCCTGAGCCATAGAGAGAGGCCATGTCTTAAAAAAAAAAGTAGGTCAATACTAGATATACAAAACCAAATTACCAGATACTACCAGTTTGAAAGTATAGTAAAAAAAGATCAAAACACAAACTATAAAATAAGTAATAACATAACAATAACCATAATGAGAAATATGTAGGACCTATTTAGAGAAAATTGGAAAATTTTGTGAGAAATATAAAAAGTAAGATTTGGATAAATGCTTAGTACATGTCATGGGCTCGGTGGTAAAGACTAAAACCTGTTAGATAAACAGTTTTTCCCCAAATAATCTGTAAGTTCAACATAAATTTTCCAAAGTTCATCTGAAAAAACAAACAGGAAAGAACAACAAAGAAAATTTTGCAGAAGAGTCCTGCAGGGGGACTGGCCCTATCAGATGCCACAACATGTAAGCCGTGTGGCACAGACAGAAGGACAGGCAAGCAGAACAATGGAACAGAGAAGATAACCCAGAAGAAACACCCATCCATATTCAGAAGATGCCACAAATCCATCAAATAAAATTGAGAAAAGATGGCACCCACTAGGTAACAATTCAGACCAAAAACAAGAGCCCCTCACCTGATTCTATATGGTGAAATATATTCCACATGAATTTAGAGTTTAGCAACAAAAATTTTGTTAAGGTAGAAAAATATATTGTATATATATAATATAAATATATACATATATAATATAAATATATACATATATATGTATATATGTTTTTTGAGACGGAGTTTTGCTTTTGTTGCCCAAGCTGGAGTGCAATGCGCAATCTCGGCTCACTGCAACCTCCTCTCCCAGGTTCAAGTGATTCTCCTGCCTCAGCCTCCCGAATAGCTGGGATTACAGGCACGTGCCACCAAGCTTGACTAATTTTTTGTATTTTAAATAGAAATGAGGTTTCACCACGTTAGCCAGGCTGGTCTTGAACTCCTGACCTCAGATGATCCGCCCACCTCGGCCTCCCAAAGTGCTGGGATTACAGGCATGAGCCACCGCACCTGGCCTATATCAGATATTTTAAATCACTTCTAGGAAAAAAAATGACTTTCTAAGCTAAAAAATAATAGAAGAATCTAAAAAGAACAGAGTAACATATTTTATCATCTACAAATCTTAAACTTCTATTTTTATTTTTTAAATACACTTAAATGCAAACACCAAATTGGAAAAAGTATTTGTAGCAAAGGTCATCATCAAAAGACTAATCGCTTTCCAATAAACAGTGCTATAACATTTGTATAAGATTTTTGGTAGCCCAGTAAGCTAAGACAAGCTTTGGGGAAGGCAATTTGGCAATACATGTAACTGGAGCCTTAAATATATTTGTATCTGTGACCCAGTAATTCCACTTCTGGGAATCTAGCCTAAGGAAACAATCCACATATAATAAATATTCTCTGTGTACAAAGATGCTCTTCACAGGGAAAAAAACTGAAACGATCTAAAAGTATATTAAAGAACAGTTAAGTAAATGATTTAAAAATTTTAAATGGTACTTAGAGTGTATAATAGTATTTCAAAGTGTTTATAATAAAATGTTAAAGAAAAAATCAAGATACTAAATTGCATATTCAATAAAAATACAATTTTATTTTTTAAATATAGATTTATATATGAAAGTATTAAAATATTTATTTAAACACTATTATATCCATTTTATATGTGTATGTACATATATATGTGCATATGTCATATGTTTACACATATGTAGAAATATATTAGGTATAACAGAAATATATGCAATAGGAATATACACACACACATATATACACGCACACACAAATCACCTGCTTAATGCCTTTAATCTATTCAAAAAAGAAGGCATTGAGGCTAAGACATCAATGTATTATTACCATTTGTTTCAAAGTGTAATATAATTAATTCTCAGATCATCCTAAAGTTCCAATTTTTTCCAACCAAAATAAAGTTATAAAAGAAACACTTGGTTAATGAATTAAACGTATATTAAAGAGTCCTTCTCATATTTAAAGCTATGAGGCATTTAAATACAAATAAAATCATTTAGTTTCCTAAAATGGTGAGCAACACAAAAACATTCTGGATAAAAGTTCTTTATTGTTTCTACTTCCAGCAGCGTACATCCTGAACCTACATTCTCTCCCTAGATAAGGAGTGGCTCTGGCTCAGTGTCCCCAGAGTTCCAGCAGCTCTCATGCATTTTCACCCCTGCTATTAGAATGACCCCAGTGTGTAGCCGCACACACTGACTGCAGCACAGAGGAATGCGGGATGGCATCAGCAGTGCTAAAGAGTGGGGCTAAAAGCCCAGCGAGAATCACAGGAGAATGCAGAACTGTGTTCTGAGGCAGCAGGGATGGACTGGATCTAATCTAGTGCTATAAGTGCAAAATGCCCAGGAAATGTGCTCTGTGGATAGCCAAGGACTCCTGCTCCCCAAGACAGAGACGCAAATCTGCTCCCTTAGTTGGGTAAACAACTCTGGGAAGATAAATAAGTGAGCAGGCCTCCAAGTAAATCAACCCACAGCATGTGTGCATAACGTTTTAGTGTTAAATACAAAATAATCTTTGACTGATTGTCATTTCAAGTGTTTATAATATTCCAGGGGTCCTGTCATAATGTTCTTATCATCTGTAAGCTGAAAGACATATCAGAAATTTATTAAGTTTGTAAATAAAACTGCTATGTTTGAGATCACTTGATTAGTGCAAAGTTTAATCTATTTTGTATGAAATACTTTTTTTCTCTGTTAAGATGGTAAGTTTGCTTCTCAGACATTTTAAATACTTAAAATATATGAAACCTACAAATGTAGTTTTAAATGTCTGAGGGAAATCTAATTAGCTAAAATTAATCAACAATCAGTCTTATTTTATGCAAAAATAATTAGATTCATTAATAGAATAACAAGTCTTATAAATTGAAAAGGAAAAGAAAAACTAGCTTTAAAAAAGTCTAACTTCAGTAAACTGAATGCTACTTTTGAACACCAGTAACTACAACAGTTCTTTTGGACATTACAAACTAGCATTAACTCACCCCAACCTCTCCAGCAGCCAGGCTGCAGAGATGTAAGCTAGGCTCCACGGAGCAGGCACACCCATGGGAAACTTTGATATGAATGTCATGGCAGTCCCTAGCCTCTCCTCAGTCCTCTCCCACTTTTAGCTGGCACTGAGTAATCCATTCCTTCCTCCAGAAGAGACCCAGTGCTGTGAGACATTATTCAGTCAAAGTGGTTTTACAAAAGTCATTTAGTAAATGGCTTACTAAACTACTTAGTAAACGACTAAGTCTTTGGTAAACGACTTCACTAAACTGCTAACCACAGGAAAATGGTTAGTAGAATTAATATCTTTCCCACATACCACATAGCAAAACAATTTTAATTTCTTCCATTATTTGTGTCCTTTCCTCTGCTCAAAAGTTGCCTTTCCCGCCAGCTTCACTGTCTCTCTTTTCTCCTCTTCCACCCCTCTCTTCAGATTCAGATCTGGCTGTCAATGGCATGCCCCGATCAGCAAAACAAAAGTTCCACCATGGGCCAGAGAGTGGCCATCCACCCCGACCTTGAGTCCACCTCGCCAAATGTGAAAGCCCAACGAAACTGGGAGGGGACGGGGTGGGATCCCGCTGCCAAGGAAATGAGATTTTTCTCCTGTCATTTAAAATGAACTGATTGTTATACATAATTTGAAGCGAAATAAGAGATAACAGGAAACAGGCCACCTGAAGGAAACAGAAGCAGAGCCACTTCACTATTTTGCTTAACTCTTCATGCCACCAGTAAGGATCTTTAAACTGGAAAAGGCTGGAGCCCAGGAAGAGCATTTCAACAACTTCAAGGCGCAGTGAATTACTCCCACTGCAATGAAAAGCAATTACATATGTTTCTGTGCAGCCATTGTTGGTGTAGTTTCCTAAGGGAAAAAATGGACAGCTGTCAGGAAATGGAAGCCAGAGGAATGTTTCTCGGTTTTCTGAAAAGAGCAAAGAGTAATGTTCTGGTAAATATGGCCTGGAATCCTAATGAAATCCTAGGACAGACTGTTAGATGAATGTTCGGTTGTGAAAGGAATAGAGTCCGCTCAATAAAAAATATGTTGAAAAATGATTAGGCTATCCTCTAGTCCTTCACAGAGGACTTGGTGAGACAGTACATCTCTATCAAACTGCTAATGGGGGAAAGGTAATCTTATTTCACTACATCTACATCTACTGTTAAAAAAAAAAAAATAGAATCATCAGAAAATCAATGCCAGAGAGTGAAAGCTATAAATAAGAGACTCTGCCAGCGAGATGTCTACTTGTTCCAGTGCAGCCCGGTGAAGCCTGCATAGAGAGCTTGCATCAGTGCATGCTCTCTAAAAAGGTATGAGGGAGGCAAGGGCACTGGCACCAGGCCAAGCTCTACCTCCCTGCCAGGTACCTTGGTGCAGGGCCCACATTCTCCTAGAGCAGCATCTTTTCCAAAGATACTTTTTGTGGCCCTATGAACAACTGAATGAAGTCAGGAGCTGGAAGCTCAAATCCCCCTTCTTCCATGCAATACTCTGAAACCCTCCCTGGGCTGCAGTCCCTTATGAATGGATGTGAGGTGGCCTTCCAGATTGACGGTGAGGACTAAATGTCAACAGGTAGTAGGAGCATCAAATGCAGTGCCTGGTGCCATCATAGGAAAATCCCCAAGGGGAACAGAGCTCTGAAGTCCTCCTACTCTCCAATTCTGAGATTCTGTGACCAGAGTTTGAAATCGGAAACTTGACTCAGATCCTTTTTGGTCATCTTTTCTTTGCAGTAAAAATGTAAAATGTGAACTGAAAAAAGGGGATTCCCTGAATGGTAGTTTGTCTTTCTATTCTTCCCATCTTGTAGAGTTCAGGCAACCCTCATCTTATTGTGCTTCACCTTATTGCACTTTGCAGATATTGACTTTTTTATAAATTGAAGGTTTGTGGCAACTCTGTTCAGCATGTCTACTGGCACCATTCTTCCAACAGCATGTGCTCCCTTTGTGATTCCATGTCACCTTTTGGTCATTCTCACAATATTTCAAACTTTTTCATCGTTCTTATATCTGTTGTGGTGATCTGTGATCAGCAACATTTGATGTTACCACTGTAATTGTTTTGGGGCACCACAAACCCTGCCCATATAAGATGGCAGCCTTAATCTACAAATGTTGGGTGTGTTCTGACTGTTCCACTGACCGGCCATTCCCCCATCTCTTCCCCTCTCTGCAGGCCTCCTTATTCCCTGAGATACAACATTATTGAAATTAGGCCAATTGATAACCCTGTAAGGGTTTAAGTAAAAGGTTCAAATGTTCAAGTAAAAGGTCTAAGGGTTCAAGTAAAAGGTCCGTCATATTAAATCAAAAACTAGAAATGATTAAACTTAGAGGAAGCCATGTCAAAAGATGAAATACGCTGAAAGCTAGGCATCTTATGCCAAACAGTTAAGCTATGAATGCAAAGGAAAAGTTCTGAAAGGAAATCAGAAGTGCTACTCCAGTGAACACATGAATGATAAGAATGCAAAACAGCCTTATTGCTGATATGGAGAAAGTTTTAGTGGTCTGGATAGAAGATCAAACCAGCCACAACATTCCCTTAAATCAAAGCCTGACCCAAAACAAGGCCCTAACTCTCTTCAATTCTGTGAAGGCTAAGAGATTTGAGGAAGCTGCAGATGAAAAGTTTGAAGCTAGGAGAGGTTGGTTCATGAGGTTTAAGGAAAGAAGCCATCTCCGTAACATAAAAGTGCAAGGTGAGGAAGCAAGTGCTGATGCAGAAGCTGCAGCAAGTTATCCAGAAGATCTGGTATGATAATTGATAAAGGTGGCTACACCAAACAACAGACTTTCGATGTAGATGAAACAGCCTTCTATTGGAGGATGATGCCATCTAGGACTTTCATAGCTAGAATGGAAAAGTCAAGTCCTGGCTTCAAAGCTTCAAAGGACAGGCTGTCTTGTTAGGTGCTAATGCAGCTGGTGACTTTAAGTTGAAGCCAATGCTTATTTGTCATTCTGAAAATCCTAGGGCCCTTAAGAATGATGCTAAATCTACTCTGCCTATACCCTATAAAAGGAACAACAAAGTCGGGATAGCAGCACTCTGTTTACAGCATGGTTGGTTGAATATTTTAAGCCCACTGTTGAGGCCTACTGCTCAGAAAAAGATTCCTTTCAAAATATTACTGCTCATTGGCAATGCACCTGGTAATCCAAGAGCTCTGATGGAAATGTACAAGGAGATTAATGTTGTTTTCATGACTGCTAACATAATATCCATGTGCAGCCCAGCCCATAGATTAAGGAGTAATTTCAATTTTTGAGTCTTAATATCTAAAAAATACATTTTATGAGGCTATAGCTGCCATACATAGTGATTTCTCTGATGGATCTGGGCAAAGTAAATTAAAAATCTTCTGGAAAGGATTTGCCATTTTAGATGCCATTAAGAATATTACTGATTCATGGGAGGGGTTCAAAATATCTACATTGTTGATTGATTCCAACCCTCATAGATGACTTTGAGGGGTTCAATAGTTCAGTGGAGGAAGTAACTGCAGATGTGGGGGGAAATATCAAGAGAACTAGAATTAGAAGTGGAGCCTGAAGATGTGACTGAATTGCTGCAATCTCATGATAAAACTTGAACAGTCAAGAAGCTGCTTCACGTAGATGAGCAAAGACAATGGTTTCTCGAGATAGAATCTACTCCTGGTAAGACACCATGAACACTGTTGAAATGACAAAAAAGGATTTAGAATACTCATAAACTTAGCCGATAAAGCAGTGACAGGGTTTGAGAGGACTGGCTCCAGTTTTGAAAGAAGTCCTACCGTAGATCAAATGTTATCAAACAGCATCCCATGCTTCAGAAAAATCTTTCATGAAAGAGAGTCCATCCACGTGGCCAATTTCACTGTTGTCTTCTTTTAACAAATTGTCACAGCACCTCAACCTTCAGCAAGCACCACCCTGATCAGCCAGCAGCCAACAACCTCGAGTCAAGACCTTCCACAAGCAACAGGATTATGACTTGCTAAAGGTTCAGATAATCACTAGCATTTTTAACAATGAAACATTTTAAAATTAAGGTATATATATTGTTTTTCAGACACAATTAATAAACTATAGTATAGTGCAAACATATTTTATATGCACTGGGAAACCAAAATATTAGTATGACTGACTGCATTGTGATATTTGCTTTATTGTGGTGGTCTGGAATCTAACCCACAACACCCCCAAGATATCCCTATAAACGATAAAAAAACAAAACTTCTGAAGTAATAGGTTTATACTTGTTCCCCTGTGAAATAAGGTGCTGAAGAGTCACAAAATCATGCTCTTTGCTGCCCTGTGTTTTTTCCTTTGTGTTTTGATCAGATACTAGGAAGCAACATTTATCTAACAGGTAGATTTTTACACAAAAGGTTGGGAAATTCCATCTGACCAGGTCTAGTTTTTACTGGTGATTTCATTAAGTGTGTGGGGGGCCAGATGGATAGAAATGAAGTCACTTAAGGGATACATATTGAAGGATGTGCACTACCTACATATCTGAGATTTTAAAATATGCAAAATTGGCCAGGCGTGGTGGCTCACGCCTGTAATCCCAGCACCTTGGAAAGCTGAGGTGGGCAGATCACTTGAGGTCAGGAATTTGAGACCAGCCTGGCCAACACAGGGAAGCCCTGTCTCTACTAAAAATACAAAAATTGGCTGGATGTGGTGGCACATTCCTGTAGTCTCAGCTACCTGGGAGACGGAGGCAGGAGAATCACTTGAATCCTAGAGGCGGAAGTTGCAGTGAGCCAACATCACGCCACTGCACTCCAGCCTGGGTGACAGAGCAAGATTCTGTCTCAAAAAATATATATGCAAAATTGAAAAAACCATACACATAAAGGAATATGAACATAGGTGTCTTGGCCTGTTGTGCGGCTATAACAAAATCCCATAGGCTGGGTAGGCTCTGGGCAGCCAAACCCCATGGCTTTGCTGAGCACAGCCCAGAGCACACCTATTGCGAGCTGTAGTCAGGTGCCTGCAGCTCTCCCAGGCTGGAATCGCACACCAGTGGCTCTACTGGTCTGGAGTCATGTGGTGGTCCACCCTCACAGCAGCCTCTGCTTGGCTCACTTGACCAAGGCTTCTAGCTGCTACATTCTTCAGAATCTAGGTGGGTGTATCAACACCCCTACAGCTTGTGCACTCTGCATACCTGCAAAGATGGCACTGCCTGGGGGCTGACAAGGTTTACTGACTCTGTCTCCTGGAGGGGCAGCCACTGCCACACCTGGGCCTACTAAAGCCAAACCTGGGGTAGCTGAGGATCCCTGCCCTAGAATGTGGAGAGCAGAGCTTTGAGATGGTGCCCAGTTGTGCAGCAAGCACAGGGGTCCCACAGTTCATCCTTGGCCCATCCTTTCAAATTGTTCTGCCACCAAGGCCCTTGCATTCTGGCCTTGTGATGACAGTGGTAGCCCCAATAATCTCGAAAACGTCTTCAAAGTCATTCTTCCATGTCTTCATGACTAGCACCTGGTGGATTCACACCAATCTCATCAAAGAGTTGCTTGGCCACACCCTTGCTGTTCTCTCCCAAACACACTTCCACAGTATGGACAGGTTTAGAATTGTCCAAATATTTAAGTTCTTCTTCCCTCTTGATTGAAAATTCTGCTTTTAAATCATTATTCTCTTCTCACATTTTACTATAAGCACTCAACAGACGCCAACCCACATCTTTGACACTTTGCTTAGAAATTTCTTGTGCCAAATATCCTATTTCATTGCTCATAAGTTCTACCTTCCACAAAATGTGAGGACCCAAACACAACTTAGTTAAGTTCTTTGCCACTTTATAACAATGATCATGTTTCCTATGGTTTCTAATAACATGTTCCTCATTTCCGAGACCTCATCAGAATTGCCTTTACAGTCCATATTTCTGACAATATTCTGATCACAACCACTTAAGCATTCCGTAAGAAGATGGAGGCTTTCTCTACAGCTCTCCTTCCCTCCTTCTAAGCTCTCACCAGAATTGCCCTTTAGGGTCCATTCACAGCAATCTAAGCTTTTTCTAGCATGCACCTCAAAACTCTTCTTGTCTCTATCCATTATCCAGTTCCAAAGCCACCTCCATATTTCTAGGCATTTGTTATAACAACAACCACACTCCCAGTACCAGTTTCTGTCTTTGTTCATTCAGGCTGCCATAACAAAATACCATAGACAAAGTAGCTTATAAACAACAGTTATTTATTTCTCTGGAGGCTGAGAAGTCCAAATTCAAGGTGTCAGTAGACCCAGTGTCTGGGGAGAGCCCACTCTCTCTTATATAGTGCCGCCTTCTTCTGTCCTCACGTGATGTAAGGAGGCAGGGCAGCTCTCTGGGGCCTCTTCTACAAGTTCACTAATCTCATTTGTTACGGCTCCACTCATGACCTAATCACCTCCAAAAAGGCCCCATCTCCTAACACCATCAGTTTAGGGGTTAATATTTCAGCATATGAATTTTGAGGGAGCACAAATGATATGGTTTGGCTGTGTTCTCACCCGATTCTCATCTTGAATTGTAACTCCCACAGTTCCCATGTGTCATAGGAGGAACCCCAGTGGGAGGTGATTGAATGATGGGGGCGGATCTTTCCTGTGCTGTTCTCCTGATAGTGAGTGAGTCTCATGAGATCTGATGGTTTTAAAAAGGGGAGTTTCCCTTCACAAGCTCTCTCCTCTTGTCTTGCTACCATGTGACATGTGCCTTTCACCTTCCTCCATGATTGTGAGGCCTCCCCAGCCACATGGAACTGTCAGTCCAATAAACCTCTTTCTTCTCTAAATTGCCCAGTCTTGGATATGTCTTTTTCAGCAACATGAAAATGGACGAATACAGTAAATTTGTATCAGGAGTGGAGTGCTGCTGAAAAGATACCCGAAAATGTGGAAGCAACTTTGGAACTGGGTTAACAGGCAGAAGCTGGAACAGTTTGGAGGGCTCAGAAGAAGACAAGAAAATGGGAGAAAGTTTGGAACTTCCTAGAGACTTGTTGAATGGTTTTGACAAAAAATGCTGATAGTGATCTGAACAATAAGGTCCAGGCTGAAGTGGTCTCAGATGGAGATGAGGAACTTGTTGGGAACTGGAGCAAAGGTGACTCTTACCATGTTTTAGCAAAGAGACTGGCAGCCTTTTGCTCCTGCCCTAGAGATTTGTGGAACTCTGAACTTGAGAGAGCTGATTTAGGGTATCTGGCAGAAGAAATTCCTAAGCAGCAAAGCATTCAAGAAGTGACTTGGGTGCTGTTAAAGGCATTCAGTTTTATAAGGGAAGCAGAGCATAAAATTTCAGAAAATTTGCAGCCTGACAATGCAATAGAAAAAAAAATCCCATTTTCTAAGAAGAAATTCAAGCCAGCTGCAGAAATTTGCTTAGGAATGAGGAGCCAAATGTTAATTCCCAAGACAATGGGGAAAATGTCTCCAGGGCATGTCAGAGGTCTTCACAGCAGTGCCCCCTCCCTGCCCATCACAGGCTCAGAGGCCTAGGAGGAAAACATGGTTTTGTGGGCCAGGCCCAGGGTCCCCATACTGTGTGCATTCTAGGGACTTAGTGCCCTGCATCCCAGTCGTGACTAAAAGGGCCTAAGGTACAGTTCAGGCCGTGGCTTCAGAGGGTGTAAGCCCCATGCCTTGGCAGCTTCGATGTGGTGTTGAGCCTGCAGGCGCACAGAAGTCAAGAACTGAGGTTTGGGAACCTCTGCCTAGATTTCAGAGGATATATGGAAATGCCTGGATGTCCAGGCAGAAGTTTGCTGTAGAGGTGGGGCTTTCTTTCATTGAGAACCTGTGCTAGGGCAGTGTGGAAGGGAAATGTGAGGTCAGAGTCCCCACACAGATTCCCTACTGGGGCACTGCCTAGTGGAGCTGTGAGAAGAGGACCACTGTCCTCCAGACCCCAGAATGGTAGATCCACCAACAGCGTGCACCATGTGCCTGGAAAAGCCGCAAACACCTGAATACCAGTCCGTAAAAGCAGCTGGGAGGGAGGTGGTACCCTGAAAAGCCACAGGGACAGAGCTGCCCAAGACCATGGGAATCCACCTCTTGCATCAGTGTGACCTGGATGTGAGACATGGAGTCAAAGGAGAACATTTTGGAGCTTTAAGATTTGACTGCCCTGCTGGATTTTGGACTCACATGGGGCCTGTAGCCCCTTTGTTTTGGCCAATTTCTACCATTTGTAACAGCTGTATTTACCCGATGCTGCTACCCACATTGTATTTAGGAAGTAACTAACTTGCTTTTGATTTTACAGGCTGATAGGCAGAAGAGTCTTGCTTTGTCTCAGATGAGACATTGGACTATGGACTTTTGAGTTAATGCTGAAATGAGTTAAGACTTTGGGGGACTGTCAAAAGGCATGATTGGTTTTGAAATGTAAGGACATGAGATTTGAGAGGGGCCAGGAGCGGAATGATATGGTTTGGCTGTGTTCCCACCCAAATCTTATCTCGAATTCTAACTCCCACAGTTCCTACGTGTTGTGGGAGGAACCCAGTGGGAGGTGATTGAATGATGGGGGTGGGTCTTTCCTGTGCTGTTCTTGTGATAGTGAATGAGTCTCACAAGAACTGATGGTTTTAAAAATGGGGGTTTTCCTTCACAAGCTCTCTTCTCTTGTCTGCCGCCATGTGAGACATTCCTTTCACTTTCCATCATGATTGTGAGGCCTCCCCAGCCACGTGGAACTGTAAGTCCAATAAACCTCTTTCTTTCCTAAATTGCCCAGTCTTGGATATGTCTTTATCTGCAGCGTGAAAATGAACGAATACAACAAACATTCAAATCATGGCAATAGAAAACATTTATATAGGATCCCTCAGATTTTTTTTGAAAGCAACAACTTATTTAATTTTCATCAATAGTTATATTTAGTGATCATATTTCAGAATGTTTCATATAAAATCTATTAGACAAATGAACACAACATGGTTATTACATAATGCTAATACAGGTGGAGCACCCCCAGTCTGAAATCTGAAATGCTTCAAAATTTGAAACTTTCTGAGTGCCAACATGATGTTCAAAGGATGTTCATCAGAGCATTTTGGATTTCAGATTTTCAGATTACGGATGCTCTACCTGTTAGGTATCTGCAAATATTCAAAAATCTGAAAAATATCTAAAATTCAACATACTTTTTCACAAGCAATTTGGACAAGGCATAATATTGAAGAATTACTCCCACCTTGAATTCTCTTTGGAGTGAGGAAACAATAAAATGCTTATTAAATATATGGAAATACATAGGTTATAGATAACAGAGAAACTAAAATGTATTGATTTTTGGTTCATTTTGATTCCGTTTCAGCTAATATGGATGGTTGAAATGAAGTATAAACAGATGAAATAAGAACAAAGATAAGGAGTGTTAGGGTGGGTCCCTAGGAAGGGAATGTGGAACATTACTGGGATGATAATAATTATCCAATTAGGTTAATCTCTATTATTTTGTACATTCAATCAGTAGCCCTGAAAAGATAAAGCCAATGTTTCATGAGGCAGAAAGTGACTTCTAAGGAAAGAAGCCCCCACAAAGCCATGATCCTCCCAACTGTTAGGTAAAAGTGGACCCCCACTAGCATGAAGAAATAATCGTCTCTTCTGTTTTTAATTATATATGGACAGACAAGTTCCAAATCCTTATTTTATGTTTTCTACTTCAATTATTCCTTTCCTATTGCAATTTGAGTTCATTTTCTATTCTGCTCTCAATTAAGTGAAGTCACCATTTTCCCTTTAATCATATGTTATCCTCCAATTTACTTTCCTACTTCATTTACTTCCTTACTATTGTCTTTGGGAAGTTTTATCAGCTCTTCAGATGGGCAGAAGATGTGGTGGCAGGGAAAGGGGCAGGGGCTGGCTGGAGACCACCTGACAGGGAGTCAAGGCCTGTCTCACCAGGTGTGTGAGCACAGGCAACTGTGGAGCCCTCTGAACCCCAACCTCATCTTCAGTAAAATGGAACAGCCACATCTACATCACTACAGGTTTGCTTGAAGTTTAAAGCTATTCTACATTAGGAGTTCAATAATCATAATAAAGTTGTCAGTTTTCTTTTTACCTCCTAATCAATGTGTTAGTCCCTGAAGAAAATCATTAAGTAAAAAGGACCCCACCGACCCACTCACCCACACACTAACACAAAATAGTTGTCCAATGGCAGGAAGTTGGATTAACTGATTAATTTATTCAGGAAATATTTATTTACATTTTGATCTACTCCATGCCAGATACTGTTATAGGTACTGAGGATACAGCAGTGAGCAGGCAAAAGCTCCTGCTCTCGTGGAGCTTCTATTCCAGTAGGGAAAACACAACTAATAAAATGAATGAGCAAAATGTATAGTATATTAAACGGTGGTTAAGTGCCATTAGAGAAAGAGAAGGAGGAAACTCAGGGTGGGGGGATGGCAAATGTGATCTTACAGGGGGTTCAGGCAAAGGTGACATGGAAATGAGACTGGAAGTAGTGAGTGAGGAGCTGCATGGCTGTCCAGAAGCAAGGAGCCACCTGAAAAGGCTCTGGGGCAGGAGCGTGCTGGGCACGTGAACACAGCCAGGGTGGCTGGAAAGAGCTACAGGGGAAAGAGAAGGAGGAGATGGTGAGAAGGGAGAGGTACAGGCCTTCCTTTGGCTTTGACTGAGTGAGATGAAAGGGCAAGCCAAGTTCTGAGCAGAGAAATAACATAGTGCAGCTTACCTTTAACAGGATCCTTCTGGTTCTCTGAGGGGTGCAGTGGGAACAGGCTGCAACAGGGCAAGTGTCACAGCAGAAGCTACTAGGAGGCTACTTCAACAGTACAGGTGAGAGATGATAAGAGTTTAGGTGAGGGTGGTAAGCAGTCACATACTGGATCTATTCCAAAAGTGCAGCCTCTGCAGAGTTTGCTGAGGGACTGGATACATGCAGAGCTGAGAGAAAAAAGTCAAGGATGACCCCAAGGTTTCTGGCCTCAACAAGTTACTAGCTGTATAAACTGCATACAAACTTGTTTCTGACCCCGAGGACTAGATGAGTAATCAATATACATGAAGGCACAGCCCAGTGTACGGCACATGGGCTTGTGTGGTATGCTTAGGTTCAAGTTTACAAACTCTATTGAATTTCTACTTTGTGCTTTGCCCTGACTTTGCTAGGTCCAGAAATACAAACATGAGTAAGTGTGAAATCCACCCTCAGGAGTTTATGATCTAGTGAGACAAAGAATCATCCTTTATAGTACAAGCTTCCCCAGCAGCCACAGAAATGAGTAGAAGATTCAGATGTCAGCAGGGAAGGGAATGATTGACTCAGAGGGAGGATATCTAGGAGGGCTGCCTGGAGTAGGTGACAACAGAGTAGTGGTGTCTTCTCAAGAGGAAAATCGATGAGGACTGGCACAGCTGGGAAAAAGGTGATAAAGAGGACAGTAGTGGCTAGACTTCTCAAGAAGAAAATCGATGAGAACGGCACAGCTGGGAAAAAGGTGATAGAGAAGGGCATTGACGGAACGCTTACCCGCTACTGAATGATGATCACTTATTGTTGAAGATAGAGACTGTGTCTCTTCTAACACCACAATCCTGAGATGTAGGCACGACATCCTGAAGATCGCAATGCGTACACAGTTTCTTGTAAATATTCTGCAACTACATAGTTATTTGTTTGACTGTTCCTGCTTTCACAATTATAATTTGGTCCAGTCAACTCTAGTCAGCAATATAACATTACCTTGTACACCTCCAAAGCAAAATTGTGCAAAAGTATAGCTGCCTGAGGAGGCAAGTCCTGATCCCCACTCCTTGGGGCCTTCTCTATCCATAGATCCAAAAAACCACAGATGCTTCTGGTGTGTTCTGCCAATGATCCTTGGCAGTAAACAAGTGTCACGTCTGACTAGGCACCATGGCTCACACCTGTAATCCCAACACTTTGTGAGGCCAAGGCGGGTGGATCACCTGAGGTCAGGAGTTCAAGACCAGCCTGGCCAACATGGTGAAACCCCATCTCTACTAAAAATACAAAAATTAGCCAGCTTGGTGGCGGGCGCCTGTAATCCCAGCTACTCAGGAGGCTGAGGCAGGAGAATCGCTTGAACCTGGGAGGTGAAGGATGCAGTGAGCCAAGATTGCACCACTGCATTCCAGCCTGGGCAACAGAGCGAGACTCTATCTCAAAAAAAAAAAAAAAAAGTGTCACTTTTAATAACATTACTCAATTGATGACATGTCTGCATCATCATCAATTATGATTCAGGTATTTTCATACTGTTCTCATATACTTTGTACCAGCCCGTAATTCTGCATTTGCTTTTATTTTCTTAGTAAGATGAAATAAAAGGACTACAAACATTTAGAATAATATGAAAAAAGAAGCCACAAATATTAACCCTCTAGTTCATGTCATCAACCCTGAATGCAACTCTATTTCCACAAATTGGAAGAGGGGAAAAAATCCAGATAGTAAATGAAATTTTTACTATCATATTTTATTCTTTAATTTGAATCATGAAGAACTTTGAAAGTTTATTTTGTGAGAAAACTGGAAAATTAAAAACTAACAGAAATAGTTCATAAAGAAATGCACTTTTTAAAACTTTCCACTGCATTCTCTTCCTCTTGGTGGTGAAAGTATAGATTCAACTGCTTGGAAAAAATATAGACTACGCGCCCAGTATCATTAGTTTGAAGTTTGTTCTAACTGTGGTATAGATAGAGGAAGAAATCATTAGCAAACTAAAGGTAAAATACACTCAACTATATGAAAATCAATCAACAGTCAGGCTTCATTTTTTAAAAAAACTTTCCATTAAATCACAACACGCACTCAAGTTTACAAGGGTCAAGTCCTAGTAAAAACACCTTTAAAAATGAACAAGAAAATCAGAGCTATTCTTCATTGATGTTCCTTTTTTGTCATGAACCTGTTCTGTATGAACAAAATTCCTTTATTTAATAAATTGCACTAAGGCATCATTTGCTCAGCCATAATGGAATTACTTTGATCCAACGGAAATAAATAAGGACTAGAGAAGTGGAAATCAACAAGTCAGCAAGTTAACATCTCAGTTGTTGTATGCTATTCACCTCTAAAGAAAAAAACACTAAAGGCCCGACACGGTGGCTCATGCCTGTAGTCCCAGCACTTTGGGAGACCACGGCGGGTGGATCACGAGGTCAACAGATCGAGACCATCCTGGCCAACACGGTGAAACCCTGTCTCTACTAAAAATAGAAAAATTAGCCAGGCGTGGCGGCGGGCGCCTGTAATCCCAGCTACTCGGGAAGCTGAGGCAGGAGAATCGCTTGAACCTGGAAGGCGGAAATTGTCAATCCCATTTAAGAAAACTATCTTTTCTATCTAATATGCCAGGTTTTGACCTAAGTGATTACAGGCAAGCCCAGCCTCTATAAACAAAATGAGGCTGTTCCCACAAAACACACTAGAAGGGGGCCCTTGCCAGGCTCCCTGTCTCACCCACTTCCCTCCCCATACATACACTTGGCGGCTTCTGGCTTGGAGAAGGGTGAGCCAGGAGGAAGCAAAACTTTCCAACTGATCTATGTGTCATCGTTTTTAAGCTCCATATGAAGCTCAAGATGAATATTTTATAAAGGCACAAACCCTGCATGCCACAAAATTTTAGTTTTCTTACATGATCAACTGTACTTATAATATCATGTAATATTTATCTAGAAGGATCTTCTTGTCACTTGGTAAAACAGTGGGTAAAAATTAAAGCCCAATGCACTGAGAAACTATTAAATGAACAAATTACATGTTCAATCTTACCGAGTTTCAGAATCTTTTTTTTTTTGAGATGGAGTCTCGCTCTGTCGCCCAGGCTGGAGTGCAGTGGAGTGATCTCGGCTCACTGCAACCTCTGCCTCCCGGGTTCACGCCATTCTCCTGCCTCAGCCTCCCAAGTAGCTGGGACTACAGGCACCCGCCACCACGCCCGGCTAATTTTTTGTATTTTTAGTAGAGACGGGGTTTCGCTGTGTTAGCCAGGATGGTCTCAATCTCCCGACCTTGTGATCCGCCCGCCTCGGCCTCCCAAAGTGCTGGGATTACAGGCGTGAGCTACCACGCCCGGCCCAAGTTGCAGAATCTTAACAAATTAGGAAATTAGATATTTGTCCTCTTTTTCTGAAATCAGGGGAACTTCGGGGAAAAAGCAGCAATCTAAGTAGACCACAGCAACAAGAAATTCCTTTATGGAAAATTTGCTTGTAAAAATCCAAATAAAGACGTATTTGTAGAGGGCAACCTGAAGGCAAAATATCATGCTCATACAAAATGAACTGCAGAATTGAGAAGCACAAGTGCCTGGAGGCAGCCCCATTATCAATTCTTTGACCTCTTGGAGCTGGGTGTGAGGGCTAAAAATAAACTTACTTCACCAGCTGAACTCCTTCAGGCCTTAACATCTAAAATCCTGGATCCATAGATGTGTTTGGATAAAGGACGGAGACCAGGGGTGGGCAAAGTGGTAGCAAAAGGGTGGCGGGTGCTGCAGGCCACAATGAGGGTTCAGGATTTCCTTCTAAATGTGATTAGCAGGAGAGTGACAGGATGATTTACATCTGAAAAGGACTGCTCCAACTGCTCTGCGGAGATGAGACCAGGTGGATACAGAGAAACCAGGTACTGGCTACTGCATAATCCTTGTGAGAGACAAAGGTGGCTCGGATCACCAAGCAGTAGAGCAGGCAGTGAGAAGTTATCAAATTTGGCATGCAGCTAGAGGAGAAAGCCAACAGGACTTGATGGTCAGTCAGATCTGGATTGCAGAGGAAGAGAAAGTCAAATCTCTTCCACTTTTCACAAAAATAAACTACAGATTGTTCCAGTAGTCAAGATACATCATTCAAAGGAAAACTATGGCAATGGCTATAAACAAATAATTTACCAAAAAAAAAAAAGATGTATGTGCAAATCACCACATCAAAAGATTTCAACACCACTAGTAATTACAGAAATGCAAACTAAAGCAAAAACTAGAATGCTTTCCCCTGTCTTATTAGAAAAAAAAATAAAGATAATCGAAGTGGGCTGAACAGTATTCCTCAAAATTCATGTCTATCTGGAACCTCAGAATGTGAGAGTCTTTGCAGATGTAATTAGTTAAGATGGGGTCAGATGGGATTACAGTAGACCCTAAGCACAATGACTGGTGTCCCTATAAGAAGAGGAGAGGACAGACAGAGATACACAGGCAGGGAAGAAAGCCAGGTGAAGATGGAGGTAGAGACTGCAGCGATGCAGCTACAAGCCAAGAAACACCAATAGGAACTGCAGCCGCCAGAAACTAGGAAGAGGCAAGGACAGATCCTCCCCTGGAACCTTTAGAGGAAGCATGGCCCTGCTACACCTTGAGTCAGATTTTTGGCCTCCAGAACTGTGAAAGGATACATTTTTGTTGTTTTAAGCCACCAAGTTTGTGGTTCTTTGTCACAGCAGTCCTAGCAAACTGACAACGTAATTGACAGTATTACTGAGAGTGTGAAAAGTACAGTCATCCTCAGGCCTGTTGGCAAAAGCATAGATTAGCACAACAGCCTTTGGGAAAAATAATTTGGCAATGCTTGCCACAATTGCAAATGACCAGATCTTTTGACTCAGCAATTCCAATGTGAGGAGTTTATTCTAAGGAGATAATTAGAAACATGTGCAAAGATTTTAAAAGAATGTTCCTCACAGGGTTAAAACTGGAAAAAAATCTAAATGTTCAAAAATTTAAAATAAGTCAAAAAAACTATGGTGCAAACTTACAACAAAGTACCATGATGGGAAGATAGTTTGGCAGTTTCTTACAAAACCAAACAATCTTACCAACCCATCCAGCCATCACACTCTTTAGTATTTATCCAAATGAGTCGAAAACATATGTTCACACAAAAATCTGCATATGAATGTTTATAGCAGCTTTAATCATAATTGCCAAAACCTGGGAGTAACCAAGATGTCCTCAAACAGGTGAATGAATAAACAAACTGTGGTACATTTATTTACCGCAGTTTAGAATATTATTTAGCAATACAAAGAAATGAGCTATTACCTACAAAAAACATGGAGGAAAATTAAATACGTATTTGGTTTCTTTTACTTAGTAATCTGAAAAGGCTGGATATTGTATGATTCCAACTATCTGACATTCTGGAAAAGCAAAAACTGTGACTGTGAAGATTAGTGGTTGCCATGGGTTTCCAGGGGTGGTATGTGGAACAGGTGGAGCACAGAGGGTTTCTAGGGCAGTGAAACTACTTTATATGATACTATAATGGTGGATATAAGTCATTATACATTTGTCCAAATCCATAGATTGCAGAATGCCAAGAGTGAACCCAAATGTAAACCATGAACTTTGCATGATAATGATGTGTCAATGTAGGTTAATCAGTGGTAACTAAAGTACCGCTCTGGTGTGGATATTAATAGTGAGGGAGGCTATGCCTACGTGGGTGCAAGGGGTATACAGAAACTCTCTGTATTTTCCACTCAAGTTTGCTGTGAACCTAAAACTGCTCTTAAAAATAAAGTTAGGCCGGGCGCGGTGGCTCACGCCTATAATCCCAGCACTTTGGGAGGCCGAGGTGGGTGGATCACTTGAGGTCAGGAGTTTGAGACCAGCTTGGCCAATATGGTGAAACCTCATCTCTACCAAAAATTTAAAAATTAGCCGGGTGTCATGATGCACGCCTGTAATCCCAGCTACTCAGGAGGCTGAGGCAGGAGAATTGCTTGAACCCAGGAAGCGGAGGTTGAGCCGAGATCGCACCATTGCACTCCAGCCTGGGCGATAGAGCGAGACTCCGTCTCAAAATAAATAAATAAATAAATAAATAAATAAATAAATAAATAAATAAAGTTTAATAATCTAAAATAAAAATTAAAAAATGTTCTTGAAAAATACTGGGTTTTTTTGTTGTTGTTTTGTTTTTGTTTTTGTTTTTGAGACAGAGTCTCACTCTGTCACCCAGGCTGGAGTGCAGTGGTGCAATCTCAGCTCACTCCAACCTCCGCCTCCTGGGTTCAAGCGATTTTCGTGCCTCAGCCTCCCAAGTAGCTGGGACCACAGGTGTGTATCACCACACCCAACTAATTTTTGTATTTTTAGTAGCGATGGGGTTTCACCATGTTAGCCAGGCTAGTCTCGAACTCCTGACCTCAAGTGATCTGCCCTTCTCAGTCTCCCAAAGTGCTGGGATTACAGGCATGAGCCACTGTGCCTGGCCTTGAAAAAGTATTTGATGATAAGGTTATTCAAGACATGTGATGTACTATTAACTGGAAAAAGCAGAATATAAAAATATAAACTACAGTATGATTCTAATTTTGTTTTTAAAAAGTATATGGTAGCAAAATATTATCTAACAATTGGTGAATCTGGATGAAAAGGTACATAGGAGTTCATTATATTATTCTTGCTACTTGTGTGTAGGTTTGAAACTTTTTCAAAATAAAAAGTAAAAGAATTGAAAAAGGCCAGGTACGGTGGCTCATGCCTGTAATCCCAGCACTTTGGGAGGTCGGGGCAGGCAGATCATGAGGTCAGGAGATCGAGACCATCCTGGCTAACACAGTGAAACCCCATCTCCACTAAAAATACAAAAACTTAGCCAGGGGTGGTGGCGGGCGCCTGTAGCCCCAGCTACTCGGGAGGCTGAGGCAGGAGAATGGAGTGAACCTGGGAGGTGGAGCTTGTAGTGAGCCGAGATCGCACCACTGCACTCCAGCCTGGGTGACAGAGCGAGACTCCATCTCAAAAAAACAAAAAAGAATTGAAAAGAAGTGGTACATACATGTATTCATATGCCATTAGACAAGGCATAGAAAACACTACACTATTAATACTGGTTATCTCTGAGCGATGAGATTATGCACAATTTCGGAGGTTTGTGTGATTTCTTATATTCGCCAACATTTCTACAATAAACATGTTTGTAATCAGGAACATAGAGTTAATGTCATTTAAAAGCAATAACAAATGCAAGGGTCTAAGAAACCTAAGAACATTAATTTGAAAAATAACAAACCTCTTCAACTAAGCTATCAATGCCACCTGCTTTGTTGTTTTAACTTACCCATCACATTCATGTTCATGGCCTTTGTAACCTCTTCCATTCCTCCCAGCTTCCCCCAGGTTCCCGCGACCTCTTTTTCTTTTGCCTGGCAACCTGTCTCCCTATGCAGAGATGTTGAACACCGCCTAATTCCTTTGCTTGCATAACAAAGTTCCTCAGAATTTTCAACCACAAGTTCTTCCATTCCTCTTATCATTTTCTGCTCTTTAGAAAAACAAAGTGAGAACAACAGTGCTCTTGGAAACTAAAAATATGGACAGAGAGGGGAAAAACACCGATAGAAATTTGGAAGATAAAGTTGAGAAATTACCTTATAAAGCAAAAAAAAAAAAAAAAAAAAAAAAAAAAAAAAAAAAAGAAGAAGAAGAAGGAAAGATAAAGAGGGAGGAGACAGGAGATAAAAGGTCCAACATGAGAAGAAGAAAATGTTTCCCAAATTTCGAAGGACATTTTCTATTTTGAAAGGGCCTACTCAGCAAGTACCCATCACAACGAATTTAAAAAGACCTATTCCATGGACATCAGAACACCAGGGATAAAGAGAAGAGCCTAAAAGCTTCCAAAGAGACAGAAGACTTGAGAAAGTGTAAAGGACTGGGATATCAGAATAGCACTGGATTTAGTGATAACACTGGGAACTAGAAACAATTAATGATGCCTACAAAATTAGAAGAACAAATTTCCAACCTAGAATGCTATACTCAACCAAGCTATCAAGTGGGCAGGTGATATAAAGACATTCTCAGTCATTGTACCTCCCTTGACACTACAGTAGCCACCACTGATGTCCACCCCTGCAGCCACCCTCATTCTTCCTTGCTAACAAATTCAAATTTTATTCTGATATTAAGTGGCCATCTGTTTTGAAGGTGGGGCACCAGTCCCAAGAGGGTGAATTTATTAGCAGACGCCAGTTATGGCAATTCCAATCCCTTTGATACGACCCTGAGATGTGAAGTTGGCTAGGAGGTTTTGAGAAAATAATCTCCTGGCTTTTAAAAAGAGGCTCGGCCGGGCACAGCAGCTCATGCCTGTAATCCCAGCACTTTGGGAGGCCAAGGTGGGCAGAACACCTGAGGTCAGGAATTCAAGACCAGCCTGGCCAACATGGTGAAACCCCATCCCTACTAAATATAGAAAAATTAGGCCGGGCGCGGTGGCTCACGCCTGTAGTCCCAGCACTTTGGGAGGCCAAGGCGGGCGGATCACGAGATCAGGAGATCGAGAACATCCCGGCTAACACGGTGAAACCCCGTCCCTACCAAAAATACAAAAAAAAATTATCCGGGTGTGGTGGTGGGCGCCTGTAGTCCCAGCTACTCAGGAGGCTGAGGCAGGAGAATGGCATGAACCCAGGAGGCGGAGCTTGCAGTGAGCCGAGATTGCGCCACTGCACTCCAGCCTGGGGAACAGAGGGAGACTCCATCTCAAAAAAAAAAAAAAGAAAAAGAAAAAGAAAAATTAGCTGGGCGTGGTGGTGCACACTTGTAGTCCCAGCTACTTGGGAGGCTAAGGCAGGAGAATCGCTTGAACCCAGGAGGCAGAGGTTGCAGTGAGTGGAGATCAGGACACTGCACTCCAGCCTGGGCGACAGAGCATGACTTCATCTCCAAAAAAAAAAAAAAAAAAAAAAGAGGCTCACCAGAGAAAATGGTTCATTTTTAAACTTCCAGCTATTGTGGTCTGCATATGACACCAGAGACATGGCAGCTACCTTGCAGCTATCCCATGAAGACAAACCCTCACCTTAAAGAATTGAAAGTTGGCTCAAAGAAGGAGTTGAAAGTTGGAAAGAACCTAAGTCCTTGGAAATATTACTAAGCCTACCCTGTAGCCAGCCCTAACACCAGACTTATGAGTCAAAACGAAGTTCACTTTCTTGATGCCCAAGTCCTGAGTCCTCAGCACCTACAGGAGAAAGACTGGTTTCCCACTGTGCAAAGACCTGCTGCAGCCCTTAGGGTACTGCTCCCTGGAAACCCCAATTCTCATACCATGCTCACACAGGATTTTGAGGTGAGCGGGGCATCCTACCCACCAAGCAGAATGTCTTTGTGCACTAGGGCCAAGCTGGAGTCTGCAGATTAGAACCTGGGTCTCTGAAGAATAGGGTAGCTAAACCCTTCCAGGACTTCACATGGAACCCATCCATCAGTTAAGTTGTTGGAGGCAGAGGCGGGAAACCAACTTAGCTTTTAATTTTAATTATTCTTTAAGTCTTCATCACTTATCTCAGTCTAAGCAGAGTTTCTAGGCTGATCCAGATTTATGCTCCACAGAGGACTGCGTATCTGCATTGAAATCAGAAAACACTCTAAAAGGCAACGTGATATTTGTTTATTTGTACTATTAAAAACCACAGGAGAAAATACCTTATCTGGAAAAATAGTTTGAACTTTTACTCACCTCCTCAAATCTAAATTGATATCTAACACCCATTTTCCTTGCAAAACAATAGCCGGCAGTAGAAACAGAACGTTTATACTAAGAAATGTTACAGAAACCTGAGAAGAAATAAATACAGTACTTATTTTCTATGTACACTCACTTTCTCCTTTAACATCAAAGTGTGTTTATATTTTTAAACACTAAAGTGGAAAGAGTGATTTTATTAGGTTCACTCCACCCAAGTTCATTGCTACAATACCTGACTCTCTGCCAAGGTGCTTAGCCTATCGCTAGGAAGTCCTAAACACAGGCCTGTTTTTAAACACTTTCACCACTCCCTTAGCCTTTCCACTTTGAAAATATTGTCTGGTATCATGTTTACTTCTACATTTTAAACACTGTTTATATGTAGAAGTGTATTTTAATTATTGTCAGTGATTAATACTATTCTTACTATCTGAATGTAGATTATTCTATATTTCATTAAAGTTGAAAGTAATTATATTTGTGGTTGAGCTCTAACAACTGCACTAATAATACTAGTGATAAAAATGCACTCATAAATCAGTTTGTATAATTATTGATATGCATAATGACTAACAAAATTGCTTCCCCAATAACTCTAATGATATGAGAGTAATCACCTCCTCTCCTAAAAATAACACGCTACAAGCACAGAGAAGTCCCAACTTATACACGGATTCTGCATTGTCAATTATATGTGATGGGGTAAACTAAAAGAGAGTGACAGATTATCTGAGGTGGAATTAAATGATCAATGAGCCCTGAAAGACAGGGAGAGGAGAACATACACCTGCATGGTAAGAGTACATCAACGGGTGCCCCTCTAACACTCACTAGCTGATACTTTTAGCTCCAGATAACTCTGTTGCTTTCAGACCACTGGAGGCAGTAAGCTGTACTATGATGATCTTAGGGAGAGCAGATGCAAATAAATAATATGCTAAAGATTCAGTCACCTTATTCCTCTACAATACATTTACCTGCATTGGTATCTCTCATGAAACCTACTCAAATGCAGTCATGTCAGCAGTTGCCCACTGCAGCTGAGGTGGTCCCAATGCTTCAGGCTCAGAGCTGGCATACAGCACACCAGATCTGCTCAGTCTCAGAACTTAACTCCAAAACCCAGAGGCTGACAGAGCTGAGTTGCTGTTTCTAGAATGACTATCTCAAGAACCGGGCAAGGCATAATGGAACCCATTAGTAAATTCAGCAGAAGAAGGAAGAGGCAGGAAAATAAGAAGGGGGAATGTACTAGTCTGTCTTCATGTTTCTATAAAAAACTACCTAAGACTGGGTAATTTATAAAGAAAACAGGTTTAAGTGGCTCATGGTTCCATGGGCTGTACAGGAAGCATGGCTGAGGAGGTCTCAGGAAATTTACAATCATGGTGGAAGGCAAAGGGGAAGCATGCACATCTTCACATGGCCAGCAGGAGAGAGCAAAGGGGGAGGTGCTACACACTTTTAAACAACCAGATCTTGTGAGAACTCACTGTCACGAGAACAGCAAGGGGGAAATCCACCCCTATGATCCAATTACCTCCCACCAGGTCCCTCCTCCAACACTGTGGATTATAATTTGACTTGAGATTTGGATGGGGAAACAGAGCCAAACCATATCACGGAAGTTCAGTCTCATAATGAAAGCAAATCTCATAATTATTTTTGTTAACCATGCATTCCTCTGTTGACTCAACTAAGACTCAGGCTCTGGGAACTTAAAATGCACCAGGCTTTATCTATGTTAGGAGTTATGGGGATATAGAAAAATAAGGCATGATTTGGATTATTGGGGAGTTTGCAATCCAATGAGGAGAAAGATGAGTGTCTTAGTCACCTGGGCTCCTATAACAAGATACCACAGACTGGGTGGCTTTAACAAATATTTATTTCTCACAGCTCTGGAGGCTGGGAAGTCCAACATTACAGCTCTGGCAGATCTAATGCCTGGAGAGGCCCGCTTCCTGCTTTGTAGATGGCTTTTTGCTGTGCCTCACATGGTGGAGAGAGAAAAGAAAGGCACTGGTCCCCTTCTTCATATGAGGGCACTAAGCCCATTCATGAAGGCTCTACTCTCACGGCCTAATCACCTCCCAAAGGTCCTACCGCCTAATACCATGGCACCGGGGAGTTAGGATTTCAACATATGAATTTTTAACACAAATAGGCAGTCCATAACCACAAGAAAACAACTATTTAGTTTTGAATCAAATATTAGGTAGAACCACACAAAATTATGTTAATTGTGGTGAAAAACAGAAATATTTGTAGTCAAAGAGGTAGCCTGGGGCCGGGAGTGGTGGCTCACGCCTGTAATCCCAGCACTTTGGAAAGCCAAGACAGGCGGATCACAAGGTCAGGAGTTTGAGACCAGCCTGGCCAACATAGTGAAACCATGTCTCTACTAAAATACAAAAAGTAGCCGATGTGGTAGTGCATGCCTGTAATCCTAGCTACTCAGGAGGCTGAGGCAGAAGTTACAGGAGGAAGAGGTTACAGTGAGCTGAGATCATGCCACTGCACTCCAGCCTGGGAGACAGAGCAAGACTCTGTCTCAAAAAAAAAAAAAAAAAAAAAAGAGGGAGCTTGGAAAAAATATTCTGGGAGGTGATGGAACTGTTCTGAATTTTGATTGTGGTGGTTACATAACTTATTGCACTTATCAAAACTCTCAGAAACTGTACACCAAATAGAGTGAATGCTACCGTATGTAAATTTAAAAATAAATTTTAAAAGCAGCTGAATATCAGTAATTTCATACGGTTTAACTTAGTAGATGCGCCAGCTCAGGCAGACAGTTCTGCAGGATTGCAGGAAGCAGAGACGAACAGAGATTAATAGAGGAGTGATAGTCTCATGAACAACAACCATTTCATCAGAGCCTTGAAAAAATAAAGCCCTCAACAGTGAAGAAAAGAAGGGCAAGAAGGTAAATATCCTAGAGACAAGGACAGCACAAGCAGTCAAAAAGTTCTACAAACTCACAGCAGGTGTGGAGAATAGCAAATAGAGCAGTAGATAGTTCATGAAAGCAGGGGGATCACAAAAAAAAAAAGGGGGGTAGAATACGGAGGACTTAAAAGACCAGATTAAATACACTAGAATTTATTCTACAGTCAATGGCAAGTTAGTAAAGTGTTTAGACAAAGGACTGACATGACTAAATCTATTTTGGAAAGATAACCTTGATAAAAATATGGAGGATTTGTTGGTTGTGGGAGGTATCAGAGGCAGGAGAATGACCTACAAGGGTTTCTTAATTGGGGTCTGTGAATTTCTTAAAATGGTTGCAATATTGTGTATGTGCACACACATTTGTACATACACACATCTTTTTCTAGAAGGGGGTCTATGGTTTTCATTAGCTACTGAAGGAGTTCATAACCTCTAAAGGGTTAAGAACTTTAAGAACTGTATTGTTCAAGTGCATCAAGATGCAGCAGGAGTTAAGTTTGCAGTGAGCAGAATAAATTCAGAGACACTTATGAAGATCGCATTTCTGGACTTAAAAATAACTAGTGAGTGAGAGTGAGAGAGGGAGGATCTAAAGATGACAACAAAGTTTCTAGCTTGCTGACCTGGGAAGTGTTGAGGGAGAGGAAGGGAGAGGGAGGAAAAGGGGTATCATTACACTAAGAACAAAAAAATGATTTCACTTCAAAGAACTGAATATTTAACCTCTGCACTTGTGTCACTCTTAGCTCGAGATTTTCTTCTATTTTTATGGGCCAAAGTATTTCTGGCTAAAGAGAGAGATAAGATGTACTACAGAGGACCGTACTTGCATATGAAAATAAAAAGCAGATGAGAAAACAATCTTCAAAGCCTTTCTCAGAGTGAGTTCGCTCTCCGGAGGCTTGCTTTCCACATTCTCATGGCATTAGGAAACCTCAGGGGGATGGTATCTGCCTCTGTCACACAAGGGAATGAATGTAACATATAGTATTGGAATAAGCTGAAGATAGCCATCCAAACAGTATTAATATGTTTTAAACGTACAAAACATTTCATATGACTTGAGGATTTTTGTAAGTTAGAAATTCGACTCACTAGCATGGATTACACCTTAAATAAATATAGTTTCTTCCCTGGTGTTTTCATACATCATGGAGCAAATTTATGTTTCTTTGGTAAACATTTGCTTATTAAATAAACGTTTGCCTGAAGTTGAAAGGGGATGCTATATAGAGCTCCCCTAATTGCTCTGTTAGCTCATTTGACCTCCAGAGGCCCTGGGATCCAAAGAGCTGCACCCCCACCTCAGGAAGCCTGGAGAAAGCCAAGCAGCAGCAGGACAGTGAGATTTTGTTCAACAAATCTGTATTCATAGCCAGATACTATAATGGGGGTTGGAAAATACAAAGATGTGAGGGGCTCTCAGCTTGTCTGTAATGAAGTGATCAGGGCAGGGCAAGAGTGTCAGATTCAGTCATGTAGGAGCAGCCCTGTGCAGAAAGAACCCCACGGCCAGGGAGGGAGGCTCCAGGGAACATATGGCTGTCACCATATGGGAGTCGAGAGGGCTGAGAAGAAAGACCTCCGGGGAGAGTATCTGAGGCTTCCTAAATGCTCATACCTCAATTTATAGCAGAGTGCTGTCACCTGAATTCCACTCACACTGCTCTGCTGGGTCTCCTCACTAAAGCAAGCACACCCACTGAGAACTACGGCACGCTTGGGCCATCTGGCCCCTCTCCCACACCCTGCAACACACACACATACACACACACACGCACGCACACACATGCATGCACACACAGGCACACACTCACCAACTGAGGTCTGTGAACAATACAACCTCAGTCAGTTGCACTGTTTCATTTGTACATATTACCGTAACCAACAAATGACTGCAAAAAAACTGTTGTTCAATGAATACTCTGGAAATGCATGATGGAGGTAGACTGCTAAAAAAAATGCTGCCAAATCAGGTGTGAAAGACATTATCTGTAAAAAGGAGGAAGGAAAATTGTTAAAAAGAAATCTACCAGATTTCCAGGTGTCCTTAAGTCCTTCCAACTGTAATACGGCTGTGGTTAACAGAAAAACAAAGATGTGGAATAAGGCAGATCCATATTAAAAGAAATAGCCTGGGACTTCTGTCAAATAACTGGTGAGTAAATGTGCATTTCTGTGTATGTAATTAAAATAAAATGTTTAAGGAATATATGGATCATTTTTTTTTGAGATTCTGTTTACTGGCCAACTACTATAAGAATTAACCAAAAACCTAATGATTCCCCAATTCCTCTTCTACATAAATTTAACAACCTCCCACTGTCAGCCAACATCACTCCCATTACCAGTTAAACTCCCTTCCAACTGGAAAATCATTGCTCTGTTACTGGTCTTTATCAAAGATGATTTCCAAACCATACAATCTCATTTACTGTGATGTAGATTTAGCTTTACTTGTTAAAAAGGATTTTATACTAAGATTTAAACCTTAACCATTGCCAAATCTTCCTTCAGTTTGCCCAGTAAGATTTCATACAACCTAGAAAAGAATTTAGAGCCTGAATAAATATATGAAGTGCTCTAGCAAAGCACTTTCTTAGTGTTTGTCATCAATTATATTCCAGTTGCAAAATTTTAGATATTGAAGATCATTTCAAAAAACTTTTAAAATTAAAATTTGAATGCAAAGTATGTAGCTACTACTTTCTTTGTTTTGGTATATGGCAATGTAAGATACTAGAGAGTAAAACATTCAAGTTGTAACTACTGAAATTAAATTTGATAAGAAACTTGTCCTTTTATTGAATAATTACTTTATTCATGTTTTTTGAAAAATGTATTCAGTTGGAGGAGCTGTCCTCTTTTTAAAACTGATGCTTTAAAATCCACGTTATAAAAACATTACTAGGCCAAGGCGGGCGGATCACCTGAGGTCAGGATTTTCAGACCAGCCTGGCCAACATGGTGAAACCCCGCCTCTACAAAAAATACAAAAATTAGCCGGGCGTGGTGGCAGGCACCTGTAATCCCAGTTACTCGGGAGGCTGAGGCAGCAAAATCACCTGAACTCGGGAGGTGGAGGTTGCAGTGAGATTGCGCCACTGTACTCCAGCCTGTGCGACAAGAGCAAGACTCTGTCTCAAAAAAAAAAAAAAAAAGATCATAGCTCTTTCTTCAGTGTCTTAAAATATCAATATATTAGTATATAATATATCTCTAGCATTTTTGTAAGGTCTCAGAAGCCCTATGAAATGCTCTGGGTTGGCACTTGATCTTTACACACAGGATTCAACATAACAGAGCAACTTGAGAAGACAGAACTGGATTTCCTGAATGGGTAATGAGCTCCCTTACATTTAATTCACTGGAGGCTAACATCATCCTTAATTAAAAAAGAAAAAAAAAGGTACTATTAAAATTACATTTACTTCCTACAATAGAAAGCCAAAATGGAAACTACCAGAGCTTCATGAATTTTAAAGCCCTACGCAAACGTTGTTGCACAAATACAATTTCCTCTAGTCCTAGAAGTTTTGCTCAAGTTATATTAGCTCCATACAACCTGACCTACTTGTTCTAAAATATTTGGTTGCAATTCAAAGATGGGATTCTTTCTTATGGATCCCACATTTATAGAGCAAATGTACCTAAATGTTAATATATGTTCATCATAAATTAGATTAAAAACTAACTCAGGTTAATTTTAGTATGTCATTATACAGTATTAACTAAACAATTAGGATAAACCACTACAAAACAGTGAGCTGTGACATCATAGAGCCACTTCCTTTCAAGCCCTACCCTTAATCCACTCTTCCACCTGCCAATACACACACATGCACGTGTGCACATACGCACACAGAACCCCCCCTCCACCACCACCTTTCATGGTGTATTTTTCAACCCCTTTAGAGAATTGACAAGGATAGAAGACATTTAAGATTAAGGTCCATAAAGTATTCATTATTGTTGTTTTCTGCTTTCTTTAAGAACTGTCTCGTCCTATCAGGACACACAGCTATGCTAGCTCAGCTGTAAACGAAAGGATACGACCTTGAAGGTGTCTATAGCTCACTGGTTTTAGATGCCGACTCCACATCTTCATCACAGCTCCTAGGTGGTGGCTGCACTGATGTGTACAATAAGATAAACTGAATCGCTAGCTGAAATAAGCATTTTGAATTTTCATTTGTATGTGAGTGGATTCAAAAGATTAAAGTGCTATATCCATAATTACATGCTCACTACTATTAAAAATACCTAAGCTAACTTCTAATTAAAAGGGTGGATAGTACATGTGTATTACCTCCTCTCCCTCCTGAACCCCTGCCAAAAACAATATATAAGGCCACAAAGAAGAAAAGATCCAAGTGAACAAGAGATGCAACACTTTTCAGAAGATGGAAAATGAATACAGAAGTAGTTATAGGATGAGAAATAGCAGAGGCTACAGAGGGGAAGACCACACAGAAACAAATTTGCTCTGCAACCCAGGCTCCAGGCTTAGGGGAGCAGGACCCAACCACAAAGGGAATAGTAGGGTGGGTGTAGGGCTGAGAACAGGGGAGTGAATGAATGCCAGCATATGCAACACTTGGATCCCCAGATCCTGCACAGACACTTTCTCCCCTGACCTGCAGAGACAGTTTCTCCCAGGAAAAGAGCTGGCTTGCTCAAGAGCTTCCAATTTGCTTCCTAGTGACTCACTGGGTTTTCTGGTGGTAAAATACACATAACATAAAATTTACCATGTTAGCCATTTTAAAATAAACAGTTCAGCGACATTAAGTATACTCACACTGTTGTGCAACCGTCACCCCCATCCATCTCTGGGACTTTTTCATCTTCCCAAACTGAAACTCTGTACTTATCAAACACTAACTCCTCACTCCCTCTTTCCCCCAAACCCCTGCCATTCTACTTTCTACTCTATGACTCTGTCTACTGTAGGTACCTCATGTAAGAAGAATCATCCAGTATTTGTCCTTTTATGACTGACTCACTTCACGCAGCATAATGTCCTCAAGGTCCATCCATGTTGTAGCATGTGTTAGAGTTTCCTTCCTTTTTAAAGCTGAATACCACTCTATAGTATGAATATACCACATTTTATTTATCCATTCATCCATCAGTGGGCACCTGGGTTGCTTCCACCTTTTGGCTATTGCGAATATCGCCGCTATGAAATTGGGTGTACAAATACATCTTTATATCCCTGCTTTCTAGTGACTCACTCTTACATGTGAACAGATAACTAAGGATCAGAGGACTTTTTAGGAAAACTTCCCAACGTTAAAGACAGAAACCAAAATAAATAAGGAGGAAGGGCTCTTGAAAATTAAAATGGTATAGGCCAGGAGCAGTGACTCACGCCTGTAATCCGAGTACTGTGGGGGACCAAGGCGGGTGGGTTGTTTGAGCTCAGGAGTCCCAGACCAGCCTGGGCAATGTGGCGAAACCCCATCATTACAAAAAATTACAAAAAAATTAGCCAGGTGTGGCGGCACATGCCTGTAGTTCCAGCTACTCGGGAGGCTGAGATGGGAGGATCACCTAAGCCTGGGGAGGTCGAGGCTGCAGTAAGCTGAGATTGTGCCACTGCACTCCTGCCTGGGTGACAGAGTGAGAACATATCTCAAAAAAAAAAGTATAAATAAAAAAGGTTAGATGGGTTGGAAAATAAAGTCATAGAACTTTCCCAGCAAATAGCGTAAAAAGAGAGATCAAACATAGTAGAGAAAAGATAATAATCAATGAAGATGGTCCAACAGCAAATTTATAGGATTTCTAGAGAGAAGAAAGGTGTTTATCAAATAAACTACGGGAGATATTTCCTCCCAAAACGATATTGGTATCCACATTCAAAGGGCCTTCCAAGAGGCTTGCAAAGATGAAAATAGACCATACAAGGCACATCGTGGTGAAATGTCACCATGCCGGGAATAAAGACGCTAAAACCTTCCAGAGCAAAAAGCAGGTCATGCAAAGGTTTGGGACACAGAATAGTATCAAAGGTCTCAATAGCAACATTCAGATGCTAGAGCAGAACAATGTTTTTCAAATTCAGAGAACAATACCTTTTAAGCTAGAATTCTGTACCTAAGCAAATCATGAATCAAAAAAGAGGCAAACAAGGTCTCCATCAGAGGAGAGGAGCAGAAAAGTCCCAGGAACAGGGGCAGCAGGCCCAGAGGGCATTAGGTTGGTGGGCACAAGGGCACAGGAGATGAAAGCTTCTGGCCTCACACTATGGGTCTGTAGCTTTGTTTCTGATTGATTCATGCAGTCATACAACAGTGTTTTTTGTCTATTATGTATCAGGCACTCTTCCCTTCTAAGTGCTGGGAACAGAGGTGAAAAAAACAAAAGTTCCTGTCCTGGTGCAGTTTTCATTCTAAGGCGGGAGAGGGACGATAAACAAATATACCTTGTTAGGTAATGTCCTATGAGGAGAATAAGCAGGGAAAAGGGATAGAGTGTAACCAGGTGGAGTGCTAGACTGGAAAGACCAGAGGTGACCTTGGAGACCTGAGTGCAGTGAGGGAGAGAGCCCTGGGCATTTTGGGGGTCTGGAGAGAGAGCTCTTAGGCAGAGGGACTTCAGGACCAGCTGCCCTCATCAGCCTGGCCTCCTGACAGGCATTCTCCAATGGACAAGATTTTCTCTTGCTCCCAGCCTGTTCATTTCTTCTGGACCCTCTGGGAAACAACTCTGCCTGGAGGCAGATGGCAGGGCTAAGCAGCCCCAATTACCACATGGCTGGGGCCCTATTGGGCCAGTCCTCTTTCCCCTTCCCAGTGGGGAGACGACACAAGACTCTGCAAGAGAGATGGGACCCCAGAAGACAGAAAGGATGCAAGTGGTTGAGTGCTAAGGTGGTAAGTCCAGGCCCTGAAGCCATCTAGGCAGACACAACATCTGACACTTACACTGCTCTTTCTGTGCATTTTCACAAGCAAGAGAGGCAGAACAGGTACCACCATCATGCACAGATGCCGAAACTGGGGCACTGCCAGGTAAGGAACCTGCCCAGGGTCACAGAGCCTGTTAGTTACAGTACGAACTCTCACTGAGGCCTGCTTCAGAGACCAGTGCTAGGTCAAAACCAAACGTAAACATGTTTTTCTTGTTACTTTTCATGTTTTCCATACAGGTAAAAATAAAGCCCAAGTTGTAAGTGGTTCATGAGAACAGAAGATCTTTTTATTTAGCATTTCACAAAATATAAGGCTACTCCTCTTGAGACTTCACCTTGAGCTGTAATTTTCTAGCTACCCATGGGTCAGAGACAGGCACTAGAACTTGGTTAGACTTACTCCACCTCAGATTAGGAGCAATTACCGTTTGGGAAAAGAAAAGCAAACTGAAGGATGGAACAGTCTACCTAGAAGATGTTTCAACGATCGGATAACTAGCATTATGACTAGTTCCCCGCCAGAATATGCCGCCTCAGCCTTCCCTTCCAAACGCTGCAATCTCCTTTCCGTTACCTATCTTCGGGGTTGCAGTTTTGTTCTAAGAGCAGAGGAGCATTTGCATCTGCGGGGCGAAGGTGCTGAGTGGGAGGAGCGGCCACTGCATGCCCACAGAGGAAGCTGCTGTGACAGCCCTGCTGCTCCTGCTGAGCAAGGGAACTAGAGTGGCCCAGTCTCCACCTGGGTCTGGCTCCGTTCCCGAAGCTGATTCAGGAATTGAGTCATCATTCGCAACCTGAAGTCAAGGAACATCTTAGTTAGATTTAAAACACTGTATTTCAATAATATCTAACAGTTTAAAAATACCCCCACATTTAACCCTCAGCATTCCTGCGTGAGGGAAACACAGTGGTGCCTGCAATTTACTTGAAATGAGTAAAACATGTGAAATGGACAGATGGATGGATCGGCAGATACGTGATAAAACAAAGTAAAAGAATAAAGGTAGAATTCAGGTATTGGATATATGAGCGTTCCCTGTAAAATTCTTTCAGCTTTGTTGTAGTTTTGAAATCTTCATAATAAAATGTCAGGGAGAGTGGGAGGGAGGGACTCTCCCATCATCCTGGATTATTTCAATATCCATGTGAATGATTAATTCAACAACCCAGCCTCAAGCTTCCTGGCCCTCTGAATGCCGGCACTCTCCCGTCACCTCCTGGACCTTACCTCACTTAAAACAGTCCTGCCTTGATCTTAAACTATCTCTTCAGACCAGATTCCTTTCATTCCAGCTCACTGCCTCATAGGTGCTTCCGCTTCAGGAAGGTATCTACACCTAAACCCTCCATTTCCCCGTGACTTCTGGTGCTTCTGTATCCAACAGAGATTTATCAGCCCCCTCAGCACCTTCCCTGCAAACCTGCAGGGCCAGCCACTGTCAGGGAAGAGGAACACAGGGGCAGGAAACAACCTCACAGCCCCTGCCTGCAGCAAGCTCATCTGGAGCTGCGAGTAGGGACGGAGGAGATGTGTGGGCACAGCTCTCACGGGGCTTTGCTGCCATGGTTCCTGTGGGCTTGCCTGTGCTTCTCTCCCCTGCTGGATCCCCTCTTTTCCACCGCTGCATCTTCCCAGATAGCTCAGTTTACTCTCATTTTGATGGATCATATTTTTCAACAGCTTAAACAGTTTTTATTATGAAGTATTTTAAATATAATCAAAAGAAGAGAGAATGGTATAATGAACCCACATATACCCATTCTCAACAGTAACAAGAGTCTGGCATATTTGCTTCATTATCCCATTTTTTTTCTTTTTCTTTCTTTCTTTTTTTTTTTTTTTCCATGACGGAGTTTTGCTCTCGTTGCCCAGGCTGGAGTACAATGGCGCGATCTCGGCTCATTGCAACCTCCGCCTCCTGGGTTCAGGTGATTCTCCTGCCTGAGCCTCCCGAGTAGCTGGGATTACAGGCATGCACCACCCCGCCCAGCTAATTTTTCCATGTTTTTAGTAGAGACGGGGTTTCACCATGTTGATCAGGCAGGTCTCAAACTCCTGACCTTAGATGATCCATCCGCCCTAGGCTCCCAAAGTGTCGGGATTACAGGTGTGAGCCACCGCACCCGGACTTTTTCTTTTCATTCTTTGCTCAAGTATTTTAAAGGAACTCAGACTTCTTCAGTGTGCCTCTCTTAAACTCCAGGCCTGTAATCCCAGCACTTTGGGAGGCTGAGGTGAGAGAACTGCTTGAGTCTAGGAGTTTGAGACCAGCCTGGTCAACATAGTGAGGTCATGTCTCTACAGAAAATTTTTAATCTGTTTTCAAATGTATTTGCAGAGTTGTGCAAATTAAAATATAAGAAATTAATGCAAAGGTCAGCTACAGCTAAAGTTGCTGTCTATTAATTTGATATTTAGTAGTTTTCATTTGTAAATTAACTAACTCTTAGACTGCAAATAAACATTTTTGTAAAGGGCTATGTTTTTAAGTTTCTAAGAAAATCTTCAGTTAGCAGTTTAGAGTCTTCTAAAATTAAAGTAGAAAGAAATAATTGGTGTGAAAATGCAAGGGTTAGCTGTGTTAGAAAATGTCTAATTGAGGGTTGTAAGTTTCTTCTATCTTGAGAAGAATAAATATTTTGAAGAGTAACATTGAAGGTGGCATGTTTAAAAGAAATTAAATGGTTATTATAAACCACAGGAAAAATAGTAGAAAGGAAATGGTAACAGAACAATCAAAGAAAAGCATAATGGGATAATAAACAGGTTAACAGTGTAATAATGATAATTAACAGTAACAAGATATTGTTAAAATTTTAATTAAACTTAAAGCAGCAGCAGGAAATACTGAAAAATAAAATACTTGGCTACATAAAAATGTACACTTCTACTTACTTCTAACCTTATAAATTCTAAAAGAAAAAACACAAATGGTAAAACACATATGAAAAAACTTTAATCTGAACAGTGCAAAAAATGCTAACAATAACACTAATGAACAATTTTTCACACTGCAAATCACCACAGATTAAGAAGACTGACATTTTTAGTGTGATGAAGACAAGTTCCTTCCAGCTTTTGGGAAGGCAGAGTGGCACTCTGTGTCAAAATGTAAACTGACCATACCCCTTCACCCACCAAATCTATTTCTAGAAATTCACCCACAAAAGACAATCACATAAATGTTCAAAGATCTATCTATTGAAGCAGTTTTCAAAAGAGTGAAGATTAGGAAAGACTTATCCACTAATAATGGATAGGGTAAATAAACAGGTACATTCACAAAAATGACTACTGCTACAGTCACTGAAAATGTAAGGATGCTGGAGAAAGTCACATAATAAAGAAAATCAGTGCCACTATAATTCATGATCACTGCTCCCAAATGGGTCCTCAATTCCCTTTCTCTAACCGCAGACTCACAGGCCCTTCTGCTGATGTGATATAAGCTCTCCTATCAGCAATAAACAGGAATGAAGTATTGATACATGCTACAACATGGATGAACCTTAAAAACAGCATGCAAAGTCAAAGACCAGACACAAAGGACCATATATTATATGATTCTATTTACATGGAATATCCCAAATAGGAAAATCTATAAAGACAGTAGATTAGTGGTTGCAGACTTGGGATGGAGGTAGTAGGGGGTGACAGCTGGTAATGAAAATACTCTAAACATGACTGTGGTGATGGATGCATATTCAACTCTATGCATGTAGTAGTATATTCAACTCTGTGAATATAGTACAAGCCACTGAATTGTACACTTTAAATGAGTGCATTGTATGGCATTTAAATTCTCTCAATAAAGCTGTTAAAAACCAAAAGCTCTCCCATATGTGGAATGTTTGCGTGACCCCTGCCACCTGAGTACCCTCATGCTTACAGCTAAACATGCCTATGTGTTATTCTAATGTGTGTGAGTTTCACCACTGGCATGCAACAAATCAGCTCTATATTCATTTGTTACTCCACCTTTCTAAAAAGCTATCTGACATATTGACAGTACATAATGACAGCTAAAATTTCTTATCCTTTAATTCAGAGGTGATCTTTTTGAAACCTTTAATAAGGAAATACAAAAACTAAATCTGTCACCCAAACTGGAGTTCAGTGGCACAATCACTGCTCACTTCAGCCTCAACCTCTCTGGGCTCAAATGATCCTCCCATCTCAGACTCCCAAGTAGCTGAGACTACAGGCACACGCCACCACACCTAGCTAATTTTTGTAGAGACAGGGTTTTGCCATGTTCCTCAGGCTGGTCTCAAAACTCTGAGATGGGCTCAAGTGATCTGCCCATCTCGGCCTCCCAACATGCTGGGATTACACGGATGAGCCACCATGCTCAGCCAATAATTTTTATAATTGGAAAAAACTGCAAAAAATCTAAATGTTTAACAATAGAAGAATCAATAAACCATAATATGCCCATACAAGAGATAGCAAAAAGACATTAAAATGTTTTCAAAGAATATGAACTATAGAGTGTTCATGATGTATAAGTGAATAAAGCAGAACATAAAAGTGTATATATAATGTGATCCCTTTTATGTATATTATACATTTCTACAACAACATGGATGTGGGAGCACCTACTGCCTTCTCTGAATACCATCCCTTTCCTTGAGAGCCACTGTCTTGGTGTAATGTGACCACACTGCCTAGTCTCAGGAGCAGGGGCTAATCTGGGGATGGGGTGGGCTAATGACAGGCTCTTTCCCAGAAATCTCAGCCATGAGATTCAACTTGGTTGCTCTCCTAAACGGAGATCTTAACCTAGGGCCGGTTTGCAAGTCAGCTGCAGTTAGCTGTTATCTAAGGAATGCTGGGAATGCTGGTAGGGGCTAGGCCCACGGGGCAGCTCTGACTCCTCCCCATAGTCTCAGTGCTTAAATTCCAAGGTTCTTAGCTTTTGCTGAAATGCTGGAGCAGGAAGTCTCCCAGAATGCAGTGGCTGTGAACAGCAAGGCTAATCCCATGGGAATGGTGGCTGTGTCTACCTGTGCCAGCAGTTCCCTGTAGCATCTTCTTGTTGAACCCACTCCAGTCACAGGAAATAATCAGAGAGCTGATTATGCTATGCAAACAACCAGGGGTTGTGGCAGTCTACAATTTCCAACCACTTGTCTAAAGCGTGATTCAGAGGGGCAGCAACCAGTCCTGGTCACCACAAGCTGTTACACTTTCTGCAGGCTGGGTATGCAAAATTTACCTTTCTTTCAGAATATACTGTATAATTTTACTTGGAATTCTTATTCTACTCTCACAGCATGTTCCAGATGTCACACAGCATGAGGAAGCAAGTGCTCTCCAGCCCAGGATCTGATAGCACCCACATCTTTGAGGACTGAGGACAGAGGGCATCGGGAAGCCCTGACAACTCTGGCACATCTGCCACCACGTGTGTGGTGAGGTCATGAGGGCAGACACTCAGGCGCTACTCCTCTTCTTCTCCTGGTTACTCAAGAAAGCTACTCAGTACTTCCATACCTGAGTTTCCTCATCTTCAAAAGGGAGGTTACACCCTCTAAGCCGTGGCATTCACCAAGAGGCTGGGACATTATTCTTAGAAATACACAAATACAGGCACCCTTTTTTCTAGTATGGGCTGTTCTTAAAGGTATGTGTCACACTGAGTCAGCAGGCTCCTGGGTCCATAGGCAGGTCAGCAGTCTCTGACACATTCTCCTTCAGCTCTTCTGACAGGTAGATCTTCCATTTTTACAGCTTTATGGAAGGATATTTCACAGACCATAAAATTCAACATTGAAAGGGTAAAGTTCAACGCTTTTCATTATTGACACAAGCAGATCTTGACTGTCACAGAGAGAAAGATAAAAAACAAATTAGCTCCTTTCTCTAGTGGCCTGCATCCTCTGTTCCCTGCCATCTCTTAATCTTTCCCTCCAGTAATGTTTGCCTGGGCATCCCCTCTAACCCGCAGCCACTTTCAGACCCCTCAGCAGCACCTCCTGGTGGCCAGCAAGACTTGGAGGGAGGGAGCCGCCAGCTAGTGCAGCAGTTAGCTCACCATGCCAGGACCCACACTCCCCCCAGTGGAATAAGCTCTATGCTCAGACAACAGACTTTATGAAAACCAAAGAAACAAGGATAAAAATGAGGTGAAAGAAATAGAAGTGTTCTTGTGAACTTTTAAAGTACAGTAAATAAGTCTAGAGTTTATAAGCAAAAGCTGATATTTTTTTAAAAGAGCTTTACTGCATAATCTTTATCCTTATTCCCACAAGCAGTCAAAAATCCCACAACCACATGAACCTATCAAATAGTAAAGAAGCATTTGGGAACAAGAGCTAGGCGCAGAAGCTCACACTTGCAATCTTAGCACTTTGGGAGACCGAGGCGGGTGGATCACCTGAGGTCAGGAGTTCAAGACCAGTCTGGCCGACATGGTGAAACCGTCTCTACAAAAAAATGCAACAAATTAACCGGACATAGTGGAGCATGCCTGTAATCTCAGCTACTCGGGAGGCTGAGGCAGGAGAATTGCTTGAACCCGGGAGGTGGAGGATGCAGTGAGCCGAGACTGCGCCATTGCACTCCAGCCTGGGTAACAAGAGCAAAACTCCATTTCAGAAAAAAAAAAAAAAAAAGTATTTGGGGACAAGAAATGAATTAATATGTGTGACGGACAATGACTTAATAATACCTAATCTGGTTCTACTTTCTTCATCTTGATTTCTACTTTTGATTGCTTCTTATTGTAAGGAATATTTTCAAGACATATTTTCTGTTTCTCATTTATTTTTCACTGGTCATATTTTCTAATCCTGTCTTCACTTTGGTGTCTTCTCTGGATTTTAGTAGTGAAAATGACTGACACGTTTTGAAATAAATGTTAAAAAGATAAAAAGAAAAACTCTTGCCTGAAAAATTACCCTAGTATTCAAGCTACTTGTGTAAATTACAGAAATTTAAAAAAAACTCTAGATAATATAATTATCAGATAGAAGTTCTACAATGAGTACATTTGAAATTATTAAAGACCCAAAGAAATAAAAATCCCAGGGAACAAAAGGTAAATACAAAGCATAGAAAAACATGATAGTGAGGTGGGTGCATCACCTGAGGTCAAGAGTTCAAGACCAGCTTGGCCAACATGGTGAAACCCCATCTGTACTAAAAATACAAAAATTAGCTAGGCGTGGTGGCGCATGCCTGTAATCCCAGCTATTCAGGAGGCTGAGGCAGGAGAATCGTTTGAACCTGGGAGGCAGAGGTTGCAGTGAGCTGAGATCACAGCACTGCACTCCAGCCTGGCTGACAAAGCAAGACTCTGCCTCAAAAAAAGGAAGGAAAGAAAAATATGATAGAAATATATCCAAGTACATCATAAATCACAAGTATAAATAAATAAAATGTGTCCACTTAACTGGATGAAAATTTAGACCATGTAAAAAGAAAAGTAAACCCCACAAAATCCATAGAGACACATGCAGATACACAGAGGTTAAGAGAAAAAGAGGAAAAAATAAATATACTGGAGGAATTTAGATTCTGAGACTGAAGGATGAGATAATTCAGATTAACTCCCCCTCTGAACACAACTGGAAAAAATATAAAGGATATTTTCTTGAAGGCATTATAGAATCAAGAAGATGGTAAAGAATGGCCAAGCCAAGATCCTGGAAGAATGGAGGTCTGAGAAGGTGAGCCACGCATATGGGGCCATCTTCCCCTTGGGGCACCTTCTGATTCTGGAGAGCATCGCTGAGCAACAAGGACTCCATCCAGGGCTGAAGGCACATAAATTGGAATCCAAGGCCCCCGAAAGCCAGGGAGCTTGGTTAATTTGGACTGGGATCCTGAAGGGGTACTCTTTAAAAGCAAAGACCAACCAGAAGTTGGCAGGCCCTCATAGGCACTGCAGCTTAGTTCTGAATCATTTCAGTCCTTGAAATCGGACTGATGTTAACCCAGATTGCTACTGCTGCCAAGTGCCCACCAGAAACAAACACAAACCCATCTCGGAGGAGAAATATCTATCATCCTAGACCTCAATTTATTTTTACATTTTTTCAATCTTTAGATAACTCAATCAAAAATAACCAGGCATACAAACAGGCAAGATTATATAGAAAAAAAAAACCACTAGTAGACACCACAAGCAACAGAAACATACCCACAATTGCTCTAGATTTAGAGCAAAAGAACTATGTTTACTATATTCAACAAGATAAAAGACGAGATTGTTTTGGCAGAGAACTGTAAACCAAAAGACGAACCAATAAACTTGCAGAGAGGCTCAATATCATTAGTAGTTAGGGAGATGCATATTAAAACTAAAATAAACTACTAGTACATCCCAACTATGATGGCTAAAAATTTTTTTAAGTGACAACGACAAGTGTTGCTAAATATATTGAGTAATTCTCATAAGCTGCTGGTACAACTATAAATTGTTTAAAGCCATTTTAGAACTGTTCGGCAATATCTAATAAAACTGAACATATGTGTAACCTATGATGCAGTGACTCTATGGCAAGGTTATACATCCAACAGAAACTCATGCACATCTACATCAAGAGACATAGACAAGATAACTCCTACTCGCAAAATCTGATCACTAGAAGGAAAAATAGATAATCTTACTCTCACAATAGTAGAGTTAAAACACACACTTGTCGGCCGGGCACGGTGGCTCACGCCTGTAATCCCAGCACTTTGGGAGGCCAAGGCGGGCAGATCACGAGGTCAGGAGATCGAGACCATCCTGGCTAACACGGTGAAACCCCGTCTCTACTAAAAATTCAAAAATTAGCTGGGCGTGGTGGTGGGCGCCTGTAGTCCCAGCTACTCGGGAGGCTGAGACAGGAGAATGGCGTGAACCCAGGAGGCGGAGCTTGCAGTGAGCCGAGATCTCGCCATTGCACTCCAGCCTGGGCGACAGAATGAGACTCCATCTCAAAAAAAAACCAAAACAAAACACACACACACTTGTCTCAATAAACTAATTGATCAAGTAGAGAGAAGCTGAATAACAACCAATAAACCCAATCTAAAGGAAATATGTAGATCCAACTAGAGAACCCATTATTTTCAACTCCACAGTCATTAAAGAAAAAGAAAAAATGCAAATTTCAACAATGATCAAAGAATCTTTATCATACAATTTACATTATTTAAACCCAATAAAATCAGAAATCAAGGACAAAAAAAATCTTGGAAATTTATGGACATAGTTTTAAAAAATCACAGGTCAGAGATGAAACCATAAAGGATATTAGGAAATACTTACAACTTTAATGACAATGAAAGCACTAACTATTGAAATATATGGGATTCAGCTAAACCACTACTTAGAGAGAAATGTGGAGTTTTATGTGTGTATTAGAAAAGAAGAAAGCCTGAAAACCAATAATTTAAATGTATGACTCGGGCTGAGTGCTGTGGCTCAGGCCTGTAGTCCCAGCTCTTTGGGAGGCCGGGGGAAGTGGATGACATGAGGTCAGAAGTTTGATACCAGCCTGGCCAACACGGCAAAATCCCATGTCTACTAAAAATACAAAAGTTAGCTGGGTGTGGCGGTGCATGTCTGTAATTCCAGCTACTCAGGAGGCTGAGGCAGAAGAATCGCTTGAACCAGGGAGGTGGCGGTTGCAGTGAGCTAAGATGGCGCCACTGCACTCCAGCCTGGGTGACAGGGCGAAACTCTGTCTCAAAATAAAATTAAAAATAAATAAATAAATAAATGTATGACTCAAGAAGTCAGAAAAAGAACAAGAGTATAAGATAACAGGGGCAGAAATTAATGAAACTTGAAACAAAAAAAAAATCCTGATTTTTAAAACAGCAGCAAAACTGAAAGCTGCCTTTTTGAAAAGACTACAGGAAAATAGAGAAGGCATAAATAGGAATGAAAAAATGATTACAACTACAGATACAGCTGACATTTTTGAAAAAGAATACTATGAACAACTTTATGCAATACAACTGAAAATTTAGGGAAAAGTGGACAATTCCAAAAATAAGTAACATTAAAATTCAGTCAAGAAGAAATGTAAAACTTGAACAAACCTACTAAAGAAATTGATCCAGTAGTTAAAAACCTATTCCCTCAAAATAAACTAAAAATAAACAAATAAAACCCTGGACACCTGCCCTAGATGGTATTATCAGCAAATCATATCAAACATTCAAAATGCAGATAATCTCTATTTACACAGACTATTACAGATGACAGAAAAAGAAATTATTCCCAACTCATATAATGAAGCTAAGAAAACCCAAAAACCAAGCCAAACAAGTACAGCATGAACATCTCACTTACTAACAGATTTTAAAAACCTAAATAAAATGTTAGAAAATACAATTTTACAAAATCTTAGGCAACACCATTGTCAAGTACAAGTTATCCAAGTAACACAAAACAATATCATACTAGAAAATACTTTAGTATGATTATTTAATTCATCACATTGACGGACTAAAGGAGAAAAACTGCATTATCATCTTAACAGGTACAGGAAAATCACTCTTTAAAATTCAACACTCATTCCTGATACAAACACCTAGCAAACCAAGACCAACAGAGGATTTCTCTAACCTGATAAAGACTACCTACAAAAACATACAGCAGTCCCTTTAAAATCTGGACTAAGATAAGGGTGCCCACTATCAATCACAGCCTCCATTCAATACTGTGCTGAAGTGCCTGACATGGAAGTAAGACAAAAAGGACTGGCGTAAGGATTGGAAAGGAAGAGGCAAGTCTGTCATAATGTGCAGAGAATAGGAAAGTCTACACAGAATAACTAAGAAAATCTATAAGTTATTAGAATTAAAATGAAAGGTTCCTGGTTATAACCTGAAAATACAATAGTCAGTTACATGTCTAGACATGAGCATAAAAATAAAAATATACAGCTGACACTTGAACAATGTGAGCGTTAGGAGTGCTGACCTTCATGCAGTCAAAAACCCACCTATAACTCCTGACTCCCCCCAGAACTTAACTACTAATAGCCTCCTGTTGACCAGAAGCCTTACCAATAACATAAATAGTCGATTAACACATATTTTGTATGTTATATGTATATACCGTATTCTTACAATAAACTAGAGGAAAGAAAATATTGTTAAAAAAATCATATAGAAGAGAAAATATAGTTACTGTTCATTAAGTGGAAGTGGATCATATAAAGGTCTTCATTCTTGTTGACTTCACATTGAGTAGGCTACAGAGGAGGAGGAAGAGGAGGGGTTGATCTTGCTGTCTCAGGGGTGGCAGAGGCAAAAGAAAATCTGCATATAAGTGGAGCCGCACTGTTCAAACCCATATGGTTCAAGGGTCAACTGTAAGTCATGTACAACAGCAAAAAAACTATATAACAAATCAAACTAGTCACACAACATAAAGTTTTATTGAAAGTAATTTTAGAAGAATAGAGAGATGTACTCTATTCACATATAACGAGTCCAAATTATAAAGTTATTAATTTTCCCCATTCTAATTCTATATGTTCAATGTAATTCCAAACTCCTGCTAGGGTTTTCTGTGTGGAATCTGACAGATTGATAATTATAAAATGTATAAAGAAGATCAAAGAGCCAAGTACAACCAAGGCAACTTTCAAGAACCGCCTAAGGTGGGAAAGTACTTGCCCTACTGTTAGAGGAAAGGAGTCCCGATCCAGACCCCAAGAGAGGGTTCTTGGATCTCACACAAGAAAGAATTCAGGTGAGTCCGTAAAGTGAAAACAAGTTTATTAGGAAAGTAAAGGAATAAAAGAACGGCTACTCTATAGACAGAGCAGCCCCAAGGGCTGCTGGTTGCCCATTTTTATGGTTACTTCTTGAATATATGCTAAACAAGGGGTGGATTATTCATGCCTACCCTTTTTACACCATGTAGGGTAACTTCCTGATGTTGCTATGGCATCTGTAAATTGTCATGGTGCTGGTGGGAGTGTAGTAGTGAGGACCACCAGAAGTCACTCTTGTGACCATCTTGGTTTTGGTGGGATTTAGCGGCTTCTTTACTGCAACCTGTTTTATCAGCAAGGTCTTTATGACCTGTATCTTGTGCTGTCTCCTGTCTCATCCTGTGACTTAGAATGCTTTAACCGTCTGGGAATGCAGCCCAGTAAATCTCAGCCTCATTTTACCCAGCCTCTATTCAAGATGGAGTTGCTCTGGTTCACACGTCTCTGACAATACCAGCTTTCAAGATTTGTTATACAATTATAGTAACTAAGACAGGTTTCTACACAGGGAGAGGTAAACAGACCAAGGGAAAATATGAGAGAAACAAATCCACACATATATGGAAACCTGGCATTTGACAGACATGGTATTATAGATCAGTATGGAAAGGATGAAACACCCAATATATGGTGCTGAGACAACTGGTAATCCACATTGAAAATAACAAAGCAATCTCTACTTCTTGCCACATCCAAAAACTAAATTTCAGAATAAAAGACTCAAATGTAAAAAGCAAACTTTAAAACTTTAAAAAAAATATGGGAGAACATCTTTATGACCTGGAAAAAAAAGGGTTTTTTAAAACAAGACATTAAAATAAAAGAAACCATAAAAGACTGATAAAATGACTACATTAAAATTATGAGCGAGAAGCAGAAAATAAAAGGTAAAATTACTGACAAGAAGACATTTCCAGTGTATATTACCATCAAAGGACTAATAACAGAATACACAAAGAACTCCTACAAATCAACAATCTTCTCTCCAAACAACTATTTTCAAAAGTATGAAAAGCCTCCATTTTTGTTTTCATTTTGAAAAATGAATTATTTAGGCTCACTGAAAATATTCTTTTCCTTATTGTAATTTCTAACACAGAATTCTAACACTGATTTTGAATAGTATTAGAACTATTGAAAACAATTTAATGATTAATACATTTGAACTGTTTTTATGATTATAAAATAATGTGTAACTATGAATTTTGTAAAGATATCAAAATACACATTTGAAATATTTAATTAAAATGTTAAAATTAAAAAGAAACAAATGTAAAGAGCATAAAAATCATTAAAAATCCCTCATGCATCACACACACACATTTTGTCAATATTTTGGATTTTTTCTTTACTTTGTTTCTATTAATAAATACATATACATAGATGCACAACAAGCTGGGTCCAAAGTGAGGGTGGCTTATTCAAGTGATGACATCCATCAGTCAGTAGATGATGCAAGCTAATGCTTAGGAAAGAGGTGAGGTCTGGGGATGTTGACTTGGGAGGTCATGCTTAGAGCAATAAAAGTTAAGACTCAGTCTTGGATGAAGAGATTGTAGGAAGAAAATAAGAGTGAGGACACAATATTAGAATAAGGAGCAGAATAATATGTTGGGAAAAATAACTTGAAAAAAGAGAAAGTACAATTAGATAGGTAGGAGGAGAATCAGGATATTGTGGAAGAATGTCAAGAAGAAGATAACATTCAACTGCCAATCCTGAAAAGAAGTTAAGGAGAATGAATCCTAAGAAAAGGCCAACATATTTAACAATTGAGAGAGACGGCTGTGGAGTAAACGTCTGATTACAGGAATGCAAAGAAAACAGATTGAAGGGATAGGGATATGTGCATATTTACACCACACAGTCAACAAATCTGGCCAGAAAGAAAGGTGGCAAATCAAGCTTTTTTTCAAGATATTAGAGATCTGTTATCTGTCTACCTTCTCTGGGTGAGAAGCCCAGTATACTGAAAGACTAAAGATGCTGGGAAGAGAGAAGTAAACAAAAACACAAATGCCTGAAAGCAGAGGGAGAGGATGGACTTTAAAAGAGTTCTGGATCATGACTTGTCATCTGACACAGGAGAAAAGAACCGGGGTCACAACAGACATAGTTCAAGCTGAAGAGGACAGGAGAAACCTCTGGCTAGGTAAACTTAGTAATTTTAGTACCAAGGTACGTCACGGGACAAAACTCAACTTAAATCAAGAAGCATCCACACTAAACTATACCTAAGGGCTTATAAGAGACGAAAAAAATCCCTCATTATGTCTTTGCTTCAACTCACCCATGACATGAGAACCAATACTGGTATTTGGGTGAAGCTTCAAAACAACTGAAACTATGGGGAATGTTTCAAACCAGTTAAGCACTGACATAAATGACTGAGAAACTCCGGTTTCCTTAAAATAAGCAAAATATTCATTTGTTTTGATATTATTTTTTGATGATACAAGTGTCCATCTGTAGTAGCTAGTCAATAAATATTGGTTCATGCTACCTGTACTGAATGTTTCTGTGCTACATGGTCAATTGCATAATTGCCAGTTTAAGGTACAGCATTAAGAGCAAAACAATTCACGGTGAAATACCCCACCCATGTTTTCCTACACATCTGTGATTCAACAAGGAATGTAATGATTCACAGTATTGGCATTAAGTTTATATTGAGGTTGCCCTTTTGTAACTGAGAAGTAGGGCTGGGTTGTCACTGTGATCTTCCCAATCCCTTCCACATCCAAACCCTCACTTCCCTTCTCAGCCCCACTTTGAATGACGCCAAGTTAAAACACTAATGTAGACATCCTCTGTCATAAAGCCAACAAACCAGAGAAACAAGAATGCTTATTGACCTCCTTCCTTAACTACTTCTTAAAAAGGGATCTAAAATTTATGAGTAATAAAATTCTAAAAAGAACATTTACCTTCTATGTGTATGCATAACTAAAGCCTACAACTGAAATATTTGGAACTTCTAAAGTAGTTTTCAACTTCAAATACAAACTTATATTAGAGACAAAAGCCATTAGCTTTGCTATGAGTAGTGTGAAGGGTTGATGTGACTTGAGGAAGCAAAGTTTGCAAAGATTTTCATTTGACTGTAGATTTACAAAATGTTTAACAATTTCAGTTCCTGAAATAGTTAATATAGGTTAAAATAAATTAGTAAGTTAAATGTGGAAGTCTTTAAGGTAATAACAAAGCAAGGCCATCAGAGGGAAACTGAGAATTATCTCTCTCAAATATCTGGAGAGTGACTGTCAAAATCAAGTCACAAAGAAATTACTACATTCACATTATTCCGTGTTCCACAGATGTTTCTTCTATTGCTCACATGAACTCTTTTCTCTTTGCTTTCACACTCACCAGTAACACTTGTAGATCTCCTAGGTCATTTGAACATTTAGCATTCAACTCTTTGATCAGTTCAAACTGCCTCCACAGAACATCTTTTTCTTTCAAGCGTTCCTTATTCTCAAAATGTTCCTTGAATTTCAACCAAATTTAAATTCCTTACATTTACCTTCTAAACTTTGTATTCACCTCCTCTGTTCCAATAAACAGGAACAACTCTCTAAGCCCTTGTGTCTTGTAGCAACCATTGCCAGGCATTTTCTTAAAATTCTTACACCTCCCTTGAGGTGCTGGTAGCTTTAGAAATGTCGCCGGAGCAGCATGAAATTAGCCATGACTAGGACAGGACAGTCAGGAATTGCTGAAGACTCTCATGCCTGCTTCACCACCTATGGTCATTACAAAGGACTTCAAAATTCCTGGCTTTTCCAGTCCTGGAATGACCCTGATCCCTGCCCCATTCCTATAGCACAATCCCAAAACCATACATGGTCTTTCTCACCACAGTTCCCCTGCCAATCTCTTAAATGCTCACATCTAATGCTTAGGCCAAGGCTCTTGTGTTGCACAAGAGGTCCCCTACACCCCCGTTCCTGCTGACTTCACCTCCTTGCATCAACAATCTGGTCTCCTGGGCCATCATTTCAATCACCCTCTCACCTTTAATCACAACTATTTCCTTCCTTTGTCTTTCTCCACATACCACCCTTCAAAACCAGCAGTGCCAGCTCTCCACTGCCACCCCCAGGCAGATGTGCTTTGCTGGAGAGAGTGACACCAGACTGGCCCTGGTACAGTCCTCAACATGTTCCTAGCCAGGGTTCCCTCTCCTTTTCTGGTCCTCAGCAGCAATCCTACATCATCACCTCTCTGTAGCATCCCCACCTTCTCCCTCTTCCTCAACTGGCAATCTCAATGCCCACTCAGGGAATGAAACTACCTCCCAACCCCAAACTGGTCTCTATATGAGTTCCCTCCTCGCTGGGGGTTTCCTCCCTCCTATGCGCTAGAGTCCATCCATCTGTCCCATCCCTACAGCACCAGGGCCCTCCATTCTCCCTTTCCCTCTGGTATCTTCGAAGACTCTCCACAGCCATCTAAAGATACTCAACACTCTCCCACTTAAAAAAAATGGCACATGTTAAAAATTAAAGACTTCTATAGAGAACATTAACACGCCACTAAATACTGAATAGAGTCGTCCAGTCAGTCTTCATCATCTAGCTCCTCTATGTTGCCAGCACCTGTCAGTGCCTGCCTTCCCCGGTCCAGCCTGTTGTAGACATTGTGCTCATTCCTTGTTTCTTGTTTCTTCAGCCCCAGAACCTTCCTAAGCCATCCTGACCAAGCCTTTGGGCTTCCTGTGTCTGCATCTACAGGGCCACCCGCCGGCTCTCCAAACTGAGGCTTTCTTCCCCACATCTGCAGTTCTGATTGCTCAACTCTTGGCTTGGTTTCAGATTAGTACTCCAGGTACTGCAGTCTGACTAAACTCCCACTTACTGCACTCATGTCCAATCAGTGTCCTGACAAGACACCAGCTCCTTTTCCCTGGGGGTACAAACCTTATCTCAATCCCGCAAATTATTAGGGGTCCCCGTGCTCCCAAATTCATGTCACTACCACTAACTAGTGGAATGAAGTACTGTTATTGCTTACAGACCGCTCTACTGGGTTCATAAGATCCACCTTGGGTTTATCAAGTTCCCTTAGAAAATATATTTAGAACGCTGGCAGCCCAGTGGAGTCCAGCTACACAGCTCGGCGCGTTTACCCTGGGATCCCTTGTTTCTTGTTTCCTTTCATTTCCTTCTCCAACCAATTTCCCATCATACCTATGGGCAAACACCCATGTTATAACAAGCAATTCATTAACTACTTATTTTAAGTTATGGTGAAGTGTTATAACCATAATATTTATAAGTGTTATGAAATTTATAAGTTCTGAAATTTACACAATTCTTTCAGTGGTTAGCAAACCATACTACTATTATAGACTCTATTATATTTCATAACCACATATTATACACAACATGAGAAGATCTCTGTTTAAGAGTCCCACCTATGGTATTTGTAAAACCATTCAATCAGGCAAAAACAAATTAAAAAAGTAATATCAGATAGTAATACACTAGAAAACCAAACCTTGAACAAACATTTGGGGATCCCCAGGCTTACAAATGTATTGGTTTCTATTGGGTAAAGTCTTGGCTTTCTCATTTTATATCATTTAAACAAAGGAACTGAAAATTATATTTTAAAATAAAAACCATAATCTAAAACTAATCTAAGAAAATACTGAGAAAAAATAGCAGTAAATTTATATATTTTATCTTCTGTAATGAAAACTAAGGGGAAAAAGGCATGCTAAAAGCAACTAGTTCTAAAGTAACTTCATGAATGTACCACACAGAATACTTAACAGCTTTAAAAAGCAGTTATGAAATGCCCATTTGAACATCAGATGCCACGGACAGAACAAGTATCCAACCTAAAGCAGACAACACGGACCCACTCAAAGATATGCAGTGACATGCAGAGTCGTACTTCACACAATCCTCATTTGGAGAATGAGTCAAGAAGGGCAGCAGCGCGACCCTCCAGGCTTTTCCAAAATGACCCTCCTGATAACTGAGGAGCTCCAGCTGGGCTGTTCTTTTGCCCTGGTTCAAAATATACCTAGATGTGGAAAAGTACAAAGGCAAGCATTTCCCATCCACTAGAAAAGAAGTTCAATTATCAAATGCTAAATCTAGGTTACACTAAAAAAAATTAGATGAATTAAAATGTGGCCTGCCTCAAAGCAAGAGCATGTCTTACCAATCTTACTGTATCTCACTTAACATACTCAAGAGGAAAAGAAATTGAAGCATTTAAGTAGTCCATCTTCAACATTCTGCTGTGAATACAGGACCTGTAATATGCTTGTTCTACTTGACATATAAAAAGAATCACATTTATGTGGAAGCCTAAGGTTAAAACAGGTTTTTAAAATGTAAACAGCAGTAACATGAATGTATTGAATTACGTAAATCCCAAAACTTTTCATGCCACAATGGTATGGGAAGGTCGGTGACTGACTCACCTAAATAAAATGCAGTAAGTCAAAGTATATAGTTAGAGCAAAAGGAAAAAGATAAAAACATTTTAAAAACTAATTTATGGTTTTAATTCTCTATAATAAATCTTTTAAAAATTAATACACAATAGAAAATGGAGAAACAAAGTTAATAAATGCTTACAAAGATGGCTTATGTTATATTAAACATGAAAATGATATCAAAGCATAATTATGAAATCATCAAAAATCACGTTTGTAGTACAAGTTTACAGCTAGTTTTAAACAAAGAATTTTGACCAATTACTTGCAGAAAGTAAACAAGAAAAAAAGCTTGACTTCTTTCTGACAGCACGGAAGTCCTTATAAAACAGAGCACTATGTCATTCGACTACCACCCCCCAGTTATCACAGTTCTTGGTATATAAATCACCTTCGAATAAGCACAGGGTGTCTGAAATTTCCACTCTGCCCTAAGTAACACCATTCAAAATATCAATTGCTTCCAGCAATTCGAACAATGAAAATAACTTTAAATTGGAAAGATTATCCCACTTTCATCTCCACATTAAAGTCCATCCATCATAAATTTAAGTAGAGTTATGGTGGGCAAGACGTAGCAAGAATGAAATAAAGTATTTTAACCACAAGAGACCCAAACAGGACTTGGCAACGCTTCCTAACTGCACACGCTAGAAAGCCCTGCCCCCATGTGGCTGAAAGTCTTGCACAGCTGGCCAGCTTGCCCTGGGGCATAAGGGAGAAGGTTCATCCCCGAAATTGCCATGTTAAATGCCCACTTCTGGCTGTTGGAAGATTTAGGATACCATCTACTAAGCAGAAAGGATACCTTTTTCCCAGGCTCAGTGTCTTGGACAATGTGAACACACAACTAATAACTGCTGGATTATGGAGACAACAGCTTGTGTCTGCATAATGCCTTATGTAAGGTTCCCTCCCACGGATGCAGCAAACACGGAACATTCAAGTTCTGAGATGATGCTGAGGCTCAATTTAAATGGCATCTTTCCTGCTCTCAACTCTACTTTCCTGGTAATGCTTCATGACATACGATCTTTTAGTCATTATTCCTAAATAATAGTGCCCTGTCAGTACTGGGGGCAAAGGACGCATCTTGGCACTTGGAGCTTTTGCTATTCTCTCTCCACCTGGTACACACTCTGCAGTCTGTGACCCTCCATTTCCACCTCCAGCTGCCTGGAGTCTCTCTGCGAATGCTTCAATTCCCTCTGGTTCACAGCCCAAACCAGAGCCTACACCTGATTTACCATTAGCCATTTCCCAAGCCTGTACTCTGCTCCCCAACCCCTAGCACAGGCTCAGTGACTCTGAAGGTGAAAGCTGGCAGCAATGCTGGTGAGTCATAAGAGAAGGCAAGGAAAAATACCACCCAGCTACACACCATGTGCTATGGTCAGAATGTCTGCATCCTCCAAAATTCATTTGTTGAAATCCTAACCACAAAAGTGATGGTATTAGGAGGTGGGGCCTTTGGGAGGTGATTAGGTGCTGGGCTGGAGCCCTCATGAATGGGATTAGTGCCCTTACAAAAAAGGCCTAAGAGAGCTTGTTTGCCCTTTCACCATGTGAGGACTCAATGAGATGATGTCTGTCTACCAGGAAGTGGGCCTCCCCAGACACCAAATCTGCGATGGCCTGATCTTGGTCATCCCAGACTCCAGAACCATGAGAAATAAACTTCTGTTGTTTATAACCCCCCAACCCCCCAGTTTATGATATTATGTTATAGCAGGCAAAAAGCATTAAGACACCATGCACTTGAATAACAAACTCTGGAAATAGAGCCACTGTCAAGCCTATTAGTGACTCTCATTGTGAGACTTCCAGAATAAGCAGGCCGTAAGATATTCTGGGGGAAGACTGGGTGGGGTTTATGACAGCATCCAAGTCAGGTTCGGAGGAATGGGCCTTCCTCTAACCTACAAAGTCATAACTAGAAAGAACTTAACTATAGCATTCACTTCTCCACCTGCCATAGGAAAGAAAAGAGTAAATCATAGGGGAGACAAAGTGATTCCTTTCCTCTTGGTTTATAAAGCCTGCCCAGAGCCAGCACACAGAGCGTGTGCCCATGTCACAGGTGGCCCTCCCCTTCTGCACCAGGTACACAGTCAGGCCTCACGAAACATTAGCTACTACAAAATGTAGGACTTACCCAAAAAAGAACATGTGTAGAGATAGAAAACAACATATTCTGAAATGTCCATTTTTCATTCTAATGCTCAGCAGTCATATAATAACCAGATGAACTAAGCTGCTTTCATTTAGACTTTTGGGAACAGAATGGTATCTGTTTCAAGACAAATACAACCAATTTTCTATCTATACTTGAAATTACGTGTGTGTGCATACAGACAGATTCACTATGTTATTTATATGTTCCTCAGGGATGATTTACTGTTCCATAACAAACGTGGTGATCAAATGATTCTAATCACTGACTGAAAAGTAATGAAATAATCTAAGATCATCTCTGAAAAGCTGAAGCAGATCCATATTAGATAAAAAAGAATGACTTCCATAAATCGACTCATTCAACACACAGGAAGGCATTCTATCTTTATATTTCTGTATTTTTCAACCTCCTCTGGCCTGCTTGCCACCCCACTGCCCATGGCCTATGTCACCAATCACCTCCAAGTGACCCCCACCCTCGCCCCTGCCCCGATGACCACCATAACCACAGCACCCAGAGATGAGTCCACTGCACTGTGCCACTTTCACAGATGGGGGAGGAAGAGAGCTGTAACTGTCAGAAATACATGAAAACTGTCAAAAATACATGCCATCAGCTCTGGAGATTTTGAAGCACTGATGTCTCTCTGTTCTGTGAATGTATTAAAAAAAAATTACATTATCCCTCCTTTCAAGGTTAGCAAAAATAAAAGATGAACTCTACTTCCACCTCTGCAAATGACCTCCTACGACCGCAGGCAGGCCCACGCTGCCTTTGCCTTCCCCACCTGCTTGAGGCCACACACATCTCCGTGGACCACTCCTCCCTTCCAGAAACTCCCCTGTTCGCTTCTTCAGCCTCTACCCAGGAGTTTCCTTTGCTGGCCCCTCGCCTTCTGACTGCCTATGCACTGGTGAGGTTCCCTGGCCCTGCCTTAGTCCTCTCTCTGTTCACAAAACCATCCTAGCAGTAAAATCCTTTTTCCCAAATAAAATGGTCTGTGCTCCTCACCCTCCAGTAGAACAGATAAAAGCAGAGCTACTCTGGCTGAAGGGGGGAAGGAGGCTTGAGGCCACCCTCATGGGGCATCTCTACAGACCTCTAGGGTTGGGAACCACCAGCAGTTTCCTTCAACCAGCTGGTGTGAGCTCCATCTCCGGTCCCCCCTCTGCCCCCTCAACACCTCCCCACTTTTTGCCCAACAAAGTCATATGAGTCCTTCCAGATCCAGTTTCCCAGCCACCTTGTTTGTGATTCTTTATGTACAAAGTAGCTTTGAGCACTTCGTTATCCCCCAAGGCACTCTGCACCGCCTCCACCATTGTACACGTATCACGTGTTTGTTTACATTTTTGCCGGCTCCACTAGATTGTGACCATTTTAAAGGCAGACAAGATGATGACAATGGCGTGCATGCGTGTATGTGTTTGCATGTGATGGGACAGGGGAGTCTCAGATGAACCTAAAGTTAGGCTTAAACTGCTCTGGGTGTGAGGCTGGTGCACTGGTCTGCATGAAGAGGCCGTGAGGAGGGAAGCGACTGGAGAAATGGGGAGGAGAGGTGGCTGCGGTCTCCATGCCCGCCCACCAGAGCTGCGTCTCAGCCCTAGACAGAGAGGGTCAAGCAAAATCCAGGAACTGCTTTCATGAGAGACTTCACAAAATATTTGTTAAACCAGAATACTGAACGCATAATATTCTCTTCTTTGAAATAACATTTTCTCTATTCTTTTCATTAAGACCCAAATTTCTAAAAGGCCTATATTTTCTTCTCAGTTCTGATGAATAAAATTCTGCCTAAAGTCAGAGTCAATAAGCTCCCGAACTAGCAGTTGCTAATGAAAAGAAACTCTGAAGAGATGAGAGATGATGGCACAGGTCAACTGGAATGGAGACAAAATACTGAGCTGCAAAACCGATCCAGAAAGCCCACTAGGTGGAGATGAAGGCCGGTACCACTCACAAGAATGGAGTCTTTGCAGCCTTTGTACTTACAACCATTTTTTAAAACAAGAGTTCTTGCAAGGTTGTCTAGAAGACTCCTTTAGAAATATCTGAACATTCACAGTTTAATCAAGAAAGTATCCATTAAGGGCAAAAATCTCCTACCAATTAGTTGTCAATTGGCAAACTGCATTCAGACTGGCCTCTGGAACTCCCAAAGTTATAAAAATAGCTGGATTCCTTTTTCTGCAAAAGAGCCTCAAGTCTCTCTGACTCCTCTCCGTTTGGAAGATTAATAACGGTGATAATTCTGGAAGACTCCTTTACCACACAGCGGTGCGTACCTCCGCAGAGGGCTGGCAGTGGGCCACAGCACACTCTGATGTCCCGTGCAGTTCACTGACACCCAGGTTAGCAACACAGGCTGTATGCTCAGTGAACTGGGGCTGGCAAGGGCAGGCCCGGGGGGACCTGCAAGGGAGGGGACTTGTTCATAAGCACCTATAAGAACCAACTCCCAAGTCATTTTTCTTTTCTTCCTTTTTTTTAAGTGAATACTCTCTGTATTTTGGTTAATCAACAATCTTTAGCACCCATTATGGACAAAACAATATGCTGCACACATACCAAGGATACAAGAAGGAACAAACTACCCTGGCCTGTGCTCTGATGGAGCGCACTTTCTCCTGGAGACAGATGAAAGAATAAATAAAATAACTGCAAGCTGTGATAAGACACTGGTGAAACCAAGACCACCAGCTCACCAAGTAACACTAGAAGATCGCCACAAGGGATTTTATATGTGTAAGAGAGAGAGCGGGTGGGCATCCTCTTTTGACATAAAAGATGATGGAGAAGGTCTTTTTTAAAACATGCATTCAGTCAAATCCATGAATTTAGCTAATCCTTCTTTCCCTAAGTGTGCAATTAGGGAAAACCTAATGACTACTTTACAAGTTATAGTTTTGGCTTCTTTTGCTATTTATTAAAAACACAGCCAGGCACAGTGGCTCACGCCTGTAATCCCAGCACTTTGGGAGGCCGAGGCGGGTGGATCATGAGGTCAGGAGTTTGAGACTAGCCTGGCCAACATGGTGAAACCTCGTCTCTACTGAAAACACAAAAATTAGCTGGGCATGGTGGCGTGCGCCTGTAATCTCAGCTACTCAGGAGGCTGAGGCAGGAGAATTGCTGGAACTGGGAGGTGGATGTTGCAGTGAGCCGAGATTGTGCCACTGCATTCCAGCCCAGGCTGACAACAGTGAGACTCCATCTCAAAAAAAAAAAAAAAAAAAAAGGCAATATTTTCAGGCCAAGCATGGTGGCTTATGCCTGTAATCCTAGCACTTTGGGAGGCCAAGGTGGGCAGATCATCTGAGGTCAGGAGTTTGAGACCAGCCTGGCCAAAATGGTGAAACCCCGTCTCTACTAAAAATACAAAAATTAGCTGGGTATGGTGGCGCGCGCCTGTAGTCCTAGCTACTCAGGAGGCTGAGGGAGGAGAATTGCTTGAACCCAGCAGGCAGAGGTTGCAGTGAGCCAAGATTGTGCCACTGCACTCCAGCCTAGGTGACGGAGCGAGACTCCATCTAAAACAAAACACACACACAAAACTAAATAAGACTAAACAAAAATTTTCTACCTGTTAAGGTACTTAAAGGAAATATTTTGTATGTAAAAATTAAAAATCGTTAGAAAACAGGTACTTGACTTTAAATTTATTTATTTATTTATTTATTTATTTTATTTATTTTTGAGACAGAGTCTTGCTCAGTTGCCTAGGCTGGAGTGCAGTGGTGCAATCTTGGCTCACTGCAAGCTCCGCCTCCCGGGTTCATGCCACTCTCCTGCCTCTGCCTCCCGACTAGCTGGGATTACAGGCGCCCGCCACCACACCCGGCTAATTTTTTTTTGTATTTTTAGTAGAGACGGGGTTTCACCATGTTACCCAGGATGGTCTCGACCTCCTGACCTCGTGATCCACCCGCCTTGGCCTCCCAAAGTGCTGGGATTACAGGCGTGAGCCACCGCGCCCGGCCTTGACTTTTTAGTATCACAATTTTGACCTAGTGAATACTGTGACCAGCTTTTGTTGGTGGGGGGACGGGGACGGGGGCACCAAGGAATTTATGACCCTATGTTTATAAATACAGATATCTGAATTGGAATTACACCAACACTGGCAACATCTTACTGACAAAATATTTTAATTTCATAAAGCCAATATAATCCCTTGTTCAATTTTCTCTAAAGTACACGAAACAGCTAATTTTTTCCTTCTTCAACTGATCTTTTCCTGCAATTATTTTCACTGAGATAAGGCTTTTCTAAGTAAATTTTAAATCAATCGGATTTTACCTACTTCAAATATTTACCAATTATAGCTTCTGTCATTATGAATTCTCTCTACTGGCAACTGCTTTTTGTTTATTTTATAAAGTCCAATAACCTGGATCAAAGTCTGAAGATTTTAAATCTGTCATGAATATTTCATTCTTTTGTTGATCTGAATTCAAAAACAAATTTTACTGTATTAAATATCAGCAAATGTCAATTTTAATTTTACTTCTTCTGTCAGCTTTTCAACTGTATGAGGTTTGACTATGCCACTTAACCCAGTGTCTGTCTTGTTTTATGTTGACTATTTCTACCAGGAATTGTCATTATGAAATATTCTACAGGACTGGTCTACTTTAATAAAAATCCAACCCTCCCACATACTTGTACACTTGTGATCACTTGGGATCTCATACTAACCTTCCTCACTGGTGAGTAACTCCCCTCTGGTGTTTCAAGTATATGGTCACGGAGACAAGGGCCAGGTCAAAATGTCCCCAAGACCAAAAGGTCTAGGCCCTAACACTGGAGCCAAATGTTCAGTGCATGTGTAGACAACGTGTAGCACAAGTATGTGCCTAAGTAGGAATTATGTTAGCTAGGAGAATCTGGAAAAAGTAAGAACTTTTATTCTAAGAATCACCAGCTGATATTCTTTTCACTAATTTCCAAAGAGAAAGACATAGCCAAGTCAGTTGGTGAGATTTCAACAAGTACTTATCGAGAAGCTGAAACTGCCCTACAAACTTCATTACTTCAAACCATTCCATTTGAGATAAGAGCTCCTCTACTCTCTCTCACTAAAACCTCACTTGCCAAGAATTCCCCCAAAGCCACATGGAGGCCCATGGCAGCACGAAACCCAATGCCCAGGATACTGGGCACTGGTGGGCAGAGGAGGATCAGTGTGCTTGGGAGACTACTTACACTGAGCCAAGAGTAAGTTTGACAGCAACAAATGAAGGGATGAGGACAGGGAAAGCTAGGTTTCTCACTACTGGAACACAGAAAGGGAGGAAAGCTAGAAAGAACTATGAGGCAAGGAACGGAAATAGGAGTACCAGTGAGAACTTAAGGCTATTAAACACACACACACACACACACACACACGCACACACACAGAAGGACACAGGTTACAGATGATAATGTATATGTGCTTGCATGTTCATTTATATTCACTGTATCTTTTCTGCTGTCTGCTGAGAGGGCCTGGAAGAAATGTACAGTACATCAAAGAAATAAGCACACTGAACCCCCTACATCACGGTTTCTAAATACTCCATCAAAGGGAACCAGAGCCTCCTTGAAGAAAAGGCTTATTCCAGGACTGGGGCAACAAAAGTATAAACTAAACCTGGAACACAATATGCAGAAAACAAGGAAGTGTTCAAAGATTGAAAGGGACATGTCACAACATCAGGAGAGCCAGGCTGAAGGAGCTCCCACTGTCTAAATCACAGGTCTCCACGAGTTGACACTGTTACAAAGAAATGAATGACAATGCAAATTAATAGACAAGAGAAAGCTTTTTACTACAGTGGAATGCCAACTAATAAATGCAGAATGAATGAAAGGAATATGAAATCACTATTTGGCAATCAGCATAGACGTGGCTGATTTGGGCAGGAGTCATCCGTGGAGGCCAGGGCTAGTGGATGAAAGTCTGATGAGAGACACTGGTGTAATCTTGAAACATCTCACCACAAAATACTAATGAATTACCAAGAGGACCACATGGTGAATTAAGTGTGAGAGAATCTGGCAGACGCAACATGCCCAGGCCAGCAAGGTTAACCTCAGGGCATGCGCCCTGATGCGAGGCTCTGAGAAGCACAGCATCATTTCCGTGGTATTTCTTCCCAGGATGCATGGCCTGAATCTGCTCATGAAGAAACACTCGATGGACCTAGGCTGAAAATTCTTTAAATTTGTCAAGGCCATGAAGGACAGGGAAAGGCCGATTTCTGTTTCCATTTTCAGTGCCCCTTTCATGGCCTAACTGCCAGCAAGGCCATTTATTCACTTAATCATATCTATTCATTCATTTGACAAATATTTATACTGAGCTGCACCAAACCCTTAACATTATGCCAGGTATTATGAAGCAATCTAATTTTATGGCACATAAGCTGTCAGAAATTGGGGAAGCAATATGAACACACAAATTCTAACATAAGGGATCCTGTAAGGTTGCACAGTAAAACAAGACTTCCTGAATGAGGGATAATTCGGGGAGCAATTTGTCCTAGATAGACAAGTTTTCATAAGTCTAACTAAAAATGCTACTGCAGGCACTAAATCTTTTTGTATTTTAACCATTTGGCTGCATTTTTTTGTTGTTCTAAAATATATTACTCACTTTCCTGCCTTCGTAAACTGAACACAATGTGGTCATTATTTTATGCAAATTTTAGTTGTATAAATCTAAATCATGCAACATAAAATATTAATAAAGTCTCACTTCATGAACACACCTGAAATTATGCAAATGTCCCAAATTAAAACTAAGCACCTAGAATTACATAATTTTAAACTGGCAGGCTGAGTGAATTAACCTGTGTGTCTATTACTGGTCCATGGCAAACCGATTTATCTGAAAACAGAAATAAGCCACCATACTTGTAGCTTATTGAGAGTCCTATGGGAAAAATAGTCTCAGAATCATAGGAATTTTGAATTATGCAGACACCTCAGATACGTATCTCTGAAAATGCCATGACAGCAACTATAATTTAACCTATTTATGAGTTGGCTTCTACTGTGGCATTAATTTTCTGGTCTGTGAGTTAAAGACTTGCTGGGAGGTCTGGCGGAGCAGACCCTGCTAGTTACCTACAAAGTACCCGTTTCCTCCTTCTTCCTTACTAGCAGAACCCATTTTCATCCCTAGGAGCCTGTGCCACCAAAACTCCCCATTTTCCACCCTCCCTTAGAACAGAAAATGGCAATGTGATGCAATTCTTGCCAAGGAGATGTAGAGAGATGTCCCTGGGGAGGGCATCTCCCCTGAAACTAAAGGGCAAAGCTTCACTAGGAGAAAGTTTTCTGACCCTTTACTCTGCCCCATTATTTTTGTTAGAAATACAGCATGTGAGGGCAGAGTCACAGCAGCCACCTAGAGACTGGACGAATGAGGGCTGAGGCCTATAAAACGAGGGCAGCCTGGAACAGTGCGGAAGGCTGGTCTCTGGGAACATCACAGCACAGCTGTGCCAACCCTGGGCTGCCTTCCCCCACACTCCTTGCTACAAGAGAAAAATGCTCCTGTTACTTTACTTTAAATGACAATCATTTGGGTGGGCACGGTGGCTCACACCTGTAATCCCAGCACTTTGGGAGGCCAAGGTGGGCGGATCACGAGGTCAAGAGATCAAGACCATCCTGGACAACATGGTAAAACCCCATCTCTACTAAAAAGACAAGAATTAGCTGGGCATGGTGGTGCCCGCCTGTAGTCCCAGTCACTCCTGCTGAGGCAGGAGAATCGCTTGAACCCAGCAGGCGGAGGTTGCAGTGAGGCGAGATCGTGCCATCACACTCCAGCCTGGCAACAGAGCAACACTCCATCACAAAAAAAAAAAAAAAAAGACAATCATTCAATCAACCAAAGGCACTGAGTGATATTTGAGGATTATTTATTTGCTCCTGTCCTAAACAGTCTTACCTTATTAATACCATGTCTTTTATCTTTTATATTCTTATGGCCATTATTTATGGAGTCTCAGACTTTTCCTTTGGTCAAAGAACCCAGCTAAGAAAATCAATACATGACATTCACCAGGCCAGAGCCTGGTCCAGCATAAGGTCCAGTGAGACAGAAATGAGAAGTAGGAAAGAGAACTTTAGGGGAAGTTTTCTATGCTTGAAAGAGAGCCACAGAAAGAGACACTGCCCCTGGCCTTTATCCTTGTGGACGTGAGGCCTGAACTGCTGCCCATGGCATGGCACAAGCCTACCGAGGAAGCCTACGCAGAGGAGGGGAGATGCAAAGTATCCCAGGAAAATGGAACCAGACCCACAGGATTCAATTAGCCCTGAAGAACATCCTACTGCAGAACTTCTAGTATATAACTTAATATCTTTATTATTTAGACCAGTTTGAGTTAGTGTTCTGTTATTTGCAAACAGGAACATTTCAACGACCTCAGAACGTGAAAGACTCAGCCCACTGTAAGAAGAGAAGAAGGCTCAATCACTCTCTACCTCCACATCTACTACTAATAACACCTCCACCACCACCTCCTCCTCTTCCAACTCCACCACCACCACCCCCTCCACCACCTCTACCATCACAACCTACTCCTTCACCACCACCTCCACCACTTCTACCCTCACAAACACCCACCACCATCACCTCCGCCACCTCCACCACCACCTCTACCACCACAACCTACTCCTTCACCACCACCTCCACCACTTCCACCTCTACAACCACCACCTCCACCTCCACCTTCACCACCTCCACTACTACCTCCACCACCACCACCTCCATCACCTCCACCACCAGCACCTCCACCACCACCACCTCCACTTTCACCACCACTACCTCCACCACCTCCACCACCACCACCTCCATCACCTCCATCACCTCCACCGCCATCACCTCCACCACCACCACCACCACTTTCACCACCACTACCTCCACCACCTCCACAACCACCACCTCCACCACACATCTTCACACTGCTACATCACCACCACACTCCACACACACACAACACCACCCCCACCTCCACCTCCACAACCACCACCTCCACCTCCACCTTCACCACCACCTCCCACAACCAGCACCACCTCCACCACCACCACCTCCACCTCCACCACCACCACCTCCACCTCCACAACCACCACCTCCACCTCCACAACCACCACCTCCACCTCCACCACCACCACCTCCACCACCACCACCACCTCCACCACCACCACCACCACCTCCACCTCCACCACCTCCACCTCCAGAAGCACCGCCTGCACCTCCACCACCTCCACCTCCACAACCACCACCTCCACCTCCACAACCACCACCTCCACCTCCACCTTCACCACCACCTCCCACAACCAGCACCACCTCCACCACCACCACCTCCACCTCCACCACCACCACCTCCACCTCCACCACCACCACCACCTCCACCACCACCACCACCTCCACCACCACCACCACCTCCACCACCTCCACAACCACCACCTCCACCTCCACCACCACCACCACCTCCACCACCTCCACAACCACCACCTCCACCTCCACCACCTCCACCTCCACCACCACCACCACCTCCACCACCTCCACAACCACCACCTCCACCACCACCACCTCCACCTCCACCACCACCACCACCTCCACCACCTCCACAACCACCACCTCCACCTCCACCTCCACCACCTCCACCTCCACAACCACCACCTCCACCTCCACCTCCACCACCTCCACCTCTACCTCCACCACCTCCACCTCCACAACCACCACTTCCACCTCCACCTTCACCACCACCTCCCACCACCAGCACCACCTCCACAACCACCACCTCCACCACCACCTCCACCACCACCACAACCACCACCTCCACCACCACCACCACCACCACTTCCATCTCCACCTTTACCACCGCTACCTCCACCACCACCACCTCCTTCACTACCACCTCTATGACCACCACCTCCACTTCCACCTTCACCACCGCTACCTCCACCACCACCACCTCCTTCACCACCACTTCCTGTGCCACCACCACCACCTCCATTACCACTACTACCACCACCTCTACCTCCACCACCATAACCACCACCACTTCTACCACCATAAGTACACCATCATCACCACCACCTCCTCTTCCACCACCAACTCCACCTCCACCATGACCTCCACCTCCACCACTACCACTACTTCTACCACCATAACCACTCAATCATCACACACTACACGCTCTACGCACACTTGCTCAGAGGGCTGGCAGCAGTCACGCACTCCCCAACACCCCCGCACCTCCACACCCACACACACCCACGCACACACACCCTCACAACCAAAGCACTCACTCACCCCCACCACTCACCCACGCACTCGAACACCTCCACATCCACAACGGCAACCACCTCTACCACCACCACCACCTCCACCACCACCACCACCTCCACCACCTCCACAACCACCACCTCCACCTCCACCACCACCACCACCTCCACCACCTCCACAACCACCACCTCCACCTCCACCACCTCCACCTCCACCACCACCACCACCTCCACCACCTCCACAACCACCACCTCCACCACCACCACCTCCACCTCCACCACCACCACCACCTCCACCACCTCCACAACCACCACCTCCACCTCCACCTCCACCACCTCCACCTCCACAACCACCACCTCCACCTCCACCTCCACCACCTCCACCTCTACCTCCACCACCTCCACCTCCACAACCACCACTTCCACCTCCACCTTCACCACCACCTCCCACCACCAGCACCACCTCCACAACCACCACCTCCACCACCACCTCCACCACCACCACAACCACCACCTCCACCACCACCACCACCACCACTTCCATCTCCACCTTTACCACCGCTACCTCCACCACCACCACCTCCTTCACTACCACCTCTATGACCACCACCTCCACTTCCACCTTCACCACCGCTACCTCCACCACCACCACCTCCTTCACCACCACTTCCTGTGCCACCACCACCACCTCCATTACCACTACTACCACCACCTCTACCTCCACCACCATAACCACCACCACTTCTACCACCATAAGTACACCATCATCACCACCACCTCCTCTTCCACCACCAACTCCACCTCCACCATGACCTCCACCTCCACCACTACCACTACTTCTACCACCATAACCACTCAATCATCACCGTGTGCCCAGAGCAGAGGAGCCCATGATGCTCCCTGCAGTTTCTTCCAGGCTCTCGTACTGGTGATGGGAGAACTGGTGATAAGAGTGGGAGTGAGAACGGGGGAAGGGGCCAGTCCCTTCCACAGAACTGGGAAGCCCAGAAGTGGTGTCCATGTCCCTCCATGGACTTTCTTTCTACCGTGTTCTCACCATTTCATGCCCAGCTCCCTTCTCACCAGCCAGGCGCCCATGGTGGAGAAAAACTTAGGATGTGTTTAAAGTCAAAAGGCAGTTTTGTGTCAAAACAGGTCCCTGAGGCCTCTCAGGGTCCCACCAGTCTCATAGTAGGAAGTCTCGAGGTTACATTCTGTAACCCCATATCCTTATCTGTAAAATGAGGCTGATGGTAATAGCTGTATCTAATTGACAAAGTTGTTATGAGGAGGAAATAGCTAATGTAATTAAAGTGCCTAGAACAGTGCGTGGCATTTAGTGAGTGCCACACATAGAATCATTTGTTAAATAAGTTAAATTGATCAATTACATGCATCAATTACATCAATTACATGAGGGGTTGAGGGAGGAGGAGAAATTTTTCATCTTCGATATCTTCACAGGGTTACAGATATTTCCTGTTAGTCTGCATGGATACTCTTTTTTTCTTTTCCTTTTTTTTTGAGATGGAGTCTTGCTCTGTCACCCAGGCTGGAGTGCAATGGCATGATTTCGGCTCACTGCAACCTCTGCCTCCTGGGTTCGAGTGATTCTTCTGCCTCAGCCTCCCAAGTAGCTGGGATTATAGGTGCCCGCTACCATGCCCAGCTAATTTTTGGATTTTTAGTAGAGACAGGGTTTTACCAGGTTGACCAGGCTGGTCTCGAACTCCTGACCTCAGAAGATCCACCCGCCTCGGCCTCCCAAAGTGCTGGGATTACAGGCATGAACCTCCGTGCCTGGCCAGATACTTTTTTATATCAGGAGAAAGAAGTGTCTTTTCAAATCGAAAAAAAATCACTGCTATTAAAAAAACAAAACAATTATTCAAGGAGCAGTGACATGTGATTTATTAACCCAAAAATGTACTCAAATGTAACATTCCAAATAATATCTTCTCACATATTTCCCCCTCTAATGACAAAAACTCCTCTAAAGTTTTTGAAACATGTATCCCTTTTGCCTAATGATTATCAGTGATGACTGAATCCCCTGTCACTCAAGGTTAAGGGAACATCACCATAAACTGTTAATTGGATCATTGTTTCTATTCACTGCACAAAACTTTTTGTAGTATTTTTCTGTTGGCAGAGAGATAAGCAGCAATCTAGATTTACACCCACAAAGCAGGAAATAAACTGCCTAAGTTTATGTTCTAGAATACCTTCCTCCCAAACAGAATGAACTTCACCCAACTGGCTCCATTCCCCTATTTTAGGAAGGAGGTTTAATAAAAGAAGCTGCAAAATTTCAAGCAATTTGTTAAATTTTTAAATTATCACTTAAACTTCTTTGACTATACACTTAGAATCCAACACCAGAGTGAAATGGAACAGCTAGGAATGTAAACATCATTCACTAAATCTAAAGACAAAAGGTCACTTTTCTTTTTCATATTGATTGTTATATGTCTATCACCCCCAGGGGGAAAAAAAAGAACCTGCCATCTGGTTTATGTACCATTTTACTCATTACAACATTGAAGAAGGGCTCAGGTTTTCTAGGCAAAACACATACACAGAACAGAATTGTTGAGTCCAGGCTATGCCTAAGAGAATTTTACCAAGCATCTCTGGGACACTGCCTCAAGGAACCAGGGAGACTGGATGGATTCCAATCCCTGTCAGTAAACTAGGATGCCAATCAATTATCCTGCAGGGTTACAAAATGAACTAGAATGCCCATCCCATTTAATCCCCACAGAGAAAGCTGAAACAATCACTTCTCCCCAGGAGTGAAATGGCATCATTCTGATGATGCCCGGGACCAAAGCCAACAGGCTCAGCTGGAACCTGAGGCCTCTCAGCCAGAAACTGGGACCAGGAAACTACAGCAAGTGGATCTCTTGCTCCACTTGCTATGTTTTTCTAAAAGCAATAAAAGTTGTATTTTTCCTTAGACAAATTTGGAAAAATTAAAAGTAAAATATAAAAATAAAAATAGAAATATTATTCTGTTAGTTATACAAATTTGATATGTATATATGCCAGGAGATTATTAACTAAGTCTAAGCTTTCCTATTTCAAGGTTCTGTATTTACTTTGGCAGTCATAGGGAGTCATACATTTAATCAGAATTTTTAAATAAATTTGTAAAATAGTGTGTAAAGTTTTCAGAGTTGTTTGAACTGTAAGAACATTTACAAAGTGGTATCTATGGTGGCTAAGGTACTTCCTAAAGGAAATAAAGATTTCTATTCCTATGTAATTAGAAGTCATTACAGATCCTTTACCAAATACCTTCCCTTCAGACTTCTGTGGCTAAGGTTTTAAATTGGTTCTACATGATTATATTACAAAGTCAACTTCCTTAGAAAAACAATTCTGAATACCTTTCATCTTCTAAGAAACCCTTTTCGAATCCATGTTTTTTTCAAATGTGTAGCCCCCCTCTTCCTTCTTTCATAAAAGAAGACAGATTTTTTTTTTTTTTTTTTTTTTTTTTTTTTTTGCAACGGAGTCTCGCTCTGTCGTCCAGACTGGAGTGCGGTGGCACCATCTTGGCTCACTGCAACCTCCACCTCCCGAGTTCAAGCCATTCTCCTGCCTCAGGCTCCCGAGTAGCTGTGATTACAGGCACCTGCCACCATGCCCAGCTAATTTTTGTCTTTTTAATAGAGACGGGGTTGTGCCATGTTGGCCAGGCTGGTCTCAAACTCCTGACCTCAGGTGATCCACCCACCTTGGCCTCCCAAAGTGCTGGGATTACAGACGTGAGCCACCATGCCTGGCCAAAAAGACAGAATTTTTAAAGTGTAGGGAAAAAAATGTTTTTAGCCCCATGCCAGAAATGCTATATGCCCCTACATATTTTGGGTATTACAGTATTAATTGCCATATCTTATGGTAGAAAGTGGGAGGAGCCAAGCTGTTAAGCTCTTCTTATTTATTTTTTTTATTGCTTGGAAAATCAGTTATTGCTTTTCTAAAAATGAAACATGCTCATTGTGAAAATTTCTAACAATCTAAAAACATGCAGAGTAAGATACAGGAAATGTAAATTGTTGCTCCACCACGCATGACCTCAAAAACCTGAGTAAGAAAATGAACACAAGTTGCAAAAAACTCAAATGAATTGCAGAAATTAGACTTCATTAATACATTCCCATTGCTGAGGAATGAAATGTCAGCATACCAAAGTCCATGGCTTTTCAATGCACTCTTCAGAAGTAGAAAACCAAAATTTAAAACAACATCGTCCATGAAGCCAAGGGAACCATTACACCAGAACATACAGCTCCTCCCTGGAATAAGCCTTCTGTGAACCTCAACTTTTCCTCTCTTTTAACATCAATGTTAAAATGCCTCCCTTCAGGGATACTAAGACATTTCACTTTTGAGACAGAGTCAAATAGAAAAACCATCAAAAAGAAAGAAATTAATTCTGCACCTGGGTAGCATTATTTTTTCCCTGCTTGGAGTGTGTACTAACTTCAACCAGATCAATTCTTTCATGAAATGAGGGAGAAAATAAACTCTCCATAATTTTAAAACATATTTATTATGATAAAAACATGGCTCTATTTGTCATTTCTATTTGTGGAAAACTGAAGGCCATCTTTTTCTCTGTAAAGCTTTTTGTCTGCTACATTCTAGAAACATTATAACCTCTCCACCAACCAGAATGATTCTGTTTATGCAAATAAATATATTTTATGACATGTAAAATTAATTAGTTATATGATTATGCTTCAGTAATGACAATGTTTTGCACAATAGAAAAAAAGCTGATAAAATTTAAATTTCCATTTTTATATTCCAACAAATAATTTAAATTTGTTTCTTGATTAATTCAATGTTTCACTTTTGAAAAGCAATTCACTTCATTTTGAAGTACATTTATATTTTCTTTAGTCACCTTAACTGTTAGTTCTACTCAGCAAGAATTTACTGTCTTTTTATTCTTTTTCTGTTCTTGGTTAAATGTCTTCTGGTAGGTCACATTTTACCTATTTATGTCTTGTGTCATAAAAGCATTCAAGAACATTTTAAGGTAAAATGCTTGAATAAAATTATTTTAGTAAAAATGTAAAAATACATGTAAAATAAATGTAAACAAATTAAAATAAATGTAAAAAAAATAGAGTATTGGCCGGGCACGGTGGCTCACGCCTGTAATCCCAGCAATTTAGGAGGCCGAGGCGGGTGGATCACAAGGTCAGTAGTTTGAGACCAGCCTGGCCAAGATGGTGAAACCCTGTCTCTACTAAAAATACAAAAAATTACCCAGGCGTGGTGGCGGGCGCCTGTAATCCCAGCTACTCAGGAGGCTGAGGCAGGAGAATTGCTTGAACCCGGGAAGCAGAGGTTGCAGTGAGCCGAGATCGTGCCACTGCACTCTAGCCTGGGCAACAGAGCAAGACTCCATCTCAGAAAAAAAAAAATAATAATAATAGAGTATTCACATTTACTGAGCTTTTATTTTCAGTAGTTATAGATAAGAGATGAAAAAGACAGAATTTAGTTTCATATTTTGATGTCATTTTTTGAAACAATGGCCGATGGTACCTTTATCATTCAAAATTTTTCAAAACTCAAAGGACAGAAATGAACATATCAGGTCTACCAAATAACCTAAACATTCATTAATTTGCCATTGAACCTTATGATACACCAATTGAAATAAAACCTTTTTACAGCAAAGAAAATTCTAGTATTTGCTTTATGGCATTACAGTATCTTTTTTATTCAAGTGGGGCCTGAAAGTGCCAGTGTTCCTCCAAAAACATGCATGAATTTACCACATTTCCATATGAGAAATAAGAACCTGTCACTTGGCCTTGAAAAAAATATGACCATTAATGTAATCACTTAGAATAAAAAGAAAGTGCCAGGAGTTCAAGACCAGCCAGGGCAACATAGTGAGACCCCATCTCTACAAAATATTAAAAAACTAGCCAGGCATAGTGGCACACGCCTATAGTCCCAACTACTTGGGAGGCTGATGTGGGAGGATCACATGAGCCCAGGTGTTCAAGGCTGCAGTGAGCCATGATTGCACCACTGCACTCCAGTCAGGGCAACAGAAGGAGACCCTGGCTCTTTAAAAAAAAAAAAAAAAAAAAAAAAAAAAAAGAATAGAAAGAAAGCACCATCATTAACTGAATTGGGATCCGTACTAATAATATCAGAGTAATTATTGTCTGGCACTACCAGGAAGCTGGGTGTTTGGGGTTAATCAGACACTTAAGTCTCTACTTATATTAACATGTGGATTTGTGATTTTATAAGATATTCACATTAATACTCTATCGAACTTAAATCAATTTTTCTTGTAGAGGTCAGGAAGCATTTCTCTATCTTCATATTTGGATCAGAATCATCATTATGAACCATTTTACCAATGTTATCATATCCATGCTAGTTAAGAAAACATTCTGGTTGGTAAACTGTTGGGTGAACCATTTCTAAAATTAAAAAATGCCTGCCACAAAATAAGTCTGCTGCATTTTTATGAAAATAATAAAATAAAAACTTTCATACTCTTTGGAAAAATGAGAAAAGCATTGATCAGTCCACTTACAGTGAGCTCACAGAAATCCATGCTATCAAGGCTTTTGCTTCTGTGTAATCTCCCTTTAATTCGTCTTAAAGAGGGTTTTCCTTGGCTGACACTAGAAGTAGCACCATTAGGATTTTCAGAGGATGGCGTTACCCTGCAAGAAAGAAAAAAATTCTTAAAAAGGCAGGTTTACAGGTGAACACATTTCTCAAGTTTGAGGTAAGCATTTACTCAAAGGCAGCTTTGGAAATGTCACACTCCTTTTTCCAGCCAAAAAGCTAAGAACCACAGCAGAGCTACATTCTATCAGATACCCTTTCTAACTATTTCTTAGCTAGTTAAGACATCTTGACAGGATTCAAATAGTACAACATTAAGATTTATTAGACTGTGGGTGGTGGCTCACACCTTGTAATCTCAGTACTTTCAGTGGCCAAGGCAGGAGGATCGCTTGAGCCCAGGGGTTCGAGCCCAGCCTGGGCAATACAGGGAGACCCTGCCTCTACATATACACACACGAATAAAAAAATTAGCCTGTCCTGGTGGTGCATGTCTGTGGTCCCAGCTGCTTGGAAGGCTGAGGTGGGAGGATTGCTTGAGCCTGGGAGGTCAAGGCTACAGTGAGCCACCACTGCACTCCAGCCTGAGAGATAAGAGTAAGACCCTGTCTCATTTATAAGGTTTTTTTTAAAAAAAGATTCATTAAATATCAATTCTACAACTATTGAAGAAGCCATTAATATTAGACTGAAGTTTTCTAGGTAACTTAGGGGCATCTGCTTCCTTCTGGGCAGTTATTTATTCAACACTCAGTCCGGTGCCTAGCACACCCAGTACAAGTGAGCTATCATTGTGTCCATCACAGATACTGTTCAGCATGGTTTTGTTAAGCATGAAAATAACATAAATCTAAACATGATAGCACACACTTAATTCAGCATAATTATGGAAACATGAAAACACAGACAAGAAGAAGTAGCAAATAGTATAAGCCATCTATAAAGTGCACACTGGAATACATGTTCATACATATACATACAGACACAGTAAATATCATAAAATAGACTAGATATGGCTACAGTTTAGAATAAAAGTAATACATCCATAGAGTTAAAACATTTGAAGGGTATAAAAAGATATAAAAATGGAAAGTAAAAGCTGCCCTTTTCTCCCTCATCCCAAACTCCCCTTTTCCAAAATCAACCACTATTAACAGTTGTTTGTATTGTATAATCTCCCAGACAAATGCTCATGCTTATATACAGATGTGTTTATTTCCTTTTCAATTTTTTTACCAAATTGTGTGTATTGTCCTGCACCTTACATTTTTCACTTAATATATCTTAACGTTCTTCCCATAATAATCCATACAGAACTATTTCACTCTTTTTAATGGCTAAATGGTATCCCATAACATAGATGTAATATAATTTGTTCAACTATTCACCTACTAATGGGCATTTAGTTTGTTTTCCTATGTTTGTTACCAAACCATACAGCAATGAACATCCTTGGCAACATCTTTGGGTACAAATGCATTATTTAGTTAGGAAAGATTGCTCAAAGTAGAAAGGCAGAGTCAGAGATGGGAGTTTCCTACATGCTGATAGGTAATACCTTTCCAAAAAGCTTTACAAATTTACACTTCCATCAACAGTATATGAGAATACCCATTTGGGGGAGTCCTTAAATACAAGGGCAACTTTATCACTTTATTATTTTTATCACTCAACTTCTCCATGTCCTTCATTATATTTTTGTCTGTTGAACTGCTGATTCTGTATAAAGGACTATTGTAGGATTTCCCACCTTGAACATGGACTTGTCAATTAATCTATGTCTTTTAGTTTTTGCTTTTTATATTTCAATTGTTTTTTATTAGATGTCTTGATGTTTATGACACATATCTTCTTAGGGATTTAATCTTTTATCATATAAAAAGACTATGCCAATTAAATATTTTACCTTAAATGCCATTTTGTCTGATGATAATTTTCCCATCTACATTTTTATATTAACCATTTCCTGATTTATCTTGTGTTTGTATTTTCAAGTGTTCGAAGTCTCTCTCTCTTTTTAGTTTTTTTTTTTTTTAAGTTGTACCTTTAACTCTGGATAAGTAGCATGTAGCTGGATTTTTTTCTTTCTTTACCCAATCTGAGGGTTAATGTCTTTTAAGAGAAACTTAATCCATTCAAATTTATTGTTTTTACTCATATGTTTAGATCTATTCCTGCCATCTTGTTTTGTGTTTAATGCTTTCTTCTTAAGTTTCTGCCTTATTAATATGATTGAGTTTACTTTGTCCTCAACCACCCTAAGACCTTTTTCCCTTTCCATTCAGTAGTTTGAAAGTTATACATCTTATTAGGGAAACTCTAACTCTAGTTAGCTATATACACACATGTACATTAACATCTTTATATATGTATCCATCACACACGTATATGTACACACACACACACATAAACTCATATTTTCCTATCAACACCTAGGGCTCATGAGTATGCTCACCTCCTCCTAAACAAGAAGTGGCATTAGCACGTCTTCATTCCCCCTTCTTTCCCAGCAACTCCACATCCCTACAAAAAGCCCCAACTTCCCTTAGAAATAGTGTTCAGGTTTCCTGGCTTCTTGTTCATACTTTTGATCTCTTTGCTCTTTTGTGATTCTTTAACTTACTTCTCCAGATTGCAAACTTGCTTTTTAGTTTTGTGAATTCAGCCATTGTCTTTTCTATGAATCAGTAAATTCTAAATTTCTAAAGTAGCTAGTTTTTTTTTTTTGTTTTTTTTTGAGTCGGAGTCTCGCTGTGCCTCCCAGGCTGGAGTGCAGCGGCGCGATCTCACCTCACTGCAAGCTCCGTCTCCTGGGTTCACGCCATTCTCCTGCCTCAGCCTCCCGGGCAGCTGGGACTACAGGCGCTCATCACCACACCTGACTAATTTTCTGTATTTTTAGTAGAGACGGGGTTTCACCATGTTAGCCAGGATGGTCTCCATCTCCTGACCTCGTGATGTGCCCACCATCAGCCTTCCAAAGTGCTGGGATTACAGGTGTGAGCTACCACGCCTGGCCTGTATCTAGTATTTTTTTAATTAATGCAATATTCTCATGCATCTTTCCAAAAATAACCTTTTTTTCTTCTGAAAATCACCATCTAATGTTTTTCTATTTTCTCAGGAGTTAGTTCTGTGTTTTAATTTGGTAATTCTCTGGGTACTGGCTTTCTTGAATTGTTTGGTGATTTTTAATGTCTACTTACATTTGTATTGGAAAACATCCATTTCCCCACTGCGACTACTGTGGCCTGCCTTCAGGAACTCTGGCAGAGAGATGGGATACGCTGCCAGGTCTGTGAGGCAGCTTCTCTTGCAAGTCAGTAGCTACCTCTAGGACAGCCCTGCCTCTCTGACCCCAGTGCTCCAGACAACTGTAACGTTTTCTCTCAACAGATCTATCCCTACCTACTAGTTACATTTCAAAGAGTCCTCAAAATTACGGGTCCACTGATGACATTCTTTATTGTTTACTCAGATTATTATTAATTTTGTCGTAGCTTTAAAAATTAATTTTCTTCTTTCATTGAATTTCTAGGGCGTCTTCCTTTCAATTGGCCTCCCAAAGTAAAATTTTACTGATGCCACTTTCATGATTCTTAGGATAAAAAGAAACATTGTACAGCTTTGTTCTCTTCTCCACAGGGTAAAAGCTTCCATGAAAACAATGAACTTTATTCAAAAGAGGACATATGGGAAAGAAAAATAGAGTTATAAAACTAAATACAAATCAACTTCTCATTTCTCTCTCACTTTATTTTGATAGCGCTGGTAGGTGTGATCATATTTTAGAAAATTAATGCAAACATTTAATATAAATAAATAAATCTGTCTAGTGTTCTTCGTAAGTTTTTCTCTCATCTGACTTAGAAAGGCATCACTATTCTCCCTTTATGCCAAATCTAGAAGCCTAAAAGAGCCTGTAATAAAAATTTATATCTACCAAATTTTATAAATGGCAGATAGTCAAGAAATTTACCAGGGTTAACTCAATGTAATACTAAATCCAGTGACAAAGTAAAACAGAAAAATAAAATGATCATAAACAAAACTAGAAGAATAGATCCACTGCCCTCCCTACCAGGATCATAATAAAAACATGCCTGTAATATCAGCACTTTGGGAGGCCGAGACATGAGGATCTCTTGAGCCCAGAAGTTTGAGACCAGCTTGGGCGACATAGAGAGATCCCGTCTCTACAAAAAATACAAAAAAACTCGCCAGGCGGGATTGCACATGCCTATGGGTCCCAACTACTTGGGACTCTGAGGTGGGAAGATCACCTAAGGCCAAGACGTCGAGGTTGCAGCGAATGGTGATCATACCACTGCACTCCAGTCTGGGAAATGGAGTGAGACCATGTCTCAAAAAAAAAAAAAAAAAAGTAATAATCAGTAGCGCTAAAGTGGTGTATACCAGGTGAAAATCAGCTCTGGACCTACCCTGCCCACAGACTCCACAGGAAGATGGTACCTTGTCTAAGAATTTAACCAGGCTTCTACAGAGTAACTTCAGGAACTTTAAAGCTTTGACCAGATCTTTGGGAAGCTGAGGTAAACTGTTAAAAGGCATATGGCTCAATAATGACCCCCCTTTGTTTGGTGTGGAATAAAGAAAAGAAAAAACACTGATCTAGATAATAATGCAGAATATTAACTCTGGTGTAAGTAGAAGTGCTCTTGTAGGAATAGGTGAATTTTAGATGTTGCTTCTCTTTTGTTTATTACTGTCTTTAAAAATATTTGTCTTGGGGAGGGGCGTGTGTGTTTCATTGTTTTCTGGACACTCACAAGAACACAGCTGTGTACCTGTAACTCAGGTGAGAAGAGCTATACAAAGAGCCCACCAAGGACAGTTCCATTTGACATGGAATATAAATTCTTTTAATCCCCTGGAACTACTCTTCCCCAGCCCTGATGGTGCAGATCTGAGCTGAGTAACTCAGACTTCAGGGATTATTCCCCGCATATTTAGGGGAATGGCCCTTTATGACAGGGAAATAAAGTTGGGAACTGATGTAGGGAAATCAATATTTAGCTTACAATGAGGTTTTACTTTTCCTAATTCTTTTTTTTTTTTTTTTTTTTTTTTTTGAGACGGAGTCTCGCTCTGTCGCCCAGGCCGGACTGCGGACTGCAGTGGCGCAATCTCGGCTCACTGCAAGCTCCGCTTCCCGGGTTCACGCCATTCTCCTGCCTCAGCCTCCCGAGTAGTTTCCTAATTCTTAATTCCATTTTATCCTCCCTAGAGGGAAGGTGGGGAGAAAACTTCTGCCTCTCTCCACCTGCTTTGTAACTTCCCTCGTGAGAGTGTACTTTACTTGTGGGCATGGCTGATATGCATCAAACGCTGAAGTCCAGGGCCCACCCTCTCGTTCCACTTCCTACCCCTACCGGATGAACACCGACCACAGGCCTGGCCCCTGGAGGCAGTCCCCCACTTGATCTGCCCATTTCCCTTCTCTTCACCTGACACTGCTAGAACAGGTCTGGTCTGCACTGCAGCCTCCACCATCATAGCTCCCGAGGTAAGAGAGGAAGCATCCCCTCAGAGGCTTGCAGACCAGTGTGGCCTGCTCCAGCACAGCTTCCTAGACAGACCCTCATTTGGGTGATAGCCAGCACCTGCCCCAATATTATTAACAACCCAGAAAACTGTTAACATTTAGTTCTTGTTCCTTGAATGTATCTTCCCTGGTCAAGGACATGCAGGAGAAAGATATACACCAATCCAACTCCACCCATTATGTCACACCTACAAAGCTCTGTTGGGCGCTCTGCTGGCTACAGGCCAAATGTGGACTGCTACATCTTTGACATGGGACTCGGTCCTTAGCAAAGTCATTTAAATCTGACAGAGATACAAATTTTCACTAGTCCAAAATACTTGCACCACAGTGCAGCACAACTTCTTGACATTCTGCAACCATCCCTCCCACACCCTTCCCTCTGCTGGAATGCTTTTCTACTCCCCATCCTTGAAAGCCCAATGTTCCCAGGAAGCCTCAGATATTCATTCCTTTTGTTTCCAACTCAGGAGCTTTGGCTACAAATATTTCTGACCATTCTAAGACAAACAACTCCCAAGCTCATCTACACCACCCATTTCTAATTTCCAGTGGAAAAGAACTCAATAATAACACAGAATCGGGCAAAAATAATCAAGATGGCAAAAACAAAGCAGTCACACAAGGACAAATCTATCAACAAAGTAACATCTAATAATCCTTCTACAAGATATTCGTTTTAAGATACCAGCAACTGACAGCCACAGCCAACTGAAGAGAATGCTAATGAGTGACAGCAAAGCTGTCCCCTTCCTCCACTTGAGGGGAATTCCAAACAACAGTGTGAGCCAAGGAGCTGTGAGACACTGCTAAGTACAGAAGGGCAGCTGGCTTTAAAAGGATGCTAAATCCTTCTGAAGGACACTTCAGGAAAAGCTAGTAAAATGCTAATTTTTGTTTATAAGCATTGGACTTCAGAAAGCTTAATAACTCATGTAATAGGTTAACAGTAAATAGTCATCTGATGAACTTAGAAAAAATAATGTGCACAACTGCCAATAATTAGGTCATTTAAAAAATTGTGGGCTGGGCACAGTGGCTCACGCCTGTTATCCCAGCACTTTGGGAGGCCAAGGTGGGTGGATCACCTGAAGGTCAGGAGTTTGAGACCAGCCTGGCCAACATGGTGAAACCCCGTCTCTACTAAAAATATAAAAAATTAGCCAGGTGTGGTGGTGGGCACCTGTAATCCCAGCTACTTAGGAGGCTGAGGCAGAAGAATCACTTGCACCCGGGAGGCGGAGGTTGCAGTGAGCTGAGATCGCGCCATTGCACTCCAGCCTGGGTGACAAGAGTGAAACTTCGTCTCAAAAAAAGAAAAAATTATGAAAGGACTTGGGTATTGGAGCCCTTCACGTCCCAACGGAGGACCTCAGTGATCCATGAGTGGGCCGGGGGACCACCCTTGGAGAAACAACCTTCTATCGGGCAATTACCAGTCATTTTAGTATCTGTTTTCAGTTATTCTCTCCTTCTAGACTGTCATCTCACTGATCAATTGTCTTTTAAACCTTGATCAATTGTATGAGTCTGAGCAAGTCAATGACCTAATTTGTAAAACTGAGAAAATACAGCCTCATGGGGTGCTATAAGTTAAATAATGACAAGATACTTGGAAAGCACTAATATAGAGTGCAGCAAGTAATAGCTCAATGAATAGCAACTCTTATTGTTTTTGGAATCTGATTATTAGATGACTACTTGAATGAATATACTGATAGTGCATGGCCTTAAATAATCACTGAATCAAATAACTGGGGAAATGTTTTTAGAGTATAAAGAAAATGAAATCACACCCCCTTTTCTCCCTAAGATCACTGTAAATACTTTTTTCTTTTTGAGACTGAGTCTCGCTCTGTTGCCAGGCTGGGGTGCAGTGGCATGATCTCGGCTCACTGCAACCTCCACCTCCTGGGTTCAAGCGATTCTTCTGTCTCAGCCTCCCGAGCAGCTGGGACTACAGGTACGCGCCATCACGCCCAGCTAATTTTTGTATTTTTAGTAGAGACAGGGTTTCACCATGTTGGCCAGGATGGTCTCGATCTCTTGACCTTGTAATCTGCCCGCCTCAGCCTTCCAAAGTGTTGGGATTACAGGTGTGAGCCACTGTGCCCAGCCCACTGTAAATACTCTTAAAGCACTTAGTGCAAAACTCAAGACTGCTGATAGCAATAAATTATGAAAATATTTTTCACATTTTACATTAAAAAGGAGTAACTATTATTTGTGCCTCATACCTGCAGAACAGCAGCATAAATGTCACCTTACTTAGAATGTTACCATGTTTAGAAACAAAGTCTTTGCTGATGTAATTAAAGATCTCCAGATGAGATCATCCTGGATCATCCAGGTGGGCCCTAAATCCAATGACAAGTGTCCTTATAAGAGACAGAGGAATAAGGAAGCAAGACTCAAGGATGTCAGAGGAGAGCTGTTTTAGTTGCAGTGGAGATTCTAATATGGCCTGCAGAAGAATCTGTCTGCATATGTATACATCATATTATAAAATGGAGCATTTATTTTATGAGTTCCTAGTTTATAATTTGAAATAAATTAAAAATTAAAAGTTTTAGTCTTTTAAAAAAAAGAGAGACAGGAGAAGACACAGAGACACAGAGACACAGAGAAGGTCATGTGAAGACAGAAGCAGAGAATGGATTGATGCAGCCACAAAGAATGTTCGAAAGAGGCAAGGAAGGATCCTCCCCTACAGCATTTGAGGGAGTGTGACCCTGCCAACACCTTGATTTTGGACTTCTAGCCTCCATAACTCAGAAAATAAATTTCTGTTGTTTTCAGCCACCAAGTTTATGTGATCTGTTACAGCAGCCCCTGAAAACACAAAGCCCCACTGCTTCTTTTCATCGCTGGCAATTCCAGGATGTCCCCCAAAGGAAGCCAGCAGGCTCTGCAAACTTATACCTACCTCAGGTAGAGGTAACCAGGCTTTGTTCTGTGTTCCTAAGTAATGATTCAGAACCAAACACTGCAAACGCCCCTACTTTCTAAATTTCTTGAAGAAGGGGATGAGGAAAAGAGAGTTCCTACAGGCTCCACTGATGTGGGTCTGACTGTCTGCTTTAGTTTCCACCTAAGTTGGTCTGCAAATATAATTCTCCTTACGAGATTTGTAGAGCCAATCAGAAAGACAGGAGATATTGCACAAAGAAAAACTGACAGGCACAAATGCCCAAGCGAGATGGAAGTGTGGGAATAAGGCATGCAACCCTGCCCTTTACACTGGCAGAAGCCTTTCCATATAGACTGCAGTAAAGACAGAGAAACACAGATATATAAATATCTTCATATAAATCTTCACATATGCCTTGACCAGTTTTCATAATACATCCTCACATTTATTTATTTATTTATTTATTTATTTTGAGATGGAGTCTTGCTCTGTCATCCAGGCTGGAGTGCAATGGTACAATCTCGGCTCACTGCAACCTCCGCCTCCTAGGTTCAAGCGATTCTCCTGCCTCAGCCTCTTGAGTAGCTGGAATTACAGGCACACACCACCATGCCTGGCTAATTTTTATATATTTTTAGTAGAGACAGGGTTTCACCATATTGACCAGGCTGGTATTGACCTCCTGACCTCAAGTGGTCCACCCATCTTGGTCTCTCACAGTGCTGAGATTACAGGTATGAGCCACCACGTCAGGCCCTCACATTTGTAAACAGGCACAAGCTGGTGCATTCCAAAGTCTTACAAGCATTGTTGATGTCTGCTATTGGTTTCCACCCACCACTCTAGAGTCAGGACCTACATCCTACTATCTTCTAGACATATGATGGTACCTTATGTCTCCAATGCTCCATGTGCGGTTGCTATGAAACTAGCAAAATGAAACATTATCTAAAAAATAAATCCAAAGCGTATAAGAGAAAAATAAATCTGGCGGCACAATGTTCTCCAACTTAAAAATATGAAGTATTCTACACCTCTGTTTAAAAGAGCCACTCACTCCAGAGTCTTCATAGAGCATACCCTTCCCTTTGCCGCTGTAGAATCAGATGAATGTTTGCAAGTTAACAATGAGTGGAAATTAAGAAATGATTATCTAAGATCATGGAAAAGCTCAACAAAAGCCTCTTGCCTTTTCCAGGCCGCCTCTTAGTAAGATGGTTTTTATCCCTGGCCCTAACTCACTGCCTACCTCAAACATGAATTGCTTGGATATAAAAGTTACCTGGATTTTATTTCCTTGTGTCCTCTCTTCAGAAATTCTGTGTTTAGAGAATGTGTTTTCAGAAGCAGAACCCCAATGATGGAAAAGAATAAATATAGTTTCCTAACTTTGTGACCAAATGCTGCTAATATTGATGTCTAATAATTCCTCAAATATTATTCCCACATCTTGATTTTTAAACTGGCCCGCGCGCAGTGGCTCACACCTGTAATCCCAGCACTTTGGAAGGCCAAGGTGGGTGGATCACCTAACGTCAGGAGTTTGAGACGAGCCTGACCAACATGGTAAAGCCCCATCTGTACTAAAAATACAAAATATTAGCCGGGTGTGGTGGTAGGCGCCTGTAATCCCAGCTACTCAGGAGGCTGAGGCAGGAGAATCACTTGAATCCTGGAGTGGAGGTTGCAATGAGCCGAGATCTGCCATTGCACTCCAGCCTGGGCAAGAAGAGCAAAACTGTTTCAAAATAAATAAATAAATAAATAAATAATAAAAAATTTTAAACTGAACATTAAGAAAACAGATTTCCTAACATATTATTTCCCAATCACAAATTATTAAGAATCCATTTATTCAACAAATATTTATTGAGAAGCTTTCTGGTACATTTGTACCAGACATCCGTTGCAGGGGTTTTACAGTAATGGATGAAACAAACAAAAGCCCTCCCTCATGCAACTTACATTTTAGTGAGGAGAAGGGGAATATATATGAAAAATAAGTAAAATAAACAATGTGTTAGTTATTGATAAGGGCTCAGGAGAAAAGCAAAATGGGAGATATGACTGCTGGTGCTGATATTTCCCATACCCCCATATACCATCAATCTGAGAAGCGATCTTCAAATGTTACCCCTTCTTCCTTCACTGTAGTGACAGTCTTCATTTATTTGCTAACATCTCCCACGGACATGTTTTAATTGAACTGTGGCTAACCTTGTCTTCTAAGTGTTGTCACTTGCTGTTCATCACATTAAAATATCTTTTTTTTTTTTTTTGAAATAGGAGTCTCACTCTCGCCCAGGCTGGAGTGCAGTGGCATGACCTTGGCTCACTGCAACCTCTGCCTCCCGGGTTCAAGCGATTCTCCTGCCTCAGCCTCCCAAGTAGCTGAGATTACAGCCACACACCACCATGCCCGGGTAATTTTGTATTTTTTTGGTTTATTTGTTTGTTTATTTAGTAGAGATGGGGTTTCACCATGTTGGTCAGGCTGGTCTTGAACTCCAGACCTCAGGCGATACGCCTGCCTCGACCTCCCATAGTGCTGGGATTACAGGTGTGAGCCACTATACCCGGCACATTAAAGTATCTTTTGCAGAATAAATTTATTTAAAAAAAAAAAAACAAATTGGTGGGGGCAGAAAGACACTAACATTTACTAAGCACCTATTATTAAGCCAAGCACAGTGGTAGACACCTTTGTATTCATTATCAGAGTTGATCTGTGTATATCCCCATGAGGGAGATAACAAGATTCTCACTTTACAGAGGAAGAAACAGACACTCCAGGAACTTAAGGTCACACAGTAAGTGGCACAACTGAATTCTGAACTTTGCTGTCCATATTTGTCTTACCTTCAAAATTCTCCACTTTTAGGATTCTTTTTCTTAACCCATCTTTTTCTTGGCTGATCACGCTATATACTTTTTTGGTAAGGATCACTCTTTCACACTGTCTTATACAGCAGGAATTACTTTCCTCATTACCTAAAAGCAGCCTCATCTCCTTTCTCTACAACCTTAGGATTAAATTAGACTGTGCTCAATTGAATTGAATAAAACCTTTATGAACTACACTGACCACTAATTTTAAAATTAAAATGACCAATGCCATAACTGGCATCTTTTTTCTGTAGTCATCTTCCCTTTACTAGGTTATTTCTTTTGCAAAAGAATCTTAATCCTAAATCTCAAGCCAGTGGCATACCTAGGTGGCTCCTGGGATTCCGCATGGATTACGGATTATTATTAATAAAATGCAATATACAATCCTGTAGATAATCAGCAACGTAAACCAGTAAGGTCCAGACATTTTTCTTTAAGGGTGTTTTTTCCTCATTACCTCAGTAACAGTTTCCAGGTCGGAGGAACTGGAACGCATGCAGGTGGAATACAGTCCCTGACAATGCAATAATAATTTCCCAACTTATTCCCCTTGCCTTGCTCGTCCTCTACTATGCACTCAGCAGCAGACGAATTTTTGGAAAATAACTGAAAACGCACACCGTGATACCAATGAATTCTTCTGCTGTCTCCGCGGGAGCCTGGCTGGAAATTCTGAGCCAGAACCCGCCGTAATGGAGCAGAAAGGACAGACAGAGGCGGGAGGCCGACGCCCGGGTGCGGGTGCCAGGCGTCCCGGCCGCTCCCCGTCGCCCTACGCGCCGCGGGCACAGCGAGGGTCTCGGCGAAACCAGTCAGCGGGCACGCGGTACAAGGCGGCGCTCGGCCCTGGGCTCGGCCTTGGCTGCTGCGCCCCGCGCGGCGCGCCCCGCGTCCCGTCGGGCCCGACAGTCGCGGCCTCGCCCCCCGCCCGACCGCCCCGGCCGCCGCTCGCTCTCCCACTCCGGCCCCCGCCCCGCTCCGCGCCTAGCCCGGCTGGGGCTCCGCGCCCGCGCGGCCGCCTCACCACAGCTTCCTCTTGAGCGGCAGGAGGCTGCCGCGGTTGGAGGGGGTGACGCCGATGGCCATCTGCAGCACCGTCAGGTATTTCTGGTACTTCATCTTGTCCCCGCTCCGCTCGCGGGCAGGGCCCCGCCGCCTCCGCCGCCGCCGCAGACACAGCCCCTCCAGGCGCCGCATAGATCAGCTCTGGGCCATCCGCCGCCACCACAGCTCCCACCGCTCCCGCGCCCGCCGCACCCGCAGCTGCGGCCGTGCGTGGCCTGGGCTCCCGCTCCCGCCGCCGCCGTCGCCGTGCGTGCCCGGCCGCTCCCGCCGCCGCCGCCGTGCGTGGCCCGCAGCTCCCGCCGCCGCCGCCCCTTCCACCCCTGCAGGCCGTGGCCCGGCGGCGCGCTCCGGTGGGCGGGTGCGGGTCTCGCGGGAGGCCGGGCTGGCTTGGCCCCCGCTCCGGAGCCGCTGGGCGAGGCCGGGCCACCTGCGCGCCGGCCGCCCTGCCCAGGCCCTGCGCCCGCGTGCCGCGGTGTTTTCAGCGGCTGGCAGGAGCTCCTTCTCAACCGTTAGCACCCAAAGAGAATCCCAACAGCACACTTCCAGCGCGGATTAAAACAAACAAACAAACAACAACAACAACAAAAACGAGACGCTGCCTGTTGGTTTGTAACTATCAATTGATGTGTTCTATCCCAAAGTGGTTGACTTCACATTGACATATAATGCATATGGCGAATACGTACTACACGCGCATGCAGTCCTCGCTTGCACGGTAATTCTGGACGCTGGAAATGACTGAACCATGCAAAACTACCTTAATAATCACTGGGAAAAATTAAGATTGTTTCACGACTTTAAACAGTTTTTCTCAAAACATTCAAAGCAGTCCGGGCACGGTGGCTCACGCCTGTAATCCCAGCACTTTGGGAGGCCCAGACGGGAAGATGGCATGAGCCCAGGAGTTCGAGACCAGCCCTGGGCAACACAGTGAGACCCGGTCTCTACAAAATAAAAAAAAAAAATTAGCCAGGCGTGGTGGTGTGCACCTGTAGTCCCAGCTTCTCAGGAGAATGAGGGGGGAGAATCACTTGAGCCCCGGAAGCCGAGGTTGCAGTGAGCCAAGGTCGCACCACAGCACTCCAGCCTGGGTGACAGAGCAAGTCCTTGTCTTGGAAAGAACAAACAACAACAAAAGAACCATTCAAAACTCGCTTAACTGATGGTTACAAATACCCTGTATATGGAAATGAAAAAAAATCAGTTTAAAACATTCAAACATTGAGAATTAAAGTATTTTTTGTGTTTGTAAAAATAAAGCTTATTAAGAATAACTTGAACAGTGCTTGTCTTCTTCTAGTGTAACTCTTATATACCACCTTTTCTGTACTTTAGCAAAACATCACATTTGGATTACACGCAAGTATTTTATCCTTTGCACTTCCAATGCCATGCAATGTCTCAGAGAGTTCCTTTAATGTAAAATGTTTTTGTGGACCTCATTTCCTCCGGGACATCCTCATCCTTTTAGTCACAGCCATTTTCCTCATTCAGTGTGCTTTGAGTAAGTTTCACTGACTGCATATCTAGTCTCTGGAAAGTCAGCACTCCCACAGTTGTCTATTTCTTCTATAGTACTTCATTTGCATTCAATTTGAATTTCACTTCAATTCCATCTTTACCATTTTTTTATTTCTTTGCTGCACTTTCATCTTTGTTGACCAATTCCCTTTCAATTATTCATTTTTATACAATGCTGTGTGAGTTTAACACTTGGAGAAAAGGAAGCAACACAATTGCACACTTTGCTGCCAGTGCCTAAACTAACAGTGCAATGACCCGTCACTGACAGATTTTGAAAGAACTGCTGTGATTGGTCACTGGTTGTTATGGACATCTATTGTTTACATAGGGTTTTGTGGACTAAAGAGCTAGAAGCAAAGATTGTACTATGTTTGTTCACAGCTAAAATAGCATGATAACTAAAATTTGTTTTTTTTGTTTTTGCTTTGTTTTGTTTTTGAGACAGGATCTCATGCTGTTGCCCAGGCTGCAGTGCAGTGGCACAATCATGGCTCACTAGAGCCTCTACCTCCCAGGCTCAAGCGATCTTCCCACCTGGGCCTCCCAAGTAGCTGGAACTACAGGCATACACCACTAAGCCTGGCTAATTTTTGTATTTTTATTTTTTGAAGAGACGGGATCTCACTATGTTGCCCAGGCTAGTCTCAAACTCCTGGGCTCAAGCGATCCTCCCACCTCAGCCTCTCAAAGTGCTGCAATTATAGGCATGAGCCACCATGCCCCATCCAGTAACTAAAATTTCAACCATATTGTTGAGATACTGGTGTTATTTAACTAAATAGCTGACATCAGTCATATCTGAACCTGCAAAGCAAAGGATGCCTATTTGGATATATGCATACTATATATATGTGTGTATATATAGTATATATGAAGAGTACCAATAATAAGCACCTATGCATCCACCAGGCAGAAGTGTTAACCCCCTCCCTCCACAGTTTATCCCTCCTGCACCTCTATTTAAATACTTCATCTTCAAATTAATTAGCACATAAGATTAAAACAACACAATCTTCCTGGGGTTTGGGTTCCCAACATGATTTCACAGTCACTTAGGTAGGAAAGCAGGTCTAAATATTTCACTTTCATTTACCCAGAAATTTTAGCTCTCACATAAAATGAGGAATTGGCAGGTTTTTGACACTTCGGTTGTATACTCCCCTGGGGAGAGGACATCCTTGGAGCAGAACTTTTAAGAAACATCAAGGCCTGTTTTTATATACTCACCATGTCAAATATATGTTTGGCCTTTTGCATTACTTTGTCATAATAATTGTAAGATATTTGATGAAAATACTACACTGTGCTCAAAGATTTAGGCACCTGGAAGCTGAGGGACCTATTCAGGATAATAAGCAATAAAAATAAATCTGGGAGAAGCACTTCTAGAGTGGTAGAAAATCTGCTTCTCCATAAAAGGGAGTACACTGGCAAAAATAGTTAAAACCAACTCCAGAAATTAACCAAACACAACAATCCAAGGAGTATTTATTAAAGAAAAATTACTGAATCTTGGTGAGTACAGTGAGCTTTAGGGCATTTTGATCTGCCCAATTCTCAACTACTTCTCTCCAGCTCTACAGTAGCCTAGTAAGCCAACAGCCTCACAACTACAGTAGCTTTGAAAACCATCCAGCAGCCACTGGATGGGGCAGAATAGGTTTAGATCTTCTCAAAAGCCCCATACTAAGTAAACTGTCATTATTTGACCTGTCTGGAAGCACCTTGAAAAGTTCCATTCTCAGGGTTTGTCTTTATTTGACCTGGTTCAGAACTTGCTCTGTGCAAACAGCCCTATCCCTGGTGCATTTGTTGAAAACAATCAGTTGCAACTGTTTAACATCACAGATACCTGTGGTGGTGAAACTGTTTGGTACTAACAAGAAGCTAACCAAAAAAGTTAAAAAAAAATGGGCAATAAGAGTCCATATAGTTCCTTGAAAAGCTCTGACATATACCTAGGAATCCAGAATTTCATGCAGGACATGCATGTACATGCAGGACTGTGAACACACCCAAAAAACACCTAAGAAGACTCTAATCTCTCACCTCTGTCTGACCTTGAGTTTCAGTACAATGCAGAAAATAAAGGCTAAGGAAGAATCGTAAACTACCTACCACAATGTGCAAGGCATGCCCCAGCACACACAGCCTCTCAGCAAAAGCTAGGGGATTTATTGGCTCAAAGCATTTAAGAAAATATCCATTCAATCATTAGCTAAGCACTAAACTATCCAAGCAGAGACTCTAATGGCTGCACACAACAAACAATACAGACTTTATAGATTAGTCCAGCAAAGTCACTAAACCAGCAACAAACCTCAGTGGAGAGGAGGGGATATGATTTCTAGAGTTGTCACATTACATTGTTCAAAACATCCAGATCTCAACAAAAAAGTTCACAACATCCAAAGAAACAAAATTATGGCCTATATGCAGGAAAAAGCAGTTAATAGAAACCATTCCTGAGGAATCCCAGGCATTGGACTTACTGAACAAAGACTTTAAATCAGCCATTATGAATATGTTCACAGAACTAAAGGAAACCATGTCTAATGAACTAAAGGAAAATGTGAGAATGATGTCTTACTAAATAGATAATATCAATAAACAGAAGTTTTAAAAAATAGAAACTCTGGAGTTGAAAAGTACAAAGAGTGAGATGAAAAAATTCTCTAGAGGAGCTCAATAACAACATATATGAACTGGTAGAAGCAAAAGGCAGTGAACTTGGAGATAGCTCAATTGAAATTATCCAGGCTGAGAAACAGAAAGAAAAAAGAATGAAGAAAATGAACAAATTCTCAGAGACTTATGGGAAACCATGAGTTTATGTGTATATTAACATGCACATAAAGTCCCAGAAGGAAAGGATAGAGAGAAAGGAATACAAAGAATATTTGAAGAAATAGCCTTCCCAGACTTTATGAAAAACAGTAATCTGCCATCCAAGGAGCTCAAAAAACTTGAAGTAGTGACCTAGACACATAATAGTCAAACTGTTGAAAGCCAAAGATGATGAGAAAATTTTGAAAGCAGCAAAAGAAAAACAACTCATCACACACAAAGGATCCTCAATAAGCTTAATAGCTGACTTCTCATCATAAATCATGAAGGTCAGAAGGTGGTGGGAAGACATCATATTTAAAGGGTGGAAGGAAAAATATCCTTCAAAAATGAAAGAGAAATTATGGCATTCCAGGTAAACAGAAAGTGAATGAAATCATCACTAGCAGACATGCACTATTACCAAAGGGAACCTTGCAGGCTGAAATGAAAGAATATTAGAAATTTAAATCCACATAAAGAAAATAAGAGCAGTGATTCTGATAACTACACAATTGAATATAAAAAATTATTTTAATTTTTAAAATTAAAAAATTTTAAATTAAAAAATCTGAACACTCTGATTTAAAACACAACTGCATAAAACAATGGCTATGAGCTGTGTCGATAGGCTTTTAATGTATAAACATACAATTTGTTTGACAATCATATTACAAAGATAAGAGGGACAGAGTGGATGTATACTGGAGCATAGTTTTGGCATGCTATTGAAATTAAGGCAAGTCGGCTGGGTGCGGTGGCTCACGCTTGTAATCCCAGGACTTTGGGAGGCCAAGGCAGGTGGGTCATGAGGTCAGGAGATCAAGACCATCCTGGCTAACACAATGAAACTGCGTCTCTACTAAAAATACAAAAAATTAGCCAGGCCTGGTGGTGGGTGCCTGTAGTCCCAGCTACTTGGGAGGCTGAGGCAGGAGAATGGTGTGAACCCGGGAGGTGGAGCTTGCAGTGAGCTGAGATCTCACCACTGCACTCCAGCCTGGGCGACAGAGCAAGACTCCATCTCAAAAAAAAAAAAAAAAAAAAGAGAGAGATTAAGGCAAGGCACGGTAGCTCATGCCTATAATCCCAGCACTTTGGGAGGCCTAGGTGGGAGAATTGCTTGAGCCCAGGAATTCGAGACCAGCCTGGGCAACACAGTGGGACTTCATCTCTAGAAAAATAAATAAATAAATAAATAAATAAATAAATAAAAAATTAGCCAGGCATGGTGGCACGTGCCTGTAGTCCCAGCTACTTGGGAGGCTGAGGTAGGAGGATCTCTTGAGCCTGGGAGATGGAGGCTGCAGTGAACCATGATTGTGCCATTGTACTCCAGGCTGGGCAACAGCAGGAGACCCTGTCTTGAAAAAAGGAAAAAAAAAAGAAATTAAGTTAGTATTAATACTACTTAGGTTATTTTAAGTTAAGAAGCTAATTGTAATCCCCGGGATGACTATTAAGAAAATGATTTTTTCAAAATGTTATACAAGAAATAACAAGGAAATTAAAATGATACAGTAGAGAATATATAGCACAAAAGAAAACAGTAACAGAAGAATAGAACAAAACAAGATATAAGACATATAGAAAGCAAATAGCAAAATGGCAGACATAAATTCTACCTTACCACTAATTACATTAAAGGTAAATGTACTAAGCATTCCCATCAAAAGACAGAGATTGGTAAAATGGATCTTAAATAAATGTATAACCTAATCTTTCACTTTGAGCAACTAGAAAGAGGAGCAGAATAAACTCAAAGCAAGGAAAAGGAAGGAAATAAGGATTAAGAGTAGAAATAAATGAAATGATGAATAAAAAAACAGAGAAAATCAGCAAAACCAAAAGTTGGTTCTTAGGAAGTATTAAATATCAATAAAGATGACAAACCTTCAGCTAGACTGACCAAGTGAGAGAGAGAACTCAAATTACTAAATTTGGACTGAAAGAGGGGACATTACTACCAACCTTGCAGAAACAAAAGTGATTATAAGGAGTATACTAAATTATGTTGTCCCAGCTACTCGGCAGGCTGAGGTGGGAAGATCACTTAAGCCCAGGAGGTGGAGGTTGCAGTGAGTTAAGATTGCACCACTATACTTTAGCCTGGGTGATAGAGCAAGACTCTGTCAAAAAAAAAAAGAAAGAGAGAGAGAAAGAAAGAAAGCAAGAAAGAAAGAAAAGAAAAAAGGAAGAAAGAAAAAAAAGAGAGAAAGGAAGGAAGGAGGGAAAGAAAGAAAAGAAAGAAGGGAGGGAGGGAGGGAAGGAGGGAAGGACCTACCTACGTGAATTAGAAAACTTTCTAGAAAGACCAACCTACTGAAATTGACTCAAGAAGAAACAGAAAATCAAATAGAAGTATAACAAGCAAAGAGATTAAATTGGTAAGAAGGAAAACTTCCCACCAAGAAAAAATGGCTTTATCAGTTTTGTTCACTCCTTTATCTCCTGCACCCAGAACAGTGCCTGGTGTATCATAAGCAACCAATAAATATTTGTTGAACTTGAGACAGGATGTTAATATAAAGTGAAAGACTTCATGACTTGTCATAAGGCATATCATTTTTCTAAAGAACAGAGTTTTGCATGCAATGTAGATAAATATTACAGCTGGAAAATTGACATCATTTTATGTAGTCAAAGAAATAAAAATTCGCTATTAGTTCTCAGATGATAGTTAATGCTTCAAAGGAAAATGTGGGAGCTGCTACTATTGGCACTATGCAAGGTCCAAGGTAGTGTTTTTCCAACCTGCCTCCCAGTGAATACAACCTCAAGGGTTATAGCACCTGAGCCTGTTGCTCCACCTTCCTCAAAAACAAGATCCTTTCACCTATTTTGACTACCACGCACAGTTAGAAGTATATTTTATTTTATTTTATTTTAGATGGAGTCTTGCTCTGTCAACCAGGCTTGAGTGCAGTGGCGTGATCTTGGCTCACTGCAACCTCTGTTTCCTTGGCTCAAGCAATTCTCCTGCCTCAGCCTCCCAAGTAGCTGGGATTACAGGGGCCCACCACCATGCCCGGCTAATTTTTGTATTATTAGTAGAAACAGGGTTTCACCATGTTGGCCAGGCTGGTCTCGAACTCCTGACCTCAAGTGATGCACCTGCCTCGGCCTCCCAAAGTGCTGGGATTACAGGTGCGAGCCACCGTGTCTGGCCAGAAGTACATGTTAAATAGTGGCACAGTACACACAGACACATACAGGCGTACACACAGACACATACAGACACACACACACACACACACATACACACACAACTGAAGCAAAAGCTTCTGAAAACAATATTTTACCTTACTACCTGGGTTGAACTTTTCTGTTCTCTTCTACAGCAAGCCACTCTACATCCTTAGCATTTTGTTGGAACATTCTCATCAGCTCCTATCTTTGCTTGAAGCTGGACTGTCCCCCAATTCAGCTGCCCTCGGCAGCCCTCAGTGCCCCAATGCTGCCCTCGGCAGCCCTCGACAGGAGGTGTTTTATCTCTTGCACCCCACATGTCTAAAGGCCAGAGGTTGGGGTAAGTTTCTTCCTTGTTGGTCCTGCCCCTTCTAAACCATTCCTTGCTATTTCTCATGCCCAAACCAAACCAAACAACCAAAAAAAACTAAAAACTGGCTGCCCTGAAGTTTATGCCCTTAAAGGATATTACCTACCCCTTTCCCCTCTTCTTTATTGTCGTTTACTGCCTTCCTCTCCACTTTTATTCCTGGCATAATTTTTTTTTTTTTTTTTTTGATACGGAGTCTCGGTCTGTCGCCCAGGCCGGACTGCAGTGGCCCGATCTCGGTTCACTGCAAGCTCCGCCTCCCGAGTTCACGCCATTCTCTTGCCTCAGCCTCCCGAGTAGCTGGGATTACAGGCGCCCACCACCACGCCCGGCTAATTTTTTGTATTTTTGGTAGAGACGGGGTTTCACCGTGTTAGCCAGGATGGTCTCCATCTCCTGACATCGTGATCCACCTGCCTCGGCCTCCCAAAGTGCTGGGATTACAGGCGTGAGCCACCGCACCCGGCCCCTGGCATAAGTTTGAATGATTTCAACATCCATGTGGGTGGACCATCCAATGCTCTTGCCTCTCAGTTCCTTGGTCCCATCTCTTCTAGAGATCTTTTCCCTATTCTACTTCAGCCTTGCACTTGTGTGGTCATACCTTAAGCCTGGGCTCACAAACTCAAATGCCAGTAGGGTAAGGCCCTTACTACCAATGAGTGAAGAAGGCCAGATGTTAGTCAGCAGAAAATAGTGGAAGCTGTGACCTCCCTGCCTGGTGCTACAGTTCTCTTTTAGAAAGGAGTGACCGCCACTCAGCTGCAGCCAGCTGTCATGTGGAAATGCTAGACCAGGATTTCCACATCTTCCAATTCATGGAAACACAGGTTGTCATGTGCTATCTCCCGAATTTTACATATTGGCAATAATATGGACTTTCAGTCTAAATATTGTGACATTAAAAAACATTTCCCCTCTTAAAAATCAGCTCAAAAGAAGAAAAAAAAAAGGGAAAATTAAATTATATCTTCCTTGAAACGTGGAGATATTCCAGAAGTTAGAAAACAGTGAAGATTTGGCCGGACGCAGTGGCTCACGCCTGTAATCCCAGCACTTTGGGAGGCCGAGGTGGGCGGATCACGAGGTCAGGAGATCGAGACCATCCTGGCTAACACGGTGAAACCCCGTCTCTACTAAAATACAAAAACAAAATTAGCTGGACGCGGTGGCGGGCGCCTGTAGTCCCAGCTACTCGGGAGGCTGAGGAGAGAGAATGGCGTGAACTCGGGAGGCGGAGCTTGCAGTGAGCCGAGATCGCGCCACTGCCCTCCAGTCTGGGCGACAGAGCGAGACTCTGTCTCAAATAAAAAAAAGAAAAGAAAACAGTGAAGATATGGTAAGTGACTTAGCAGAAGGGAGGGGACCAACCTCAGTGACTATCCAGGGCAATGCCATGAAGAAACAAGCTCATTGCATTGCAGAAGCACGGAAATATTCAGGAATGAATTGGAGGCTCCAGGTACCACAAAAGATAGATGGGAATGGAAGGAGGTGGCAGGCACTGAAAATAGGAGATTGATCTAAAATGTGGAATAGGAAACACTTATTACCCCGGTATCCTCTCTCATTTCAGCGGAAATGGAAGTATATTCTCAGGAGAAGAACTAGAGAGTGGCATTAGGTACAATAGACTGAAAAGAAAAGGTTACAGGAAAGTTGTATATGGAGTGATGAGATGCTAAGCTCCTTTCTGCCACCCAGATGCAGAATGCTAGCAACCTCAGACAAGAGGTCTTCCCATGTAGACCGTTACAATTTTTTGTTAAATCCATAGATTTCATTGTTGTGACTGTTTAAACATTGTTTAGTACCGAACCTAGTATTGTCCCGTGATTATATTTTCCTGCCTTATACAATTTCTTATTTTACCTGGAGTTAATAATTGCCTTGTTTTCAACTTGTTGTTTTCCTAAAACTCATGACTAAGTGTTCCCACATCCGCAAGAGTAATGTCAAATGCCTGCAATACAGTTTTCCACACACTCAAACCAGACAGAGAGTCTACCCATTTCAGTTTTTCTTGGACTCAGCCCTCTGAAGCCCTCCATCCTGCTGCTCCTATCTGTACAGATGTGCTCTCCGGGTTTCTGCCCAGTTCAGAGAGAGAGAGAGAGAGAGAGAGAGAGAGAGAGAGAGAGAGAGAGAGAGAGAGAGAGGAAAGAGAGAGAGAGAGAGAGAGAGGAAAGAGAGAGAGAGAGTAAGAAAGAGCTGTTTATTTTAAGGAATTGGCACATGTGATTATCCTCTCTGTACAGATGTGCTCTCCGGGGCTTGTGCCCAGTTCAGAGAGAGAGAGAAAGAGAGAGAGAGAGGAAAGGGGGAGGGGGGAGAGAGAGAGAAGAAAGAGAGAGAGAGAGGAAAGAGAGAGAGAGAGAATAAGAAAGCTGTTTATTTTAAGTAATTGGTGCATGTGATCATGGAGGCTTGCGAAATACAAAACATGCAGGGTAGCTGGCAGGCTGGAGACCCAGAGAAAAGTTGTAGTTTGAGTCCAAAGGCAGTCGGTTGGTGTCAGAAATTTTCTTGCTCAGAAGACGTTAGTAGTTTTATTCTATTAAGGTCTTCAACTGATTGGATAAGGCCCACCCACATTATGGATGGTAGTCTGCTTTACTCAAAATCCACCAATTAAATGTTAATCACATCTAAAAATTGTCTTCACAGAAACATCCAGAATAATGTTTGATCCACCAGGTAGGTTTGAGAAACAAGGAATGAAGAGTAAAGAAAGTGGTAAATATGTGGATGAATCTAAGCAAATACTGATAAAAAAATAATAATAACAATGTCTTAATGGGTTAAAAAGAATAATTAAAATACATAGAATAATAGTTCATAAGTTGGGAATTAAGTAAAAAGAATTAAAGTTTTTTTTTTTTTTTTTGTGGTGGGGACAGGTTTTCACTCTTGTTGCCCAGGCTGGAGTGCAATGGCGTGATCTCGGCTCATTGCAACCTCAGCCTCCTGGGTCAAGTGATTCTCCTGCCTCAGCCTCCCAAGTAGCTGGGATTATAGGTACCCACCACCCCTCCCAGCTAATTTTTTTGTATTTTTAGTAGAGATAGGGTTTCACCATGTTGAGCAGGCTGGTCTTGAAATTCTGACCTCAGCTGATCCACCCGCCTCGGCATCCCAAAGAGCTGGGATTACAGGTGTGAGCCACCACACCCGGTCTAGTGTTCTTTCTTTTATTATGAGGAGAAAGTTAAAGGATCTGTTAACTTTAGACTTGATTATATTAAGTGAGCATATTATAATTTCTAAGGCAACTACTAAAAGAAATGAACAATGCATAGCTTTTGAACTATTTAAAGGGGAAAACATTGAAATGATTAAAATACTCAGTATATCAAAAATAAAGTAAAAAAGGAGAAAAGAAAAAACATGGAATGGGTGTGTCAAATAGAAAGCGGTGGCTCACACCTGTAATCCCAGCACTTTGGGAGGCTGAGATGGGTGGATCATGAGGTCAGGAGATCAAGACCATCCTGGCTAACATGGTGAAACCCCATCTCTACTAAAAATACAAAAAATTAGCCAGGTGTGGTGGTGTGTGCCTGTAATCCCAGCTACTCGGGAGGCTGAGGCAGGAGAATTGTTTGATCCCAGGAGGCAGAGGCTGCAGTGAGCCAAGATTGCGCCACTGCACTCCAGCCTGGGCGACAGAGCAAGACTCTGTATCAAAAAAAAAAAAAAAAAAAAAAAGCACAAAATATGTTTGCAGATTTAAACTCAAATATATATAAAATGTGAGTTGTGCCTTTAGGAATGGTGCAATGTCATGGCCTTAACAATGTAGTGTTAATTACATTTCATGTAAATAAACTAAACGCTCCAGTTAAAAGATTTTCAGACTTGATAAAGACAAATTCTATCTCCATGTTATGTACAAGAAACATGTTTTAGAATTATAAAGATATAGAAAAGTTAAAAGGTAAAAGGTTATATAAGATATACCAAAAAAGCCTAAGCCAAAGGAAACTAGTATAGCTATATTAAGAAAGATATGGTTTTAAAGAAAATAAAATTACAATAAAAAATCAGTGAAGACACAAAAGGTTTGAATAAGATAATATGATTGACATAGTGAGATCTCCACCTAACTACTGCAGAATATATATATATCAAACATACAGAAAAATTATTAAATACAAATGAACAAATAAAAGCAAGTCTCAATACATTTCAAAGGTTTAAAATCATACAATGTGTGTTCTTAGATTATAAGACAAGCCAGAAATCAGCAAAAATTCGAATGAGAAAAATTAATATGTTAGGGATTAAAAGACAATCATGCTTCAAAACAAAATTGTAAAAATGTTAGAACATATTTTGAACAGAATTATAGCAAAATATTGCATATAAAATTTATGACATAATTTCAAAATAAGTATATTCAGAGAATCTAAAAATTAATTAAGTAAACATTCATCTCAAGAAGTTAGATATGCATGAGCAAGAAGGAAATAATGAAGATAAAAGGAGAAGTCTTTGAAATAGAAAGCAAATATATAATAGATTCGACAAAGCCAAATGCTGCTTCATTGATTTTAACAAAATTAAAATATCTGTCAAGAAGTATTAAAAAAAAATTAGAAGGCACAAATAGTCAATATGTAGAAACAGAAAAGAGACACACTTAGGTATATTTCAGATATTTAAAAGATAATACAAGGTTAATATGAACTGGAAAAATTTAGACAAAATGGATAATCTTCTAATAAATATATAACCCACCAAAGTTTATTCAGGAAGAAATAGGAAATCTATAATAAGAGATAGGAAATTTTACAATTATGGTGCCCATACACCCCATTTTGCCCAGGACAGTCCCAGTTTATATCTATTATGGATTAATGTCCATTAATTATTTTCATAACCCCTTTAATTCTCAAAAGCGCTCCAGTTTGGAGGATAAGCCATATGGTCATCCTGCCTGTTTATAATAATTAGAGTAACTAAATCCGTAGTCCGAAATGTTCCGCAAATGTTCCTCCTAAAACCATTCCAGGCCTCAATTCACCAACCAGTTCTACCAAACATTCATGGAAGAAATAATTTCAATCTTAGCCAAACTCTTTCACAAAATAGAAAAAGAGGAAATTTTTCCTGACTCTTAAGACTAGTGTAACCTTATTACTAAAATGTGGCAAAGACAGTACATGAAAAGAAGATTACAGGCAATGTCAAGCACGAACACAGACACAAAACTCGTAATCCAAATATTTGCAAACTGAATTTAGCAGTATCTAAAGGGATAATAAATTATGACCAAGTTGGCAATATCCCAGGAATTCAAAATTGGTTTTATGTTAGAAAATAAACTAAAATAGGCCGGGCCTGGTGGCTAACACCTGTAATTCCAATGCTTTGGGAGGCCGAGATGGGAGGACCACTTGAAGAGTTTGAGACCAACTTGGGCAACATAACAAGATTCCCTCTTTACAAAAATAAGAATAATAACAAAAGCTGGATGCAGTGTGTGTGCCTATACTCCTAGCTACTCAGGAGACTGAGGTGAGAGGACTACTAGAGCCCAGGAGTTCGAGGCTGCAGTGAGCTATTATTGTGCCACTGCACTCCAGCTTGGGCAACAGAGTGAGAAACTGTCTCTAAAAAAAAAAATCAACTAAAATAATTCACCATGTTACCACATTACCACATTAGAGAAGAAAAATCATAACATCTTCTCAATAGATATGGAAAAAAGCATTTCATAAAATTCAGCATACATTCATGATTTAAAACCTCTTATCAGAGTGAGAATACAAAGGAACTTCCTTGATAGTTATCTTCAAAAATCATACAGCACATCTCACTCTTAATGGTGATATTAGGTGGAGATCAGGGCAACACAAGCTTCCTACTATCATTGCCTCTATTTGATATTGTGATGGTGGTCCCAGCCAATAAAGTAAGAAAAAGATTGTGTAAGAACTAGAAAGGAAGGAACAAAACTGCCATTATTAGTGACGAATATGCTTATGTAATAGAAAATTTTAATTAAAACTACATATATTATTATTAGAATTAATGAGAGATGAACAACTTTTCTGGATATGAAAAATCAAAATTGCCTTTCTTTACATCAGCATCAAAGCACTGGAAAATGGAAAAAAAATATACATTTACAATAGTGTCAAAACATATAATGTACCTAGGAAGAAAATCTAACAAAAATGTTATGGAGAAAACAATAAACCTTTATTGAGAGATATCAAAGAAACTATAATGGACAAATATATAGTAGTCCCCCCTTGCCCATAGTGGATACGTTCCAAGACCCCCAATGGATGCCTGAAACTGCAGATAGTACTGAACCCTATATACACTGTTTTCTCCTATACACACAAACCTAGGATTAATTTGTAATTTAGGCACAGCAGAGACTAAAACAACTAAAAATAAAATAAAACAATTATGACAATGTGCCAGCATTATTACTCTTTCACTTTAGGGCCATTATTAAATAAGATAAGGATTCCTTCAACACAAGCACTGCAATACTGCGACAGTCGGTATTGAAAACTGAGATGGCTGCTAAGTGACTGATGGATGGGGGGCTTGTATAGCCGTGGGTGCTCTGGGCAAAGGGATGACTCATATTCTGGGCTATGCAGAGCAGGACAGTATGAGATTTCATCCCCCCCAGTCAGAACGGTGCACGATTTAAAACTTATGAATTGTTTATTTCTGGTGAATTTTCCATTTAATATTTTGGGACTGTGACTGACCAAAAGTAACAGAAACTTTGGAAGCAAAATAGTGGATAAGGGGAGACTACTGTAACAAGTTTCTGGATTAGAAGATTCAATATTGTAAGCATATCAGAATTTTCCAAATCAACCCATAGATTCAGTGCAAACACACCAAACACATAATCGTTTAAGTTATTGAGCTTGGCAAACTGATTCTGACGTTAAAATGGACTGATAGCTGATAATTTTTTTTTTTTTTTTTGAGACAGAGTCTCACCCTGTGGCCCAGGCTGGAGTGCAGTGGTGCGATCTTGGCTCATTGCAACCTCCGCCTCCTGGGTTCAAGCAATTCTCCTGCCTCAGCCTCCCGAGTAGCTGGGACTACAGGCATGCGCCACCATGCCTGCTAATTTTTGTATTTTTAGTGGAGACGGGGTTTCACCATGTTGGCCAGGATGGTCTCAAACTCCTGACCTCAAGTGATCCGCCCGCCTCGGCCTCCCAAAGTTCTCAGGCGAGAGCCACCATGCCCGACCAGCTGAGACTTTTTTTTTTTTTTTTTTTAAGACACAGTCTTGCTCTGTCATCCAGGCTGGAGTGCAGTGGCGCGATCTCGGCTCACTGCATGCTCTGCCTCCCGGGTTCATGCCATTCTCCTGCCTCAGCCTCCCAAGTAGCTGGGACTACAGGCGCCCGCCACTACGCCCGGCTAATTTTTTGTGTTTTTAGTAGGGACGGGGTTTCACCGTGTTAGCCAGGATGGTCTCGATCTCCTGACCTCGGGATCCGCCCGTCTTGGCCTCCCAAAGTGTTGGGATTACAGGCGTGAGCCACTGCGCCCGGAGCTGAGACATTCTTAAGGAAGAAAAGCAAGGTGGAAATAAATATTTGTCCTGTACGATGTTGAGACTTAATACATCACTAGAATGATTAAGAAGGTATAAGGTTGGCTCAGGGATAGACAAATAGACCCGTAGTACAGAGAGAGAGCCCCAAAATACACCTAGACACATATGGATACTTGATATACAACAGAGTTGGCATTGCCAATAAGTCATGAAACGATGGCTTTTTCATGAAAGGTGCTGAGACAATTGGGATTTCTTATAAAAGAATAAAACCCAAAATGGTCCTATACCTTACATTACACTAAAAAATCATTTATAGGTAAATTATATGTGAAAAGCAAACCTGTAATGCTTTTAGAGGATAATATAGCAGATATCTTTAAGACTTGGGAATATGGAACTATTTCTTAAATATTACATTAAAGCATCTAGCCATAAAGTAGAAGATTAATAAATAAGGCAATATTAAAACTAAGAGCTTCTATCATCAAAAGACACAAGACTGGGAGAATATATTCACAATATATATAATTGGTGAAAGATTAATCTCCGAATATATATATTTATATAGTTTTTAAAATGCCTACTTATCATTGAGAATAAGGCAGACAACTCAGTAGAAACATGCACACAGGGGCCGGGTGCGGTGGCTCACGCCCCCAGCACTTTGGGAAGCTGAGGAGAGCGGATCACGAGTTCAGGAGTTCAAGACCAGCCCGGCTAACACGGTGAAACCCCGTCTGTACTAAAAATACAAAAAAATTAGCCGGGCGTGGTGTCACGCCCCTGTAGTCCCAGCTACTCCGGAGGCTGAGGCAGGAGAATCGCTTGGACCAGGAGGCGAAGGTTGCAGTAAGCCGAGATGCGCCACTGCATTTCAGCCTGGTGACAGAGCGAGACTCTGTCTCAAAAAAAAAAAAAAAAAAAAAGAACGAAAGAAAGAAAAAAAGAAACATGCACATAGGAGTTGAATAGACAACTCAACAAAGAGGCATTCCAGATGTCTGATAAACATATGAAAGGTGTCATCTTCATTTGCATTCACGGAAATGCACCTTGAAACAACAGCGAGATACCCTACAATCCCAACAGGCTGGCTAAAATTACGAAATCTAAAATAAGTTTGGGAACTCAAAAGCATTGCTAGTGTGAGCACAAATTGGCAAAACAACTTTGGAAAACAGCATGACATTATGGCATAGTTGTCAACGTATTGCTTCTCAGCTCAAATTCACTTTTCAATACAAGCTTTGAGATGAGGGAATTTCTTTAAGCATTTCTCCTCTAAAGTGAGCACGATGTTGAGCTTTCTCAGTAGAGGGCGCTAGGCAGGTGTTGCGGGAGGGAGGGGCGCTTCTGCAGTTTCTGGCGGAGGCTCAGTGGTCAACCGTGCGGGTGGGAAGGGGTCGGGTGGATTCTGCCCTTCCATATGCCCAGAGTTCCAAGTCCCTCAGCGACTTCACAGCCCCCTTGTCTGCTCAACACGGTCACTATGTGTTTCAGGCGCCCTCAGGCCTGTTGCACAGTCACACGCAGGCCACCAGCTGCGGCTCCCCTGCCCAGCCTGCACTTTGGAGGGTTGTTTCCTGTTTTTTTTTTCCACCACTGCAAACCATCAAATTTCTCTGCCATCCAGTGGGTTCAACTACACCTTCTCCAACGAAGTCAGAACCACAGTTTTGGAGAGGGAGCCCCTTGCAAGTTTATTCTTCCTTGGGTAACTCTCTCTTGGCCCCAAGGCACCATGAAAGTTTTCTTATTTTCTATAGCTACTCCTTTATCCCAACTTAATAATTCTTTATATTAAACTCTCCCTTTGCGGTAGGAGTTTATATTAAACTAAACCCTTTGTGTTTAAAATAATTGCGTGGTTTCTATCTTCTGATTGGATCCACCCTGCTAAGTATTGAGAATGTGCCATACAATTCCACAGCAATTCCACTTCTAATTATCTTTTCTAGAGGAGATTTTTGCACACGTGCATTAATTCACAGGAACCAAAACGTTTATAGCAGCAATTTGCATAAAAGCCAAATTCTGAAAATAACTCAAATGTTCATGAAGAGAGAACAGATAATTAAATTGTTACAGTCCTACAAGGAAATGAAAATCAGTGAACTACAGCTAGACAGAACAAAATGGATGAATGTCACAGACAATGTTCAGTGTGAAAGAAGCAGGTTACAGGTTGGTGTTTACTATATAATCCCATTGATCCCATTTAAAGTTCAACTTTATTTAAAACTAAACTACATTGTTTGGAGATATATATATATATTAAAACCATAAAGAAAAGCAAGGAAATGAATATTTTAAAAGTTAGAATAGTGGCTACCTTTATAAGGTTGCTTTTGGGGTGCCCTCTTTGTCATGCGGATGTGGTTACATAGGTATTTGAATTACAATTCCTCTTTGACTTATGCATATATGTTCTGTGCATTCTATTAAAGTCTTTGCAATTATGTAAACTAATAACCACAACACAAAGAAAGACACAGTTCCTGCCTTTATGAAACTTACGGGGAGAAAGAACAAAACAGAAAACGTGGAATCACTTAAGATGGAGATAGCATGATTACATTTTCTTTCTTTCTTTCTCTCTCTTTCTCTCTCTCTCTCCTTCCTTCCTTCCTTCTTTTCTTTTTTGAGACAAGGTCTTGCTCTGTCACCCAGGGTGGGATACAGTGGCACGATCATGGTTCACTGCATCTTTGACCTCCTGGGCTCAAGTGATGCTCCCACCTCAGCCTCCCGAGTAGCTGGGACAACAGGGGTGTACCACCACACCTGGCTAATTTTTGTATTTTTTGTAGAGATGGGGTTTTGTCATGTTGCCCAGGCTGGTCTCAAACTCCTGGGCTCAAGGGATCCACCTGCCTCAGCCTCCTAAAGTGCTGAGATTACAGGCATGAGCCACTGTGCCTGGCCTGCGATTCATTTTTTAAACAAGTATCTTTGGACTGCAATCCGGCTAGATTAGACCTTGGAACAATGAAATATGACAAACATTTTAAAAATGCATTGTTCAGCTGGCAAGAAAGTATGGTGAATTCCAAGGGTGGAAAACAAAGAGATAATCAACAAGCAGAGATATGGGGAGCTGATGCTGTAGTTGCCTTAGGTGCAGTAGTGATGTACTGGTCTCAGTAGCCAGGCAGCTTGGATTTTAATGGTCACCTGCTGTCCAGGACAGGCTTTGGGCCTAAGGGAGATGGGAAGGTTGAAGTGAGACCCTGGATAAAGCTATACCACAGGGACATGATAGACTAGAAAAAAAATTACGGACACAGGGAGACAAAATAAAGCTTTTGTGTTTTGGTTTGCACTCCAGTTAGAATAAAATCAGGGGTGTAATCCCAGCACTTTGGGAGGCTGAGGTGGGCAGATCACCTGAGGTCAGGAGTTCGAGACCAGCCTGGCAAACACGACAAAAACTCATCTCTAATAAAAGTACAAAAAAATTAGCCAGGCATGGTGGTGTGTGCCTGTAATCCCAGCTGTCCAGGATGCTGAGGCAAGAGAATCACTTGAACCCTGGAGGTGGAGGTTGCGGTAAGCCAACATTGCACCATTGCATTCCAGCCTAGGTGACAGAGTGGGACTCCATCTCAAAAAAAAAAAAAAAAAAGAAAGAAAGAAAGAAAAAAGAAAAGAATAAAATGCAGGGAAAAATGTGCCCAGAGAAGATTGATAATCTTGATAATCCAGGGTTGGACCTCATGTTGGTCTGATATTCTAAATTACATTACCCATGTGAGCCAGTAATCTCTAGGTAGAAACATTAACATAAGAATTAATCACTCTAGGATGATACTACTGCTGGGCACCTGGCAGAAGCAACATAAAACCGCTTTAGAGAAATACACCTGTACCCAGGTCACATGGAACGTCCACCAAATGGGAGCTCATGAACCTAAATTACAATAACATGATGAAATAATTCATCCTGATGAAAAGTCAACAGACGCAATAGTCAGCAAGATTAGACTCTCAGAACTTTAGAAAATATAATAAATAAATATTAGTAAAATATCAAGATTATAAAACCAGGAGTCACATAACACAAGAACATCTTAGTATCAAGAAAAAATTAATTTGAAAAAACTAGACTGAACTTCCAGAAATAAAATATGTGGTCATTGAAATTAAATATATCTTCTTGCATAATAGTTCCTAAGGCATTGGCCTCAAAGTAGTCTTTACAGGAAATTGGAGCTGCCTAGAGTCATAATGTCAGGTGAGTGATAATTTACAAGCAATTATAGATATAGTGATATATTTAGAGGTGAGAGCAGCCTTATAGATATACTAGTGACACTCCCTTTGGTGAAAGATATAAAAATCTTAGCCCCAGGATGTAAACCAAGTCACAGATAACAGTAAACTCCCATCTAGAGCACACATGTTCTGACACCTGTTAAGTGCCTTTTCAGATATGTCACATTCCCCTATCCATAGACACAGGCACCTGCTGAGAGAAAGATCAGGGAAGTTTGATGACACTTGTTGCAGTGAAAAGCTGGTAAAAGGAGAAAGGAAAGAGGCTATCTCAGACCTGAAAAGGCTGGGAGACTATTTTTGTATATAATAACAGGAAATAGTCTTCACATTATATAAACAGGAATTTAATGGAGGAGAGCCACCCAGGGACTCTGGGGAATGCTGGAATACATACTTGCTTACGTCCTGCGAGGGTGGATTTGAGTGAGGAGCAGGGCAGTGAATTCTGGCACTTGTCAGTGCCAGGGCTAAATTATTCTGCTCCTGTTTGGTGGAGGTAACAGCTCTTACATCACTTTAATTGTTTCCTTCCATTGACGTGAAATGAGGAATTTCTTCCATGGAGTGCTTGGTTCAAGCACTGCCAAGAGTTGGCAAAGCTCCTAGTGGCATCTTTCACTTTTGGTCTCTGGTGGCTCTTAAATACAGATGAATTGTGTAGGAAACAAACAGGAGGAATTATCAATCATATGTGTCTCCTCTCAAGAAAATGTGCCATTTTCCTCTTATATATACTGCGATGGCATTTGTTTTTTCAAGTTTGCTCAGTTCACAATCTGCACACTTCACCTTCTTCAAGAAGTCTCCTAGGCTGAAAGCTATTGTCAGCTGTTCTGTGATTCTATCTTGTGTTACCATTGCAGGTGTACATGTCTTACCTCCTTCAGTAGACAGTGACTTCGGAAGACAGATCCTGGTCTGATCCATTTTTGAGTTCTCTATAATGGCTTTCCCAGTTCCTCACACACATTTGGTGCTTAATAAATGTTTGTCTTATGAGTGAACCGATCTTTGATTTGTTGTGTAGTAAACATACAAAATTCTAGGCTGTATCAGCTAGAAATTATGTTGGTACTAGTGACTGAGAACCTAGCATAGTGGCTTAAATAAATTAAAGCCTTCTTTTTCTGTGATGTAAAAAAAAAATTATTAGTCTTGTCAGTCCAGGATGGGTAAGGCAGCTTCACCACATCATGAGGGACCCAAGCACTTCCTTCCATTCTGCGTTCTTCAGCATGTTGCTTGCATCTTCGAGGTCACAAAATATCTGCCAGAGCTCCAGCCAGTAGGTCTGCATTTTAGGAGAATAGAAAGGGAAAGACAAGGGGCAAGCAGGCTCTTCCCTCATTGGCATGAAAAAACCCCAGTAAAGAGAGTTGCAGGAAACGCCAATCAAAGACTTATATTTAAATTTCATTGACCAGCCCCTTAACTGCAAGGGAGGATGGGGAGTAAAGCTTTTTAGCTTGGCACACTTTCCCCCTAAGCAAAATCTGAGTTATGTTTCTAAGGCACAAAGAGAGAGAGGATATTGGGTAAGCAGCCTGCAGTCTTTGCCGTGAAGGATCTTAATCATTCATCAGTAAGTATGATCTTTTTTTTAAAAAAATGTCAATTGTTTCTTTAAGATTTTTAGTTTCTCTTCAAAGTCTATAGGTAAATCACTGAAATTTATCCAGATCCCAGCCTTCACATCCAGGGATTTTGGTGTACCACCATCTACTCAATGCTCCCCGTCCTCCTACCCCATCAAATGAGCTTCGTTTGTTTTTCCTTTATCTCTAAGTGGTATGACACCATCTGCTGTTTTCTGCTTTTGACCCAGAGCCATGTCTGGCATCATCAGACTAATCAAGAGGTGGGAAGGGACAAGGTCAGGCATGGGTTAGTGACACAAATCACTTGGTAATTAAAAACCCCTTGGTGATAACATTTTCTCCTTGCACAACAAAATATCCATTGCAGGATTTTGATAAAATTCTGCTCTATTAATCATCAGCAATTGGAAGCTCAGAATGTGAGGCTAATTGTCAGATTGATGTTGCGGCTGAGAGGAAGTATTAAAATTTCGCAAAGACCATAAGAGAGGCAGTTATAGAAATAGTGTGCTAATTCTTAGCTTACATTTCCATATATGTTAAATTTCTCTTAGAAATTATTTGGATTACTGAGGTACAAGTGATTACTAAAGATAATAATTAATCAATTTAGTCCTCCATTCCATTAATCAATAATTGTTGAGTATATACTATTTGCCAGGCATTGTGCTAGCTGCGAGAGCTATAAATGAGAGTTTTTTAAATGTAGACGTTTCTGAGTTAAAGATACACTGAAAGGCTAAAATGAACAGCAGGAAAATGAGATGATAATCTGAAATCAGCTTCCATAGACCAATAATCCCAGAAAGGCTGCGAGAAAATTAATAGCAGAAACTAAGCTTGGGTATTTTGCAATTCTCTTTTAGCCACACAAAATTAAATTAGAAATTCTGAGAAGACTCAAGCAGGGACTGTTAATATGGGGTTTTGACATGTATTAACTAGACAATCTTTATGAATAAAGAAAAGAGAACAAGTCGCTTCCATGGCATAATATTAAAATAAGGCCTCCTGGATAGCCACTATTCTGAATAAGATAAGAAAGACGATGCCATTACAGCTAAGCAGCTCAAAATTCCATTAGAATATTTTAAGCGTTAGTATAGGAATTTACACAAGAGTTAGAGAAAATGAAATTTAAAACCAAGACCTGAAAGGCACTCATGAATTTAAGGGCAGGTCATTTTGCAGGGGTTGGGTGGGGCAGGAGAATCACTGGATTGTGAAATTGAAATTGAAATTGAAATTGGTTAATTTCAACGGACTACTTGATACAATTGATAGCCATGGATTTGGCAACTGTGGATGCCAGGGCAGACAGAGTTTGCTCCTAAGAAGATGCCCAACTCAGAGACGCTGGGTCCTGTGTCCCATGGTCTCCAGTGCCTTTCATTTGGAGATCATATCACTGTCCTGTGCTTTTGACCTTGTTAGTTGGTCTGACATACTTGTTTTCTTCCCTTTAGCTGAATGAATAATTTATAATCTCTGGAAAGTATAAAAACCCAATGTACTCTTATGTAATTTGTGTTTAAATGTAACCATTATGATGTCCTGTGCATACTATGTTAATGTTTTAAATGATTTTTGAAAGGCTTAAAAAGATTTCTCTCTACAAAATTTATAAGGCTGATGTAGTAGATTGTTAAGAGGAAGGTTTCTTACATTTGTAACTCTCCCTTTGTATATTTCGAATGTTTGAGAGGGGGAGTTATATTAAAATAAAACTTTCAAATAGCCAAGGGAATTTGATTGGTTAAATATGCAAATGATGTTTAACATGAAACATTACTCCTGGCCAGGTGCGGTGGCTCACACCTGTAATCCCAGCACTTTGGGAGGCTGAGGCGGGTGGATCACAAGGTCAGGAGATTGAGACCATCCTGACTAACACGGTGAAACCCCGTCTCTACTAAAAATGCAAAAAATTAGCCAGGCGTGGTGACGGGCACCTGTAGTCCCAGCTACTCGGGAGGCTGAGGCAGGAGAATGGCGTGAACCCAGGAGGCGGAGGTTGCAGTGAGCCGAGATCGCGCCACTGCACTCCAGCCTGGGCGACAGAATGAGACTCCGTCTCAAAAAAACAAAAAAAAGAAACATCACTCCTGTAATCCCAGCACTTTGGGAGGCCAAGGTTGGCGGATCACCTGAGGTCAAGAGTTCGAGACCGGCCTGGCCAACATACTGAAACCCCATCTCTACTAAAAATACAAAAATTAGCTGGGCTTGGTGGCGCAAGACTGTAATCCCAGGCACTCGGGAGGCTGTGGCAGAAGAATCGCTTGAACCTGGGAGGCAGAGTTTGCAGTTAGCTGAGATAGCGCCATTGTACTGCAGCCTGGGCAACAAGAATGAAACTCCACCTCAAAAAAAAAACACAAAAAGTTAATGATTATACTTTAAAAAAAATTTTACTGAAGTATGAATTTTATCAGGTTAAAAAGAGCCTTAGCTCTAGATTTAAGAGCATAATTGCTGGGTCATATGTGTATGGCTCCAGCTTGGATGGAAAGTTCTGAATTGTTCTCCAACACTCCCACTGCAACCCCACCACACATTATTCCATAGTCTGCCAACACTTGATGGTGTGAGGCTCTCTGCTTGTTCCCAACCTGACGACTATAAAATGATATCTCGACCAGGCGCGGTGGCTCATGCCTGTAATCCCAGCACTTTGGAAGGCCGAGGTGGGTGGATCACCTGAGGTCAGGAGTTCGCGACCAGCCTGGCCAACATGGCAAAACCCCGTCTCTACTAAAAATACAAAAATTAGCCAGGCATGGTGGTTCATTCCTGTAATCTGAGCTACTTGAGGGGGCTGAGGCAGGAGAATTGCTTGAACCTGGGAGGCGGAGGTTGCAGTGAGCTGAGATCACGCCACTGCACTCTAGCCTGGGCAACAGAGCAAGACTCCATCTAAAACAAAAAATAAATAAATAAAATGATATCTTATGATGGTTTTAACTTGACTTTTCCTGATTATTAGTGAAATTTCCATTTGTCTTTTATGATAATTTTTATGTTGTCTTTTTCTTATACATATATATTCTGGATTAGTCCCTTAGGAGAGTTAGATGTGTTGCAAATAGCTTCTCCTAGTTTATGCAGATTTTTTACTTTTCTTTTTTTTTTTTAGTATGTCTTTTGATCAGTAGAAGTTTTATATTTTAATCTCGTTCAGTTTATTAGTCTTCTCCTTTATAGTTGGTGCTTAGGTTTTGAAATATCAAGTACCTTTTGGTAATTTTTCAACAGCTTAGCTTATATGGCACAATGCATTTCATATGTACATATACAAATGTCAAAATTATAAATATGCCTAAATTATACATCTGTAACTAGCCTTAAATATTGTAATTAAAACTGTATAATTAAACTAAGCATGCAAGCCAATAGTTTAAAAAAGAGTTTCACTCCAGTTTGGTACTGATTTAGCTCTTGAGCTATTGAAATCAATGGCCAGCATATGAAGCAATTATCTGACGCTTGTGGGTGGTGACCTTGCAGCAGCTCAGCCTCTTCTTTCATTTCATCCTATTTTTGTCCTTAATAGCAGATATTTATCTCAGTTTAAAATTTTATTATTTTCTTTATAACTACAATCTTAACAGTTTAAAATAGTACTAAATTTCATGTGGAAAGAAACTTCAGATTCTCAGCACCTTATCTTCCTTAGCGATTTCCACTCTAGCCCTCAATGTTATTAGGTAAACTCTTATCTCAATTGTTGTTTTCACTGAGTGCTATCTAACCATAATGAAAAAGGGAAAAAAAATAGAGTCCGAATTATCCATAACTGCCTCTGCTTTCTGAGAAAGGCAACGTGATTCTTTTTCAGTGGAGGAAAAACCTCTCTATGGACTTTTTTCACCCCATAACAGAGAGATTAGTGGGAGAAAGAGAAGAGCTTGAGATTCCTGTCTATCAGGGCCTTTGGAAATTCAAATTGTGTCCCAGAGCTGAATTCTCCAAAAGAATGTACAGAGATTTGGAGGTGCGGGGGAGAGAGGGCTAAATAGTTTGGCGGGAGGCTGGAAGCTGAGCTGGTAGATAGGGTCAGAAGACTTTTTAAGAACAAAGACTGGAGACTTGAGGTGACTCCATCTTCACTATTACTTCAGATCTTTCTTATAATGTGCTTCATAAACACACACCTTGTGTGAAAGCTGCTTTTGAGAAAAAGAAACGTATTTTATGCGACGCAGGGTGCAACAGGAGCGGCGCATGTGGGGCAGTGAGAAATTCCTTCCCCTGACCCGATTCAGCAGTGAAGGTGATCAGAGCAAATAGGAACTGGACTGCTTCACGCTCCTCAAGGACTTTAAGGAGTGTGTCTTCCACCACCCACAGCAAAGGGCTCAGAAAATTTTATCTGAACCTCCTGACATCTGAGTTATACAAACTAAGACAAAGAATGGGAAGCACATAGCAGCCACTGGTCCATTACAGTTCTAAAGTCCAGCCAGGCGCGTATTTACCCGAGATAGAAAATGTTCCTTAGTCAGGGTCTAGTACTGCTCACTGGAAGTAATTCCCCGATCCACTCTTTTTTTGAGGCTCTTTAGTTCATCCTCTGTGCTCTTGGCTCTGCCCTCCAAGTTGTCCTTCATTTTCATTAGAAGTAGCTTTCACAATCTGCTGCTTGCCCCTAAAAACTGGGGACCCAGAGAGTTCATTTCATTTTGAAATAATGTCCCTGCTCCATTTAGTTATAGCTGGCTTTAGCAAGTATGCAGCAGGGGACTAATATCCAGAATTTAGAAGGAATTCAAATGACTCAACGACAACAACAAACCAATAATTCCATTAAAAAGTGGGCAAAGGACATGAATAGACATTTTTACTTTCTTTTTTGTTTGTTTGCTTTTGAGACAGAGTCTCACTCTGTCACCCAGGCTGGAGTGCAGTCGGGTGATCTTGGCTCACTGCAACCTCTGCCTCCCGGACTCAAGCAATTCTCCTGCCTCAGCCTCCCATGTAGCTGGGACCAGATGTGTGTGCCACCACGCTTGGCTAATTTTTGTATTTTCTTCTTAGTTAGAGATGGGGTTCCGCTGTATTGGCCAGGCTGATCTCGAACTCCTAGTTAAGTGGTCCACCCGCCTCGGCCTAAAGTGCTGGGATTACAGGAGTGAGCCATCGTGGCCGGCCAAATAGACATTTTTCAAAAGAAGACACACAAATGACCAACAAGCATATGAAAACATGCTTAACATCACTAGTTATCAGAGAAATGCAAATTAAAACCAAATGAGATATCATCTTACACCAATCAAAATGGCTATTATTATTATTATTTTGAGATGGAGTCTTGCTCTGTTGCCCAGGCTGGAGTGCAATGGTGCAATCTCAGCTCACTGCAACCCACGCCTCCCCGGTTCAAGCAAATCCCCTCCTTCAGCCTCCCTAGTAGCTGAGATTACAGGAGTGCCCCACCACGCCTGGCTAATTTTTGTATTTTTAGTAGAGACGGGGTTTCACCATGCTGGCCAGGCTGGTCTTGAACTCCTGACCTTGTGATCCACCAGCCTCGGCCTCCCAAAGTGCTAGGATTACAGGTGTGAGCCATGGCGCCCAGCCCAGAATGGCTATTATTAAAAAGACAAAAAATGGCAGATGTTGGTGAGGATGTGGAGAAAAGGGAATGGCTTACACATTGCTGGCAGAAATGTTAATTAGTACAACCTCTATGGAAAACATCATGGAGATTTCTCAAAGAAATAAAAATAGAACTACAATTCGATCCAGCAGTTTCGCTACTGGGTATCTACACAGAGTAAAGAAATCATTTTATAAAAAAAGATACCTGTACTCATGTATATCACAGCACTCTTCACAATAGCATAGATATCAGCCTAAGTGTCCATCAACAAATGATAGGTAAAAGAAAATATTTGTCTATATACACAATGGAATGCTATTCAGCCATAAAAAAGAATGAAATGATGTCTTTTGCAGCAACGTGGATGGAACTGGAGGCTATGATCTTAAGTGAAACAACTCAGAAACAGAAAGTCAAGTACTGCATGTTTTCTCTCATAAGTGGGAGCTAACCGGTGGGTAAACATGGATATTGAGTATGGATGATAGACAGTGGAGATTAGGAAGGGTGGTGAGATAGGGAGAGAGAATGATAAATCACTTGGTGGTACAACCTATGTTATTTGGGTGATGGGTAACCTAAAAGCTCCGACTCCACCACTACACAATGTATTCATCTAACAAAATTGTACCACATAAATATATACACATTTTAAAAATTTAAAAAAAAGTTCTGAGTTCTTGTTGAGTCTTATTGAGGATCACACCATAGCAGAAGGACTACATCCATAATTCTTTCTAAGATGCGCTTTTCTGTACTTTGGGCCACATGTGAGGCTGCTATGGTAAATGCTCTTAAGATTCTTAGAAGTCCAACTGTCTAGTTGAGAAAGTCTACTAGGTGCTGCCTTAAATCTTATAGAAGTTTTAATAAGGGATCTTGGCTGGGCACAGTGGCTCACGCCTGTGATCCCAACACTTTGGGAGGCCGAGGCGGGTGGATCACCTGAGGTCAGGGGTTCGAAACCAGCCTGGCCAACATGGCGAAACCCCGTGTCTACTAAAAATACAAAAATTAGCTGGGCATGGTGGCACATGCCTATAATCCCAGGACTCAGGAAACTGAGGCAGGAGAATCGCTTGAACCCAGGAGGCAAAGTTTTCAGTGAGCCAAGTTCATGCCACTGCACTCCAGCCTGGGCAACAGAGTGAGACTCCATCTCAAAAGAAAAAAAAAAAAAGATGGGCATTTTACCTTATTAAAATAGTAATCATAAGGGAGCTTATAGACAAACCTTTTTTTTAATGTTTACTTACCTTGGCCATTTCTTACTTTGAGAATGTTTTGCTGGCCGGAGATGCTGTCCTGGGCCCTCTGTTTCTTCTTACTGCTGCCTAAAACCTAAAGAGTTCTTTCTTTCCATTCATCTCTTTCTTCCTGCACTTTATCTTCCTGCACTTTACTAAAACCTAAAGAGTTCTTTCTTTCCATTCATCTCTTTCTTCCTGCACTTTATCTTCCTGCACTTTACTAAAACCTAAAGAGTTCTTTCTTTCCATTCATCTCTTTCTTCCTGCACTTTATCTTCCTGCACTTTACTAAAACCTAAAGAGTTCTTTCTTTCCATTCATCTCTTTCTTCCTGCACTTTATTCTGCACTTTCTTCCTGCACTTTGTAACTTTCTTCCTGCACTTCATCACTTTCTTCCTGCACTTCCTGCACTCTCCATTCATCTCTTTCTTCCTGCACTTTTAACACAGGTAAAAGAAGCCAATTGTACTTTCAATATTTTACCTAAAAATCTCCTTATTCAGATCAAGTTCATTAGCTATATTTTATTTCTGTCTTTCATGACATTACAGGTGACAATGTGGCCAAAAATCTCACTACTATGTAACATCTTTTGTCACGCTTCCAAAAGCAATTTTCTCACTGCTATTGCAGGCTTCCTAACAATTTCCTCACTGCCCTTCTAGCCTCTGCTGCCTCCCAATATCAGAGCCAATGACAAATGTTTTAGGGTTTGGTTATGGCAGTATCCCACTTCCAGATAGCAATTTCTGTTTCAATTATCTACTGCTGTGTCATAAACCCGCCCAGCATTTAGTGGCTTAAATCAATATCCATTTTATTGCTCACAATTCTGTGGGTCAGGAATTTGGGTGAGGGCTGATGGCAACAGCTCATCTCAGCTCCAGTGGGGCTAACTGGGAAAGTTCCAAGCTGTCGGCCGGCTCGGGCACCTTGATTCTCCTGTCTGTGGCCTCTCATCATCCAGACCCTGTTCCTTTCCATGTAGCGTCTCCAACAGGACACGCTGGACTTCTTTACACACCAGCTGGCTTCCAAGAAGGCAGAAACAGAAACTGCTAGGCCTCTTATGGCCTAGGCCCAGAAGTCACAATGCCACTTCCAGAGCTTTCTGTTGGTTAGATCAAGTCATGAAGCCAATCTATATTCAAGGGAAGGGGAAAGATATTTCATTTCTTTGCTGGGAATGATACATCACAAAACAGCATGCAGGATAGGATGGATTGGGGTGACCATTTTTAGAAAGGACCTACCTCTCAGAAAGCGGCAAAAATTCATGAACTGAAATACTCTGAGACAATCTCTATTTTATAGTCTAGCAATAAACCAGAAGTTCAAGCTCTGCTCTCTGGCTACGTAAGCAAACTGAGGTCAGAAAGGAGTTCAAGCAACAACGAATTGATACAAGGCTGCTGTTACAAGATTCTCATCTATAGTGGTTTGGTCTTTGCTCGAGCATTTTGAGAGACAAACTGCCTCCAAAGGAGACCTGTTCCACAATTGAATAATTCTAAAGTCTATAACAATCTTCCATTTGCAAAGTTCAACATTGCCTTTCTGTGACTCCTCCCATGGTCAGATATCTGCCCTCCAAGGCCACTGAAAGAAAGGCTACTCCCTCCTCAATATGGCATTCATTTAAATCTAAATATTTTCAAACACTTTTCTTGACTCAAGACTTCCTAACTTCTTTACCTGTCTATCATGTTAAGTCATTATTTCCCAGAAACATGTGTTTATGTATAACACATACAATCCATAGAATAAAATTTGCCCAGAATAGTATGTTTAAGAGGAAAGAAAAGTATGTAATAGATTATTGAAAGTTTCAAAATATCTGGTGGTACAATGAGTGAGTTAAACATTTATCTGGCTTAACCATTCAGTTTGATCTTGTGGAAATCCAGTGCTTGGAACTTATCTTGTCCTAACTTTTTCATAACATAGTCACTGTTTACCTGAATAATTGTCTAAATGTAGTGTCCTTTATGGTTGGTTAGTATTCACTGGGTGATGGGGAAAAGAAATACATAAATCCTGAGAAAAGCTGAAAGCAAAGTTTATTCTTACAAATGACAAAAAATGCCCAGATACAACAGACTCTCTGTTTGATGTGTGTGTGCCAGAATGAAAACTATGGGTCTGAGGCACCTTCTTTTTAAAAAAAAAATTTTTTTTATTTGCATAGGTTTTTGGGGAACAAGTGATATTTGAGTACATGAGTAAATTCTTTAGTGGTGATTTGTGAGCTTTTGGTGCACCCATCATCTGAGCAGTATATACTGCACCCAGCGTGTAGTCTTTTATCCCTCACCCCCTTTCCACACTTTGTCCCTGAGTCCCCAAAGTCCAATGTATCATTCTTATGCCTTTGCATCCTGATGCACCTTCTTCCATAAGCACCATCCAGAAGGAGAAGTGGTTCTTCAACTATGGCTGATGGGAGCAAAGTGCTGAAGCAACTATGACTGGTTGAAAGACCATTTCTCCTGTGAATGGTGCTTATGGAAGAAGGTGCCTTAGACCCAAAACTAGAGTGAGGCTTTTATTGGTTGGGGAAGGTGGCTATAAAAAGATAAGAATAATGAAAAGCTATGACCAATTAAAAAAAATGAGAACTTAATCACAGCCTTATCGACCCACAACCAGGGGTCCACAAATAGCCTTAATTATGACTTATGTTATTAAGATAACAACCCCAAATTTTCCGGGCAGCAATTTTTTTGTGCCAATATTTTGGTCTTTTGCTTCCAAAGACTAGCCTTTTGATAAAGTCAGACAGCTCTAAAATGTATGTGTTTAAGTTCTATAAATAGACATACATTTGAGGATATATGAAAGGAGCAAAGTATTTATCTCACCACACAGTTAAGAATTTTAAAAACATTCATTGTTGGATAGTGATTTTTAAAACATTAAAATAAGTGGAACGATTGCTTTGAATTTATGAAGAATAACACATATAATTAATGACTTTTCTATTTGTATTATACTTGCTTAGATGGTTCAGACTTAGTAAGAAAGCTATTGATAGTAGAAAACAATGTGTATATGTAATAATAAAGAAATAACGTGGATTGTTAGTGAATAGAAAATAGTCCTTTTGGCCAGGTGTGGTGGCTCATGCCTGTAATCCCAGTACTTTGGAAGGCCAAGGCAGGAGGATCACTTGAGCCAAGCAGTTCGAGACCAGTCTGGTTAGCATAGTGATACCCTGTCTCTACACAAAATTAAAGTAAAAAAATTATCTGGGGGTGGTGGCGCACACCTGTGGTCCCAGCTACTTGGGAGGCTGAAGTGGGAGGATCCCTTGAGCCCAAGAGGTTGAGGCTGTAGTGAGCCTTGATTGTACCACTGCACTCCAGCCTGGGTAACAGAGTGAAATCCTGTCTCAGAAAGAAAGAATGAAAAAAAGAAAGAAAGAGAGAAAGAGAGAGAGAAAGAAAGAAAGGAAAGAAAGAAAGAAAGAAAGAAAGAAAGGGAAAGAAAGAGAGAGAGAGAAGGAGGGAGGGAAGGAGGGAAGGAAGGAAGGAAAGAAAGAAGGAAGGAAGGGAGGGAGGGAGGAAGGGAGGAAGGGAGGGAGGGAGGAGGGAAGGAAGGAAGAAAGAAAGAAGTGGATATGTTTTGGATGTTTATCCCCTCCAAATCTCATGTTGAACTGTAATCCCCCATACTGGAGGTGGGACCTGGTGGGATGTGTTGGATCGTGGGAGCAGATCCCTCGTGAATGACTTAGTGCCATCCCCTTGATAATGAGTGAGTTCTTGTTCAGTTGGTTCACGTGAGATCTGGTTGTTTAAAAGAGTCTGGGACCTCCCCCTTCTCTCTCTCTCTCACTCTCTCTCTCACCGCGTGACCCTGCGTGCCCTGATTTAAAGCTTCCTGAGGCCTCACCAGAAGCTGAGCAGATGCTGGTGCTGTGCTTGTACAGCCTGCAGAAACTGAACCAAAAAAACCTCTTTTCTTTAGAAATTACCCACCCTCAGGTATTCCTTTATAGCAATGAAAATGGCCTAACACAATAGTCTTTTGACTATATTTAGTTTGAAGATAGTTCCAGATATTTCCCTACATTACTTTCTCATCTTTAGTGAGCAAATGGTATACTGAAACTAGATAGTGATGGTGGTGCGACAATGTGCGTGTACTAAATGTCTCTGGATTGTACACTTAAAATGGTTAAAGTGGTAAATTTTATGTTATGTATATTTTACCACCACAACAAAAAAAACCTTTCTTTTTTTTTCTTTTTTCTTTTTTTTTTTTATTTGAGATGGAGTCTTGCTCTGTCGCCCAGGCTGGAGTGCAGTGGCACGATCTCAGCTCACTGCAACCTTTGCCTCCCAGGTTCAAGTGATTCTCCTGCCTTAGCCTCCCCAGTACCTGGGATTACAGGCACACACCACCATGCCCGGTTTATTTTTGTATTTTTTTAGTAGAGTCGGGGTTTCACCATGTTGGCCAGGCTAGTCTTGAACTCCTGACCTTATGATCTGCCCGCCTCTGCCTCCCAAAGTGCTGGGATTACAGGTGTGAGCCACCACACCTGACCAAAAATAACCTTTCAAAACAAACAAACCAACAAAAAACACCCATAGTTCACCTAAATATGCCTGAAAATGTACTTTGCAGGGAACCTAAAATCTGGGATTTGAAGTAAAAAAGGATAACCCCAAGTTGAATTTGTTAAGATTGCCCACCTTTTCTTTGCTGACAACTGGCAAATGGTTTGCTAACTTCTGGGCAGATGAGAGTTCAGTCAGCACAATCAACAAAGAAGTGACGTTCACTCGGGCCCAGGCAGGCCTATGTGCTGGGAGCTTTTGGACCTTAAATTGGTCTGAGTTCACTGTTGCTCCAGTTGCAGACAGGAGCAGGCAGGTTCAAGAGTTTCTGATGCTTTGCTGTCCAGCAGTCAGCTGACCATGAGCACAGCCGGCACAAGCAGCCCTTTATGCTGGTGAGAATCCTGCCAGCAGTGCTGAGGCACAATCCCTCCTTTATGTGTTCCCTTTGCACATTTGTATTCTTGGGGCCTTTGGGATTTTTGTTGCTGCAGATAATGGGAAATGGGTGTCGGTGGGTGTTACGAGCAGGGTTTTCAGTAGACTAGGAAGAACAACTGGTTAAAAATAAAATAACAATAGTGACAAATAGGAAAGGTGGGCAACCTCAGGCAGTACAGCTCCTGAGCAAATGCTTCCAGCTTTTACCCTAAAACATAAGCAACTGGGCACAACTCCAGGCCTTGACTGTCTCATTGGCTGATAGGAATAACTACTAGGAACTATTAAGATTACCTGATATTCTGGCCTTTTCATAATTACAGTGCAGCCTAGTTGATGTTGTTGGAACATGATGGTTCTTTGATAGAAAAGTCTCTACTTTCATTACAAATGGAAAGTGCAAATCAGAAGGGTTTGTACCATTTGGGGTTAGGATCCAAAACATTTGTTCCACCAAGGGGGAAAAGGTCCAACTACAACAAGTTATCTTGAGATTGTCCAGGGTGTTCTCTAAAGCCCTAAATCCAAAACTTTTCCTTTTTTGAGGCAGACTCTCACTCTGTTACCCAGGCTGGAGTGCAGTGGTTCCATCTCGGCTCACTGCAGCCTCCGCCTCCCAGGTTCAGGTGATTCCCCTGCCTCAGCCTCCCGAGCAGCTGGGATTACAGACGTGTGCCACCACGCCTGGCTAATTTTTTGTATTTTTATTAGAGACGCGGTTTCACCATGTTGTCCAGGCTAGTCTCGAACTCCTGATCTCAAGTGATCTGCTGGTCTTGGCCTCCCAAAGTGTTGGGATTCCAGGCGTGAGCCATCATGCATGGCCCCTGCATCTGAAACTTTAATGTGCATGCGGATTCAAATGGGGATCTTGTCAAAATACAGTTTCTGATTTTGAAGATTTTGCATTTCTTTTTTTTATTTTTATTTTTATTTTATTTTTTATCTTTGAGATGGAGTCTCGCTCTGTCGCCCAGGCTGGAGTGCAGTGGAACAATCTTGGCTCACTGCAAGCTCTGCCTCCTGGGTTCACGCCATTCTCCTGCCTCAGCCTCCCAAGTAGCTGGGACTACAGGCGCCCGCCACCACATCTGGCTAATTTTGTGTATTTTTAGTAGAGACGGGGTTTTACAGTGTTAGCCAGGATGGTCTCGATCTCCTGACATCGTGATCCGCCCGCCTTGGCCTCCCAAAGTGCTGGGATTACAGGCGTGAACCACCACGCCCGGCCGAAAATTTTGCATTTCTAACAAGGTTTCAGGGAGTACTGATGCTGCAGGTCTGAGGACCACACTTCAAGTTGCAAGGCTGTCAGGAAGTGAGAGCTAGCTAGGGGGAAACTAGCATCATTTCAGTTAGGTCTAGTATTGCTGCTAATTTACTGAAAGTTTTAAAATGTAGCTTTTCTGTAAAGAAACAAACAGGACATTCTAACTAAACAAAGTGCTGTGAAATCAGTCATTCACACTGGGTAGCTAGAGCTACTGTGTCTCAACTGGAGGAGGCACCATCTCCAGTGGATTATTTAGAAACGTAGAGGGTGGCTACTGGTATTTGGTGCCTGGGGGCCCAGGGCACTAAATGTCTGGTAATGTGTGGAAGAGTTCTGCACAAATAATTGTCCCACTCAAAACGCCAAGAGAGCCCCCCTGCCCCGCCCCATTCAGGTACCCGAGCTACACCAGTGGAGATGGAGGCTGCACCCATACCTGAGACCTCAGCCAATCAATTCTATGGCCATCTCCTTGAGTGTGTCATCTGGAATAGAAGATCCTGCCCATGTATTTTAGCTCATCTCTTTAGAACTTTGACTGCCCTTGGAATTCTCCAGTGGGAAGAGTGGCCTCTGTCTAGTGTACCACATGTGGTTCCATAGCTTGATGTATTCTCTCAGCAAAGGATGAGATCGACAGGAAAGGCTTCAGGAAGCCCTACGGAATTTGGATTCATCAACATTTTGAATCAAAAATCAGAAAAGGGAACATCCAGTGTTCCCCTTGAGACGATACCCTCAAGTGCTGCTGGTGCTCACCTCCTAAACTCCTAAACGGGGCTGTGACCAGCTTGCCTAGTGCCAACGACAACAGCTCCAAGGCATCTGGGCCTATCAAACTTCCACTGCGTTCTTTTCCACAAAAGAAAGAATCCCACAGCGCTAGATTTGCTGGCCATCATGTCAAACAAACTCTGACCTCTGATCCCAACACAGTGTTGAACATTACAATGAGGATGTTAGAAATTCTGCTGGAGACTGAGTTGAGGTAAAAATAGATACAGGGGCTGGGCATGGTGGCTCACACCTGTAATCCCAGCGTGTTGGGAGGCTGAGGTGGAAGGATTACTTGAGGCCAGGAGTTTAAGACCAGCCTGGGCAGCATAGCAAGACCCTGTCTCTAAAAAAAAAAAATTTTTTTTTTAATTAGCTGTGTGTGTTTCCACGTGCCTGTAATCCCAACTACTCGAGAGGCTGAGGCGGGAGGATTGCTTGGTCCCAGAAGTTGGAGGAGTGCAATGAGCTGTGATCCCGCCACTGCACTCCAGCTTGGTCAACAGAGCAAGACCACATCTCTAAAAACAAAGACACAGATATGAGAAATAAAATAGGGATGAAAGGAATGAGTTAAGACAATGTTAGAGAAGGATGACGTAGTAAGAAACCTGAAGATAACGAAAACCCACATTAACCTAATGTTGCAGAAAAGAGGGCTTCATCATTGTTGTCTGAGAAACTTGTGAGTAAAAGACAAAAATAATACATATTGTGATAAATACATTCAATACAATATAAGGAAAATATTCTTTAGCTTCTTGAGACTCCATGAAGTTCAAGAGTTAGGAAATTCTGAAAAGGGTTTGGCAGGGTCATAGTGATTCCGTCTGGAAAGGGTTTGTTTGTGCTTGGTCTCAGGGCTGCTAGGAAGATGGGAAACGTCTCTGGCACTCCAGGAGAGCAATTACTCTGTGCCATGACTTCAAGTGCCCCCTCACCATGATGCAGTGCCCCATGGGAGATGTTCTGTCACTGATCCCACTGTCTCACTACATTCCAACAGTCCAAAAGACAGGCAAAAATTTAGACTGATAACTTTTTTTATTAGTCTGATTTAAAAATTAGTTACACAAGTAAAATAATGTCTGTATCACACTCATAATCACGTGTGCACATGAAAATGTTAGCTCAGAGGAGGTTGAATGCTTCTCCAGTGCAGACTTCCTGGAAAGCTGGAAAGCTGGGCAATGGCTCAGGGGCCCCTGGGCACAGCACTGTCTTCTCCTGAATGAGAATCAGCTGTGCTGATGCCTACGTTAGTTCAAGAACCAGGAGCTGCATAAACAAGCTTTTGAGAAGTATGCCAGAAGAAGCTCAGATTGATGATGGTGTGTTTGACAAAATTAATGAAGCCATGCTTATTAGACTGAAAGATAAGATTCCAAATGTGAGAATACAGGCAGTTCTGGCGCTTTCACGACTTCAGGATCCAAAGGATGATGAATGCCCAGTGGTTAATGCATATGCTACTTTGATCGAAAATGATTGATTTGAATCCAGAACTTAGACAGGCAGTGTTATCATGTATTGCACCATCAGCAAAGACTTTGCCAAAAATTGTAGGGTGCACCAAGGATGTGAAAGAGGCTGTCAGAAAGCTGGCTTATCCGGTGTTAGCTGAAAAGGTTCGTATGAGAGCTATGTCCATTGCTCAGACAGTAATGCTCCCTCAACAAGGTTTTAATGAGAGATCAGATGCTGTGAAACAAGCTATGTGGAAGCATCTTCTCCAAAGCTGGTTATGGTTCTCTGAGGGAAATATCTTCGAGTGGCTTCAGCAGTTGGATGTAGAAAATTCTGAAGTGGCAGTCTCTGTCCTCAATGCCATGTTTTCAATGACTCCTCTCAGTGAACTGGTGGCAATCTGTAAAAACAATGATGGCAGGTACATAAAGGATTCATTCTTTGAAATGTAATACTGATTAACTTCTACAATTAATTTGTTTTTTTTCCTCCCCATAGCTTAAGATTATATTAATATCTTTAATCTTACCTCCCTTTTGTTTTCTTTTAGTCTGATGAATATCTTCTTTCCCTTCTTTTTTCCCCTCCTGGTGTAAGAACTCATTACTTTATCTTAGACTATCTACTTTAGCTGTGGTTTTCTACCCCTCGGTTTCTTACTTTGATTTTTGAATTAGCCTACCATGAGAAAATCCAGCAACATGCACCCCTAGTATATGTTTGCTTATTTGGTTCTTTTTTGTTCTAAGTTCCTTCATTCCTTTCTGTGTTAATGACTCTAATTAAAAGGATAGTGGTTTTAAAGCAAATCTTCTTATTCTTATTTATGTTCTCTTCAATTTGTAATGATATAAAGATCATGCTTTCTCTTACACTCTTTCTTTTAAGTGAAGGAAATTGATTCTAGTGGAAACGTTAACTCCTGAAATTGCTTTGTATTGGTGTGCCCTTTGTGAATATTTGAAATCAAAAGGAGATGAAGGTGAAGAATTTTTAGAGCGGATTTCGCCAGAGCCTGTAGTATATATAGACTATTTACTGAGGTAAATTTTTTTTTCTTTTAGTTTGGAGAATGCTTGTGTTGCTGCAACTGTTAACCTCCCAGCCCCCTTCCTCGAGGTCATGCTTGATTGTGAATATGTTAAAAATCCTTTTTTTTTTTTTTGTACATGCCGGGATAGTTATATACATTGAGTCTTTTTGAATATCTTGTATATCTTGTGCTGGTCTGTATAATGAAAGAGCAAATCATGTTTAGGATCATTTCTTCAAAACTATTAAGATATGATTATGAACATTTCTGCATATACAGTTGATAATGATGATGTATTATTTCTGAAATTGGTTGGCACATTTTCTGTTAAGTGCCAGATAATAAGTATCTTAGGGTCTTGTGGGCCATACCATCTGTCAAAAACAAAAACAAAAAACAAAAAAGACCAGGAGCTGGTTGGACATTTGTGAATGTTCTCTTGCCCTACTTCGACTCTCACTTCTCTTAAGTTCTGTACCTCGACTACACAAATCAGAGGCTGCCAGCAGATGGATGTGTGCACGTGTGTGTATGAATGTACTTCCTGTCCACCTGGAACTTACCTGCAAAAATCCTTGCCACAATTTGGATGTGCAGAGAAAGTGTTGTTTCTTATTTTCTTTATATCCTTTCTTGCCTTCCTCAGGTACTACCTATTACCAGCAGGAAAACAAAGCAAACAAACCAACAGAACCCAGGAAAATGGAAATGGCCCACCTGATTTAAGCTTTAGACATACACAATACTTTATTGTACATAAGTGTCAAATGAAATTAAAAACGAGGAAAAAAAGACATACACAAGACTTTAAATGGCTCCGTGGGCACTGTCCAGCCCTCAGCTTGGATCCGTCTGGCTATCCTTGTATGTGGTGGCATTGCTTTGGGTGTCAGGGACGCCCTTGGCTGCTTGGCTTCTGGACTCCCTGCTTACTTATGAGCTCAGGCCTGGGGCTGGGGGGTTCATGGTGGGACCCGTGGGCACAGGAACCACTCTTGTGGGGCATAGCCCCCAATGGACCCAGATTAGACCCCTCTAAGTGCCTGTAGTGCCATCCATGCAACCACCTCCAGCCCTGCCTCAGCCTGACCTCGCTCTAGCACCATGGACTTGGGGCCCACCCAGCGGCTCTCAGCCACCCCTTTCATGCTGGGACTTTGTGAGGGACACTCAGCACCTACATCAGGCTGATCGCCTCGCCAGACTCTTCCTGCTCTTTTTTTATCCACCACGCTGTAGACTGCCGAGGTAGACTTTTCTTTACATTTCCTCTGTGACATCTTCCCCCTACCACTTCAGAGAAAGCCCTGAGGCCCAGCAGGTCCAGCAGATGGATGGAAGGACTCTCTTCATCTCCACTGTAAGAAATGGTTTAAGCTGCAAGGCATACCTAGACCATTCAAATAGCAGCTGAAAGAATCCACCAAATCCACAAAGCACGGATTTCAAGCCTAGCCTCTTGACAAGAGAGAACATACCTGCTCTCGGCCCCAGGCAATAAACCCCTTGACTTGATTTTGAGATGAAAGAGGCTAGAAGGAAATGTGGCATAAGGACAAAAGGCACTGGTTAAATATTTGTAGACTATTCTTTCCATTACCACTGTTCTATAGAGTCTTGAGGAGAAAACAAGACAAAGCAACAAATAATTATATAATTCAGTAGCTGCAATAGATAAAGAGAACCATTAAAAGAATAGGTTTTCTCAATTATAAAATGAGGCATTAACCAAATTTTGAATATTAACTATATATTTGACTATTCCTGGACAACTAGAAGGCTGGCGATTGTACATGCATTTGTATTTGCCAGTTGTGTGTCTTCCTCCTTTCAACCTCACACAGCTAATTTATGTTGACCCTCAAAAAAGAAAATGAGTACTTGAATGTCAAGGCATGTGACTTTCATTCTAGGACATATAGTAACTTCCAGAGCACTGAGTCAGCAGTCTAAAGGTTTAGCCTTCATACTCCTGACAGCTGTTTATTTCTTTCAGTGTAATTTCAGAGAAACATATCCAGAAGGGATTTGCTGCCCTAGATCTATCAGAAAACATATTTAAGATATTCTGTAGTTTTATAGCACAAAAATCTAACACTAAATAATCACATCATAACAGGGTTTCAATTTCTGTAATAATTTATCTTAAATCAGGCACAAGGGTATTTAAAGCACACAACTAATACTTTGTAGAGATTTAATGAGATGATGTATGGGAGCAGTAGGGGCTGAGACATTTGTTTCCAGTACTATTTTAAAGCAATAAGAGAATAATAGCATTTGAAATAACCTTTCCAATCTATTGGATTCAGGCTTCTGCCTTCTGTATCTAAAAAGAAGCTTAGTCACTGGCTTCTGGTAGATGAGTAGGACTTCTCAAAGATCAGGAAGGCTTGGGGTCATAGCTGGTGATGCATAAAGGGCCCCAGGTCAAGAAGTCTAAGCCCATCAGGCTCAGATTGAAACCAGGAACCTGAGCGACAGGCCAAATTGGGACTTAGGAGGTCCTCTAGGCAAAATCAGTCCCTGAAAAGGAAGATTGGAGCAGAAACCAGTGGCTCCAGCAGGTGGGAGAGAGCAGACAGCAGTTTTCATCCACAAGGTAACTGGCTGCTTTGATAGCAGCTCTGCCTCCCTAAGTGCTTCAGATATGAAGCAACTCCTAAGAAAAGAACTAGAATTAAAACTATCAAAAATTACAAGAATTAAAATAATAGAGTAGAAAGTATCTATTTATTACAAAAGAAAGCAATGAAAAGGAATAGTCACGAGACTAACAAAATGAAGTCATGAGCATGACAAATAAATATTGAAATGGCAGATATAATTTCAACCATACAAATAATAACATTAAATGTGAATGGATTAGACACCCCAATCAAACGACAGAGATTGTTAAGACTGGATTTTTTTTTTTTTTTTTTTGAGATGGAATCTTGCTCTGTCGCCCAGGCTGGAGTGCAGTGGTGCGATCTCGGCTCACTGCCAGCTCTGCCTCCCGAGTTCAAGCAATTCTCTGCCTCAGCCTCCTGAGTAGCTGGGATTATAGGCGCCCCACCACCACGCCCGGCTAATCTTTTGTATTTTTAGTAGAGACAGAGTTTCACCATCTTGGCCAGGCTGGTCTTGAACTCCTGACCTCGTGATCCACCCGCCTCGGCCTCCCAAAGTGCTGGGATTACCGGCGTGAGCCACCGCGTCTGGCCAAGGCTGGATTTTTTAAAACAAGACCCACCTAGCAGGGTGTGGTGGCTCACGCCTGTCATCCTAGCACTTTGGAAGGCCGAGGCGGGTGGATTGCCTGAGCTCAGGACTTCGAGACCAGCCTGGGCAACACGGTGAAACCCCATCTCTAATAAAATACAAAAAATTAGCCCGGCATGGCGGCGGGCGCCTGTAGTTCCAGCTACTTGGGAGGCTGAGGCAGGAGAATCACTTGAACCCTAGAGGTGGAAGTTGCAGTGAGCTAGGATCGCACCACTGCACTCCAGGCTGGGCGACAGAGCAAGGCTCTGTCTCCAAAAAAAAAAAAAGGCCGGGTGTGGTGGCTCACGCCTGTAGTTCCAGCACTTTGCGAGGCCAAAGAGGGTGGATCACGAGGTCAGGAGATCGAGACCATCCTGGCTAACACGGTGAAACCCCGTCTCTACTAAAAAAATTAGCCGGGTGTGGTGGCGGGCGCCTGTGGTCCCAGCTACTCTGGAGGCTGAGGCAGGAGAATGGCGTGAACCCGGGAGGCGGAGCTTGCAGTGAGCCCAGATGGAGCCACTGCACTTCGGCCTGGATGACAGAGCAAGACTCCGTCTCAAAAAAAAAAAAAAAAAAAATCAAAAAACAAGACCCACCTAGTATGTGCTCTTTAAAAGAGACGTGACTTTGATTCAAAGAGTTTCGAGATAAAAGGATGGTAAAGATATCTCATGCAAGCATTAACTTTGGGAGAGCCAAAGTGGCTGTACTAATATCAGAGAAAATTTAAACACAAAGGAATTACTTAATTTAAAAAAAATTTAAGTGCATAGTTTAGATTAGGAAATCAATCTTTGTGGTGCGCAGTACTATGGGTTTTGGCAAGTGCAAAGTGTCATGTATCCACCATTACAGTACTGTACACAGTCGTTTTACCATGCCCCAAATGCCTTCTGGTACAACTATTCATTCTTCCCGTTCCCCAGTCCCTGAGCTTCTGGCAACCACTGATCTTTTTCACTGTCTATGATTTTGCGTTTTCCAGACTGTCAAACAGTATTGTTGCCTTTTCAGACTGGCTTCTTTTACTTAGCAATATACATTTAAGGTTCCTTCATGTTTTCGTAATAGCTATTGACAGCTCATTTATCTTTATCACTGAATAATATTCCATTATATGAATATACCACAGTTTTTATCCATTCACTTGTTGAAGGACATCTTGGTTGTTTCCAAGTTTTGGCAATTATGAATAAAGCTGCTATAAACATTTGTGTGCAGGTTTTGGTGTAGGCATATGTTTTCAGTTCATTTGGGTAAATACCAAGTAGCATGATGGCTGGATCATATGGTAAGAGTATGTTAGCGTTTGTAAGAAACTGTCAAACTGTCTTCCAAAATAGCTGTACCATTTTACATTCCCACCAGCAACGAAAGAGAGTTCCCATTGTTCCACATACTTGCTATCATTTGATGTTGTTAGTGTTTTGGATTTTGGGCATTCTAATAGGTGTGTAGTGGTAGCTCATTGTTGTTTTAATTTGCAGTTGTCTTATGACATATTATGTCGAGCATCTTTTCATTGCTTATTTGCTGTCTGTATATCTTCTTAGGTGAGGCGTCTGTTTAGATCTTTTGTCTATTTAAAAATTAGGTTGTTCATTTTCTTATTGTTGAGTTTTAAGAGTTCTTTGTATATTTTAGATACAGTCCTTTATTCAATATGTCTTTTGTAAATATTTTATCCCAGTTTCTCATTCTCTTGACAGTGTCTTTCACAGAGTAGAAGTTTGTAATTTTAGTGAAGTCCAGTTTATTAATTTGTTCCTTCATGGATCATGCCTTTGTGTTCTAACCAAAGAGTTATTACCATTCCGAAGGTCACCTAGGTCTGCTCCTAAGTTTTGCATTTTACATTTAGGCCTATGATTCACTTTGGGGTAATTTTTGTGAAGGATATAAAGTCCGTGTCTAGATGCACTTTTTTTTGCATTTGGATGTGTAGTTGTTAAGCACCTTTTGTTAAAAAGATGGCCCGGTGTGGTGGCTCACACCTGTAATCCCAGCACTTTGGGAGGCCGAGGTGGGCAGATCACAAGGTCAGGAGTTCGAGACCAGCCTGGCCAATATGGTGAAACCCCATCTCTATTAAAAATACGAAAATTAGCTGGGTGTGGTGGTGCATGCCTGTAATCCCAGCTACTGGGGAGGCTGAGGCAGGAGGATGGCTTGAACCCAGGAGGCAGAGGTTGCAGTGACTGAGATCGCACCACTGCACTGCAGTCTGGGTGACAGAGCGAGACTCTGTCTCAAGAGAAAAAAAAAAGAGAGAGAGAGAGAAAGAGAGGACATTGGGGCCTATAGGCACAGGCCACCATGCCTGGCTAATTTTTGTATTTTTTGCAGAGATGAGGTGTCGCCATGTTGTCCAGGCTGGTCTCAAACTTCTAGGCTCAAGTGACTTGCCTGCCTCGGCCTCCCAAAGTGCTAGGATTACAGGTGTGAGCCACCACACCCAGACTGTTGAGAATTTTTGTGTTTATGTCTGTGAAAAACATTGGTGTGTGATTTTGATTTTTTGTAATGCCTGTGTCTGGTTTTTATACTAGGGTTATGCTGGCCACACGGAATGATTTAGGAACTATTCCCTCTGTTTCTATTTTCTAGAAGAGATTGTAATGAATTGGTATATTTATTCCTTAAATGTTTGATAGAATTCACTAACGAACCCATCTGGGCTTGGCGCTTACTGATTTGAAGGTTATTTGTTGTTGTTGTTTTTCCAACTTTGTTGAGATATAATTGGCATTAAAAAAACTGCATATGGCCTGGCATGAGGGCTCATGCCTGTAATCCCAGCAATTTGGGAGGCCGAGGCAGGAGGATTGCTTGAGGCTTGGAGTTTGTGACCAGTGTGGGTAGCATAGTGAGATCCTGTCTTTATTAAAAAAATTTCAAGATAAATTAGCTGGGTGTGATGGCACGCGCCTGTAGTCCCAGCTACTGAGGAGATTGAGGCAGGAAGATTGCTTGAGACCAGGCATTTGAGGCTGCAGTAAGCTATGATCAAACCACTGCAGTCCAGCCTAGGTGACAGAGAGAGACACTGTCTCTAAAAACAAAAAAATCCAAAACAAAAATCTCCCCCAAAAAACTGCATATAAATTTATGCATACAATTTGATGATTCTGGACATATGTATATATTCATGTTGCTATTGCTGTAATCCAGGTAATACACGTATCTGCAACTTTCCCCGTGTCCCCTCTTTTTTTTCTTCATAAGAACACTTAACATGAGATCTACCCTGTTAACAATTGTTTTTACGACACAATATCTTGTTGTTAGCTATGGACAGTCTATTGTACAGCAGATCTCTGGAACTCACCGATCTTGTTTAACTATAACTTTATACCCACTGGATAACAACTCCTTTTTTCTCCTTCATGCCATCCCCAGGTAACCCTCGTTCTGTTGTCTAATTCAACACCTTTGACTATTTTAGATGCTCATATTAGAGGAATCATTAGTATTTCTCTCTCTGTGACTGAATTATTTCACTTAGCGTCATGTCTTCCGGGTCCTTCCACGTTGTGACAAATGGTAAGATTTCCTTCTTTTTAAAGGTTGAGTAACGTTGTGTTGTATGTCTATGTCACATTTTCTTTATCCATTCAGCTGTCTATGAACATTTGGGTTGTTTCTACATCTTGGCTATTGTAAATAATGCTGCAGTGAACACAGGAATGCATAAATATTTTCTCCCATTCTGCGGGGTTGCTTTTCACCCCGCGGATTTCTCCTTTGCTGTGAAAAAGCTGTTTAGTTTGATGTAATCAAACTTTTCTATTTTTGCTTTTGTTGCTTGTGCTTTTGATGTCATATCCAAGAAGATTATTGCCCTGAACAATGTCCAAAAGCTTTTCCTTGGGTTTATTCTAGTAGTTTTACAGTTTCAGGTCTTACGTTTAAATCTTTAATCTATTTTGAGTTGATTCTCATATATGGTGTGAGATAAGGTCCAATTTCATTATTCTGCATGTTGCTATTCACTTTTCCTGGTACCACTTATTGAGGAGACTATCTTTTTCTGCATTGTGGGTTCTTGGCACACTTGTCAAAGATCAGTTGACCATAGATGTGTGGATTTATTTCTAGGCTCTCTATTCTGTTCCATTGGTCTGTCTGCCTGATTTTTATTCCAGTACAACACTGATTACTGTAGCTTTATAATATATTTTGAAATCAGTAAGTACGATGCCTCCAGCTGTGTTCTTCTTGCTTAATATTGCTTCAGCTATTTGGGATTTCTTGTGGTTCTATATTTTTTGTGATTTTTTTCCTCTTTCTGTAAAAAAATGTTTACCGTATTTTGATAGGGCTTGCACTGAATCTGTAGATTGCTTTGAGTAGTATGGACATCTTACCAATATTAAGTCTTCTAATCCATGAACAAGAGATGTCTTCCCATTTATTTGTATCTGTCTTAATTTCTTTAATCATTGCTTCATAGATTTCAGTGTGCAGTCTTTCACCTCTTTGGTTAGGGTTATTCCTAATATTTTATCTTTTTGGTGCCATTATAATTAGGATTGTCTTCTTTTTTTAATATACTAGTTGGCCACATAGATATCTTCTTTTGAGAAATGTCTATTCATGTCCTTTGCCAATTTTTTAACGGAGTTTTTTGTTTTCTGCCTAATTTAAGTTCCCTACAGAATCTGGATATTAGACCTTTCCCAGATGCATAATTTGCAAATATTTTCTCCCACTATTTACTCTGTTGATAGTTTCTTTTGCTGCAGGATGCTCTTTAGTTTAATTAGGTCCCCATTTGTCTATTTTTGGTTTTGTTTCAATTGCTTTTGGCATCTTTGTCATGAAATCTTAGCCAGGGCCTATGTCCACAATGGTATATCTCAGGTTTTCTTCCAGGGATTTTATATTTTTAGGTTTTTCATTCAAATTTTTAATTCATCTTGAGTTGATTTTTGTGTATGGTGAAAGGAAGGAGTCCAGTTTCAATCTTTTGCCTATGCCTAACCAGTTATCCCAGCATCATTTATTGAATAGGGAGTCCTTTCCCTATTACTTGTTTTTGCTAATTTTGTTAAAGATCAGACGGTTGTAGCTGTGCCACTTTATCTCTGGGTCCTTTGTTCTGCTCTTTTTTTCTTCGAGTCTATTTTTGTACCAGTATCATGGTGTTTTGGTTTCTACAACCTTGTAGTAAAGTGTGAAGTCAGGTAATAGGATGCCTCCAGCTTTGTTCTTTTTGCTTAGGATTGCTTTGGCTATTCGGGCTCATTTTGGTTCCATATGAGTTTTTAAATAGTTTTGTATAATTCTGTGAATAATGTCATTGGTAGTTTGATAGGAATAGCATTGAGTCTGCAAATTGCTTTGGGCAATATGACAATTTTGACAATATTTATTCTTCCTATCCTTGAGCATGGCATGTTTTTCTATTTGTTTGTGTCATCTCTGATTTCTTTCAGCAATTATTCAGTAATTCAGTAATTATTATTGTAGAGACCTTTCACCTCTGTGGTTAGCTGTATTCTGAGGTATTTTACTTTTTGTGTGTCTATTGTAAATGGCATTGCATTCTTGATTTGGTGTTACTGGTGTAAAGAAATGCTACTGATATTTATACATTGATTTTATATCCTTAAACTTTGGTGAAGTAGTTTATCAGTTCTGGGAGCTTTGGGGCGAAGACTATGGGGTTTGCTAAGTATAAAATCATATTGTTTGCAAGGAGAGATGGTTTGACTACCTCTTTTGCTGTATGGATGCTTTTTATTTCTTTCTCTTGCCTGATTGCTCTGGCTAGGAATTTCAGTACTATGTTGAATAGGAGTGGTGGGAGTGGGCATCCTTGTCTCGTTCTGGTTCCCAAGGGGAAGGCTTGCAGCTTTGGCCCATTCAGTATGATGTTGGCTGTGGGTTTGTCATAGACAGCTCTTACTATTTTGAGGTATGTTCCTTCAATGCCTAGTTTGTTGAGGGCTTTTAACATGAAGGGAGGTTTAATTTTGTCAAAAGACTTTTCTGCATCTATTGAGATGATCATGTGGTTTTTGTCTTTAGTTCTGTTTATGTAATGAATTACATTTATTGATTTGTGTATGTTGAACCAAACTTGCATCCCAGGGATAAAGCCTACTTTATAGTGCTGGATTTGTTTTTTGATGTGCTGCTGAATTCAGTTTACCATTATTTTATTGAGGGATTTTGCATCTATGTTCATCAGGGATATTGGCCTGAAGTTTCCCCTTTTTGTTGTGCCTCCACCAGGTTTTGGTATCGGAATGATGCCAGCTTCATAGAATGAGCTAAGGAGGTGTCTCTCCTCCTCAATTTTTTGGAATAGTTTTAGTAGAATTGGTACCAGCTCTTCTTTATACATCTGGTAGAATCTTTCTGGCCCAGGACCCTCTCTGGTTGGTAGGCTTTTTATTACTGATTCAGTTTCAGAACTTGTTACTGATCTGTTCTGGTTTTAATTTCTTCTGGATTAAATCTTGGGAAGTTGTTTCCGAGAAATTTATCCATTTTTCTAGGTTTTCTAGTTTGTGTGGTAATGTCCCCTTTGTCATTTCTGACTGTGTTTATTTGGATCTTTTCTCTTCTTTCCTTTATTAGTTTAGGCTAGTGGTCTATCGATCTTATTTATTCTTGCAAAAAAACCAACTTTTGGTATCGTTGACCTTTTGTGTGTTTTATTGTGTCTCAATTTCTTTCAGTTTGGCTTTGATTTTTGTTTTCTTTTCTTCTGCTAGCTTTACGGTTAGTTTGCTCTTGTTTTTCTAGTTCCTCTAGGTGTGTTAAGTTGTTCATTTGAGGTCTTTCTAACTTTTTGATGTGGGCACTTAGCACTATAAAGTTTCTTCTTCACACTGCATTAGCTGTTTCCCAGAGATTCTAGTATGTTGTATCTCTGTCTTCATTCGTTTCCAAGAATTTCTTGATTTCTGCCTTAATTTCATTGTTTACCCAAAGTCATTCAGGAGTAGATTGTTTAATTTCCATGTAATTGTATAGTTTTGAGCAATCTTCTAAGTATTGATTTCTATTTTTATTGTGCTGTGGTCTGAGAGTGTGGTTGGTATGATTTTGTGTTTTATGAATTTGTTGAGCATTGTTTTATGGTCGAGCGTGTGGTTGGTTTTTCAGTATGTGCCACCTGCAGATGAGAAGAATGTAATGTATAGTCTGTTGTTGGCTGGAGTGTTCCGTAGATGTCTGTTAGGCCCATTTGGTCAAGTGTCGAGTTCAGGTCTTGAAAATCTTTGTCAGTTTTCTGCCTTGATGATCTAATACTGTCAGTGGAGTGTTGAAGTCTTCCACTATTTTTGTGAGGTTATCTAACAAAATAGGTCTCTAAGAGCTTGTTTTATGAATCCAGTGCTCCAGTGTTGGATGCATGTGTATTTAGGATAGTAAAGTCTTGTGGAAATTAAACCCTTTATCATTAAGTAATGCCTATCTTTGTCTTATTTTATTGTTATTGATTTAAAATCTGTGTTGTCTAAAATTAGAAAAGGAACCCCTGCTCTTTTTTCTTTCCATTTACTTGGTAGGTTTTTCTCTATCCCTTTACTTTAAGCCTATGGGTCTCATTGCATGTGAGGTGGATCCTCTGAAGACAGCATAAAGTTAGGTCTTGTTTCTTTATCCATTTTGCCACTCTGTGTCTTTTAAGTGGAGGATTTAGCCTATTTACATTCAAGGTTAATATTGATATGTGCGATTTGATCCTGCTGTTGTGTTGTTAGCTGGTTGATTGTATAGTTGTTTTATAGCATCAATGGTCTATGTACTTAAGTGTGTTTTTGTGGTGGCCAGTAACAGTGTTTCATTTCCATGTTTCGCACTCCCTTAAGGGCCTCTTGTAAGGCAGGTCTGGTGGCAATGAATTCCCTTAGCATTTGCTTGTCTACAAAGGATCTTATTTCTCCTTCACTCATGAAGCTTAGTCTGGCTGGATATGAAATTCTTCGTTGGAACTTCTTTTCTTTAAGAATGCCAAATATAGGACCCCAATCTCTTCTGGCTTAAGGGTTTCTGCTGAAAGGCCCACTGTCAACCTGATGGGGTTCCCTTTGCAGGTGTCCTGCCCCTTTTCTCTAGCTGCTTTTAATATTTTTTCTTTCATATTGATCTTGGAGAATCTGTTGACTATGTGATTTGGGGATGATTGACTTGTATACTATCTCACAGGAATTCTGTGCATTTCCTGAATTCTAATGTTAACCTTTCTAGTGAGTTTTGGGAATTTTTTAAAAATTTATTTAAGTTCTCAGATACATGTGGAGAACGTGCAGATTTGTTACATAGGTACGCATGTGCCATGGTAGTTTGCTGCACCTATCAACCCCTCATCTAAGTTTTAGGCCCCGCATGCATTAGGTATTTCTCCTAATGCTCTCTCTCCTCTTCCCCGCCGCCCCCGACAGGTCCCGGTGTGTGATGCTCCCTTCCCTGTGTCCATGTGTTCTCATTGTTCAACTCCCATTTATGAGTGAGAACATGCAGTGTTTGGTTTTCTGTTCCTGTGCTAGTTTGCTGAGAATGATGGTTTCCAGCTGCATGCATGTACCTGCAAAGGACATGAACTCATTCTTCTTCATGGCTGCATGATAGTCCATGGTGTGTATGTGCCAGATTTTCTTTATCCAGTCTATCATTGATGGGCATTTGGGTTGGTTCCATGTCTTTGCAATTGTAAATAGTGCTGCAATAAACATACGTGTGCATGTGTCTTTATAGTAGAATGATTTATATTCCTTTGGGTAAATATCCAGTAATGTGACTGCTGGGTCAAATGGTATTTCTCGTTCTAGATCCTCATGGAATTGCCACACTGTCTTCCACAGTGGTTGAACTAATTTACACTCTCACCAACAGTGCAAAAGGTTTCCTATTTCTCCACATCCTCTCCAGCATCTGTTGTTTCCTGAATTTTTAATAATCACCATTCTAACTGGCATGAGATGGTATCTCATTGTGGCATCAAATTTGATGGTATCAAAAAGATTTGCATCAAAACTTGATGATAGCAAAAGATTTGCATTTCTCTAATGACTAGTGATGATGAGTTTTTTTCATATGTTTGTTAGCTGCATAAATGTCTTCTTCTTTAGAGAACTGTCTGTACATATCCTTTGCTTACTTTTTGATGGGATTGTTTGTTTTTTTCTTATACATTTGTTTAAATTCCTTGTAGATTCTGGGTATTGGACCTTTGTCAGATGGGTAGTTTGCAAAAATTTTCTCCCATTCTGTAGGTTGCCTGTTCACTCTGATGATAGTTTCTTTCACTGTGCAGAAACTCTTTAGTTTGATTAGATCCCATTTGTCAATTTTGGCTTTTGTGCAATTGCTTTTGGTGTTTTAGTCATGAAGTCTTTGCCCATGCCTATGTCCTGAATGGTATTGCCTAGGTTTTCTTCTAGGGTTTTTATGGTTTGGGGTTTTACATTTAAGTCTTTAATCCATCTTGAGTTAATTTTTGTATAAGTTGTAAGAATTTGCATATGTTGAACCAGCCTTGCATCCCAGGGATGAAGCTGACTTGATTGTGGTGGATAAGATTTTTGATGTGCTGTTGGATTTTTTTGCCAGTGTTTTATTAAGGATTTTCTCATTGATGTTCATCAGGGATATTGGCCTGAAATTTTGTTTTTTTTGTTGTGTTTCTGACAGCGTTTGGTATCAGGATGATGCTGGCCTCATAAAATAAGTTAGGAGGATTCCCTCTTTTTTGATTGTTTGGAATAGTTTCAGAAGGAATGGTACTAGCTCCTCTTTGTACCTCTGGTAGAATTCGGCAGTGAATCCATCTCCTGGGCTTTTTTTGGTTGGTAGGCTATTAAGTACTGCTTCAATTTCAGAACTTGTTATTGGTTTATTCAGGGATTCGACTTCTTCCTGGTTTAGTCTTGGGAGGGTGTATGTGTCCAGGAATTTATCCATTTCTTCTAGATTTTCTAGTTTATTTGTGTAGAAGTGTTTATAGTATTCTCTGATGATAGTTTGTATTTTTGTGGGATCAGTAGTGATATCCTCTTTATCATTTTTTATTGTGTCTATTTGACACAATAAAATTTATAGATAAATCCATGAAGATGAGGGAAAAACAGCACAAAAAAGCTGAAAATTCCAAAAACCAGAATGCCTCTTCTCCTCCAAATGACTGCAACTCCTCTCCAACAAGGGCACAAAACTGGATGGAGAATGACATTGATGAATTGACAGAAGTAGGCTTCAGAAGGTGGGTAATAACAAACACCTCTGAGCTAAAGGAGCATGTTCTAACCCAATGCAAGGAAGCTGAGAACCTTGACAAAAGGCTACAGGAACTGCTAACTAGAATAGCCAGTTTAGAGAGGAGGATAAATGACCTGATGGAGCCGAAAAACACAGCACAAGAACTTCATGAAGCATACACAAATATCAATAGCCAAATTGATCAAGCAGAAGAAAGGATTCAGAAATCAAAGATCAACTTAGTGAAATAGTCATGAAGACAAGATTAGAGAATGAAGAATGAAAAGGAATGAACAAAGCCTCCAAGAAATATGGGACAATGTGAAAAGACCGAATAGACTAGTATTGATTGGGGGTCCCTGAAAGTGATGGGGAGAATGGAACCACATTGGAAAACACACTTCAGGATATTATCCAGGAGAACTTACCCAACCTAGCAAGACAGGCCAACATTTAAATTCAGGAAATACAGAGAAGTATTGAGGATACTCCTCAAGAAGTGCAACCCCAAGACACATAATCATCAGGTTCTCCAAGGTTCAAACTAAGGAAAAAATGTTAAGGGCAGCCAGAAAGAAAGGTCAAGTTACCTACAAAGTTAAGCCCATCAGACTAACAGTGGATCTTTCTGCAGAAACCCTACAAGCCAGAAAAGAGTGGGGGCCAATATTCAACACTCTTAAAGAAAAGAATTTTCAACCCAGCATTTAATTTAATAGTCAGCCAAACTAAGCTTCATAAGTGAAGGAGAAATAAAATCCTTTACAGACAAGCAAATGCTGAGGGATTTTGTCACCACCAGGCCTGCCTTACAAGAGCTCCTGAAGGAAGCACTAAATATAGAAAGGAAAAACTAGTACCAGCCACTGCAAAAACACACCAAATATAAAACCAATGACACTATGAAGAAACTGCATCAACTAATGTGTGAAATAACCAGCTAGCATCATAATGACAGGATCAAATGCACACATAACAATATTAACCTTAAATGTAAATGGGCTAAATGTCCCAATTAAAAGACACAGACTGGCAAGCTGGATAAAGAGTCAAGACCCATCGGTGTGCTGTATTCAGGAGACCCATTTCACATGCAAAGACACGCATAGGTTCAAAATAAAGGGATGGGGGAATATTTACCAAGCAAATGGAAAGGAAAAAAAAAGCAGGGGTTGCAATCCTAGTCTCTGATAAAACAGACTTTAAACCAACCAAGATAAAAAAAGACAAAGAAGGGCATTACATAATGGTAAAAGGATCAATGCAACAAGAAGAGCTTACTATCCTAAATATATGTGTGCTCAATATAGGAGCACCCAGATTCATAAAACAAGTTCCTAAAGACCTATAAAGAGACTTAGACCCCCAAATAGTAATAGTGGGAGACTTTAACACCCCACTGTCAATATTAGACAGATCAATGAGACAGAAAATTAACAAGGATATTCAGGACTTGAACTCAGATCTGGACCAAGCAGACCTAATCAACATCTACAGAACTCTCCACCCCAAATCAACAGAGTATAAATTTTCTCAGCTGCACATAACATGTTTTCTAAAATCGACTACATAATTGGAAGTAAAACACTCCTCAGCAAATGCAAAAGAATGGAAATCATAACAAACAGTCTCTCATACCACAATGCAATCAAATTAGAATTCAGAATTAAGAAACTCACTCAAAATGGCACAACTACATGGAAATTGAACAACCTGCTCCTGAATGACTACTGGGTAAATAATTAAGTTAAGGGAGAAGTAAAGAAGTTCTTTGAAACCAATGGGAACAAAGAGACAAAGTACCAGAATCTCTGGGACACAGCTAAAGCAGTATTAAGAGAGAAATTTATACCACTAAATGCCCACAAGAGAAAGCTGGAAAGATCTAAAACTGACACCCTAACATCACAATTAAAAGAACTAGAGAGGCAAGAGCAAACAAATTCAAAAGCTAGCAAAAGACAAGAAATAACTAAGATCAGAGCAGAGCTAAAGAAATAGAGACATGAAAAACCCTTCAAAAAATCAATTACTCCAGGAGCTGATTTTTTGAAAAGATTAACAAAATAGATGGACCACTAGCTAGACTAATAAAGAAGAAAAGAGAGAAAAATCAAGTAGACACAATAAAAAAATGATAGTCTTTAATCTTTGAGGCTGATGACCTTTGGATGGGGTTTCTGTGTGCAGCTTCTTTTTGTTGATGTTGATGTTGTTGCTTTCTGTTTGTTAGTTTTTCTCTTCTAACAGGCCCCTCTTCTGCAGGTCTGCTGCAGTTTGCTGGAGGTCTACTCCAGACCCTGTTTGCCTGGGTATCACCAGTGGAGGCTGCAGAACAGCAAAGATTGCTGCCTGCTCCTTCCTCTGGAAGCTTCGTCCCAGAGGGGCACCAGCCTGATGCCAGCCGGAGCTCTCCTGTATGTGGTGTCTGTCAGCCTCTACTGGGAGGTGTCTCCCAGTCAGAATACACAGGGGTCAGGGACCCACTTGAGGAGGCAGTCTGTTCTTTAGTAGAGCTTGAGCACTGTGCTGGGAGAATCCTCCTTGTCAGGATCTGCTGCTCTCATCAGAGCCAGCAGGCAGGAACGTTTAAGTCCACTGAAGCTGTGCCCCTGACAGCCGCCCCTTCCCCCAGGTGCTCTGTACCAGGGAGATGGGAGCTTTATCTATAGCCCCCTGGCTGGGGCTGCTGCCTTTCTTTCAGAGATGCCCTGCCCAGTGAGGAGGAATCTAGAGAAGCAGTCTGGCCACAGCTGCTTTGCCATACTGTGGTGAGTTCTGCCCAGTCCAAACTTCCTGGCCTCCTTAGCACTGTCAGGGGAAAACTGCCTACTCAAACCTCAGTAATGGTGGATGCCCCACCCTCTACCAAGCTCAATCATCCCAGGTCAACTTCAGACTGCTGTGCTGGCAGCAAGAATTTCAAGCCAGTGGTTCTTAGCTTGCTGGGGTCCGTGGGGGTGGGAGCTGCTGAGCAAGACCTCTTGGCTTCCTAGCTTCAGGCCCCTTTCTGGAGGAGTGAACGGTTCTGTCTCTCTGGGGTTCCAGGCACCACTGGGGTATGGAAAACAACAACAACAAAAAAACTCCTGCAGCTAGCTCTGTGTCTGCCCTAACAACCATCCAGTTTTGTGCTTGAAACCCAGGGCCCTGGTAGTGTAGGCACATGAGGGAATCTCCTGTTCTGTGGATTGCAAAGACCGTGGGAAAAGCATAGTACCTGGGCTGGATAGCACAGTCCCTCACAGCTTCCCTTGGCTGGGGAGGGAGGTCCCCGGCTGCTTGCACTTCCTGGGGGAGGTGATGCCCCACCCTGATTCTGCTCACCCTCTGTGGGCTGCACCCACTGCCTAAACAGTCTCAATGAGATGAAGTGGGTACCTCAGCTATTCCTATTCAGCCATCTTGCCAAATCTCTCTATTATCTTTTATAGGAAAAAACTTTCTGAAGATGACATCAGACTCAAGAAGCCAAGTAGGAAAAGACTGATAAATCTGAAGATGTAAAAATTAAGATCCTTTACTCAGAAAAAGAAAAGTACAATAAAAAAATAAAAAATAATTTGAGCAAAATATTTGTGATACATGATGAACAATGGTTAAGTGTTCCTAGTAAACAAAGAAGTCATCAATCTGAAACAATCAACAGCAGTAAAAAATAGGATAAGCATCTCACGGAAAAAAGAAATACTAAGAGCAAATAAACACATGAAAACATGCACAACCTCATTCTGAGGAAATGAAAAACAGAACTAATGGCTGACTACAAGATTTAAAAACTGGTGATACACAATGTTGATGAGGATGTGTAAAACAGTCACTCCCATGGATCATTCATTGGAAAATATATCAGAGTAATCCTGTTGGAGGACAATTTTGCAATATCTACACTTAGTAATTTATTGTTCTCACCAAAGTACATGGAGGTGTATTATGGTTTGAGTATATGGAGGCTGTAGAGCCCTCGGAGTATGGAGCCCGATGCCAGGGATCAGATAATAGCTCAGCAACTTCTGAGGTATGTGACTGTGGCAAGCTAAGAGCCTTACCTGGGAAGTGGAGATAAGTATGTTTTTACCTCAAAATGCTGGTGTGAGGATCTGATATATTTATACACTTTAGAGAAATGCTTGGCACTTTGGAACATTAATCTAAAGAAAACATCCAACTGCTCACGAGTAGAGTGCTAAGAAGGAAGAGCTTGGCCTCATAGTTGGATGGCTGCCACGTTCCCTGAAAGTGAATGAAGCAAACCTCTCTCTGACTGGGAGGCTGATGTCTTTACTTCATTAAGTCCTGGGGCATCTCATGTTCCAGGATAGCATCACTTTCCACGTTTCTTCCTTTTTCATGCATAAGAATTTTAGCTAGCGGAGAGTAAGGCAAGTGACCATTTCAAAGACAGGCATTTTACTAAATGGTGGCCACTGAAAGCTTGATTCCTGTGCTGTTTTCTGGTACTTTTTGTCTTAAAGCAGGATTTCTCAACACTGGCACTATTGACATTTTGGGCTGGATAATTCTTTGTTGAGGGGGCTGTGCTGTCCATTGTAGGATGTTTAGCAGCATTCCTGATCTTGATCCACTAAATGCCCCAAGTTCTGACAACCAAAAGTGTTTTCAGATATTGTCAAATGTCCCTTGGGAGTGAAATCACCCTTGGTTGAGGATCACTGGGTTTTAGAGGTTTGGAATGAAAAAAAAAAATGATTCTCCCGTTGGAAGCAGAGACTGTAGTTCAGATTATGAACCAGTTAGATGATTTCCCTTCTTAAGCATGAATTCAGACTGCATTGCCTTTGAAAATTAATGTTTGGGGTGTGTGTGTGTGTGTGTGTGTGTGTGTGTGTGTGTGTAAATATTACGGTTAACAGTTATCCACTGGGCCCTAGGATGAATAAGGAAGCATAGCTTCACCTTATTCTCGACAAAGTCCTTAAGAGGGTCCAGATTATGTTCCATCACACTTTCATGCTTCTGAATTCCACTTAAAAAAAATAGACTTATTGGCCAGGTGCGGTGGCTCACACCTATAATCCCAGCACTTTGGGAGGCCAAGGTGGGCAGATCACAAGGTCAGGAGTTCGAGACCAGCCTGGCTAATATGGTGAAACCCCATCTCTACTACAAATACAAAAATTAGCTAGTCGGGGCGGTAATCCCAGCTACTCGGGAGGCTGACGCAGGAGAATAGCTTGAACCCAGGAGGCAGAGGTTGCAGTGAGCCGAGATTGCATCACTGCACTCCAGCCTGGGTGACAGAGCAAGACTCCATCTCAAAAAAAAAAATTGACTTATTAATTATTTTGAATTAGCAATATATTCCCATGGTTCAAAATTGAAGCAATATAAATGAGTGTAGAGTGAAAAGTTTCTCTCTCATCCCTGTCTCCAGATATCTGGGTCCTGCCCATGAGAAAGCCACATGAACAGGTTCTTTGTTTATCCTTCCAAATATATTTTTTGCATACACAAATATGTATATTTGTATTTATAACATATTTGTATATTTCCCTTGTATATTTGTATATTTCCCTATCTCATCCCCCACTTTTTTAACAAAAACAGGTCATACACTGAACATACATGTGTTCACCCAGACTCTTCTATGTGCATATGTTATCTCTTCACCACTGCTTCCTTTCTAAGAGAACTCCGATTTTGTGCAGTTCTTCAGCACCATACCCTTTCCCCTACCTACCCACAAACACACTTCATGGAATCCATGTGACTCAGGGGAAGTGGATTCCACCCCCAGATCTGGGAGTAGCTGGTCAAAGGGTCACCCATTCTCTTTGCCAGAGGTCAGTTCAGAAAGGGGCATGAAACCCAACTCAGGCCAATGGACATGCTGAGAATTTTGCTGGGCTTTCCAGGGAATTTTTTTTTTTCTCCTGAGAGAGCTGTGGAAGAAGTCTCTTTTGCCTCCTCTGGACACCACTATGGGGAGAAGTAAAGATGGGGCAGACACTTGAGGGATGGCCCGGAAGAAACTGGAGCGCCTGGATTAAGCCAATCCTGAAGTCTGCACGACTGCTGTCCTTTCAGGCAGAGGAAAGATGGGTGATGTCACTATTAGCAGTCTAGGGTGAGGTGACAAGTCAGTGAAGCCATTTCAAATCCAAGTCTGGTGTGGCTTGAAGGCTTTTGGTTTACAACGGTAAAATCAGTTCTCCGATGTGTAGCATTTTACAGTACAAACGGTGCTCCCACATTCAGGTTTCATTGAGAGTAAATACGCCAGGCAAGGCCTCTGTGCCCACTGCACAGATGAGGAAAAGGAGACATGGAGGGGAAAGTCTTGTTTAAGGACACATATCCTGTAAGAGGCAGAACTGGAATCCAACCCCAAGTTTGTTTCTGTTACCGAAACACCGGGAGTTTGGTCTGGGTCCTGCGGCTCACAGAACAGAAAGCCAATGACTGAGACGATGAGTATTGCCAAGGACGAAGGCTTTAGTCGGGTTCTGCAGCAGAGGAGATGGGAACTCAGTCTCAAATGCATCTCCCTGACTAACTAAAACTAGGGGTTTATATGGCAGGGAAGCAATGTAACCGTGTGTAAGAAAACGGGAACTAGGGAGGGGCAAGGAAGCAATCATGGTGAATGAGGGGTCCCACATCTTATTGTCTGATGTGACGGTCTGGTGAATTTCAGTTCTTTGGTACTTTTTTTGAGATCTGAAGCTCCTTTCCTGAGGAAGGAACTCGGATAAAACAAATATAAGTTTCAAGCTTTAAGACTAGAAGGGTGAATTTCTATGTTTATCAAAAGAAAAAAAAACTGTCTATGGGACAATTGCATTGGTTTTATTTAAACATCAAGGTTATTTTCTCCCAAACCACCAGATACTCTGGCTGGAGGCATTCATACCCACAGATGCATGCCAAGTGTTGACTCTACCCTCAGGAGCAGCAGGACCAGGAAGCTCTGGGAGGTCAGGACACAGGAGAGAGGCAGGAAGAGCCCCCGCAGGACCTACTGTGGTGGCCGAGACTGCTACAGCCATATGACCTCCGACTGTGCCCAGTTCCTTTTAGCATGTCCTCAAGAGTCAGTGCCTCGGAGCAAATGGGCTGACCTCTGGACTACACTGGGGAAGAGAGAAAAGGAGGTCCTCCCTGTTGCCCAATGGAAGATTCCTCAAGATGGAGATTGAGCTGCTCTTCTAGGGCACCCCAAGGGCAAATGTCCCCATCGTCTCTAAGGCTCCAGCCAGCTCCAAACACTCTGGGTGGTAAATAGACTGAATCCCCTTTAGTGACCTCTCTCACTGGCAATGTTTTTTTTCTCTTTTTTCTTACAATAGTTGAATTGATCAAAAAAGAACTCAATCTCAAAGGTGAGAGTAGAGTTGATGATGGGGTCAGGGAGCTGACCTCAATCGAAAGTTGAGAAGAAAAGCATGTGTGAATAACAACATCCTTGGTTTAGAATTTACTTACAAAGCTTCAGCTGAGCTTATGAATGTGTCATTTGGATATTTGCTGGGCTTCGCACACACCCCTTCAGTTTCTACACAGGGCCAGGCATATCACAATGGTGTGGTTGCATTTTGTTTTTAATGTTAGGTTCATTTTTTATAGATCCTAAAACACAAAACGGGATTCGGGAGTGTGAATTTACTTGAACCAAACTGAAAAAAGGTTTTCTCAACCTCTGCAAAATGAAGCTGCAGAATTCACAACAGTTTTAATTATAACACACTAAATAGATACAATAAGTGGCTCTTTGCTCTGACGTTGAAATCTCTACCTATTTTTATCTCCAGGCAAATAACAGGCGGCTGGGGAAAGTTACTACATTATGAGTGGGTTATTGAATCTCTGAGCATCAACAACCTCTATGTCATTACACTGCATTGTATGCTAAAGAAAATCATTGTATCCAGGCTGGGCACAGTGGCTCATGCCTATAATCGCAATATTTTGGGAGACTGAGGTGAGCAGATCACCTGAGGTCAGGAGTTCAAGACCAGCCTGGCCAACATGGTGAAACCCTGTCTTTACTGAAAAAAAAAAAAAAAATACAAAAATTAGCCAGGCATGGTGGCGCACACCTGTAATCCCAGCTACTCCAGAGGCTGAGACAGGAGAATCGCTTGAAGCCGGGAGGTGGAGGTGGTAGTGAGCTAAGATCGTGCCATTGCAGTCCAGCCTGGGCAACAAGAATGAAACTCCATCTAAAAAAGAAAGAAAGAAAAAAAAAAAAAAGCAAAACAAAGAAAATCATTGTATTCAAAAATACCAAGATGAGCAAAAATATTTCAAGATTTCTTAGAAGAAATTTGCTTCCCATAGGCAAAGGAAAACTAAGCACATTAAAACTACTGCTCTAAAGTAACTTTAAAGCATAATTCTCCCCTTGAGTTTCAGGAAAGACCTGGAAAGAGGGGCAAGACTTTCCCTTTCTCACCTTGCCATGACCTCCAGGGCCTTGTAGCTCAGGCTTTGAAAATGAAGGTCACCATAATTACTATTACAACCCAGATCTGGAGGAAGGTGGAGAACCTTGAACAGAGCCCACCAGAAGTGGCTGGCTGGGGTCCCAGTGGGCTGCAGGGCCAGGGAAGGCCCTGCGGTTGCTGCCCCACCTGCCTGCTCTTGGCCTCACTTCTTTGCTTCTCCTCTGGAAGATTCTATCAGAATTGCTTTGTGCTCAGGAATGGGCCTATGATGAAGAGTCTGGCTCACTTTTTCCTCTGTACTTTGGGATTACATCATGGAACCCAATATCCTGAGCAAGCATAAGAAAGGGAGGGGAAAGTGGATGAATCTGATGTAAGAAGAAAACAGACACTCATATTTTCACTCAATTTTCAAAGCAATCCACACTACAGATGAGGAAACTGAGATTTATGGACGTGAAGAGACTTGCTGAAAACCACAGTTTGGTGGCTGAAGCTGGTTTGAATTTTATTCTAACACAAATCTTTATTTATTTTAGACAGGGTCTCACTCTATTCCTTAGGCTGGAGTGCAATGGCGTGATCATGGCTCATTAAAACCTCTTCCTCCAGGGCTCAAGCCATCTTCCCACCTCAGCCTCCTAAGTAGTTGGAACCACAGGCATGCACCACCACCCCTGGCTAATTTTTGTATTTCTTGTACAGATGAAGTTTTACCATATTGCCCAGGCTGGTTGTGAACTCCTGAGCTCAAGTGATCCACCTGCCTTGGCCTCCCAAAGTGCTGGGATGACAGGTGTGAGCCACTGCACCTGGCCTCAAATATTTTTACTGTATTTTATTTTTTATTTTTGTTGGTACATAGTAGGTGTATATATATATGGGGTACATGAGATATTCTGATACAGGCATGCAATCCATAATAATCACATCAGGGAACATGACATAGCCATTATGTCAAGCATTTATCATTGCTTTGTGGTACAAAAATTCCAATAATACTACTTTAGATATTTTTATATGTACAATAAATGATTGTTAACTATAGTCACCCTGTTGTGCTATCAAATATGCGATCTTATTAATTCTATCTAACCATATTTTTGTAGCTATTAACCATCTTCCCTCTCCTCCTTCCCAGCCTCTGGTAACCATCATTCTACTATCTCCATGAATTTAATTGTTTTAATTTTTAGCTCCCACAAATGAGTGAGAGCAGGTCAAGTTTGTCTTTCTGTGCCTGGCTTGTTTCATTTAACATAATGACCTCCAGTTTCATCCACAGTGTTGCAAATGACAGAATCTCACTCTTTTTTATGGCTGAATAGAGTACTCCACTGTGTATGTGTACGACATTTTCTTTATCCATTTGTCTGTTGATGGACACTTAGGTTGCTTCCAAATCTTGGCTATTGTGAATAACACTTCAATAAATGAGAATGCAGATATATCTTCAATATACTGATTTCCTTTCTTTGGGGTATATACTGGCAGTGGGATTGCTGGATCATATGGTAGTTCTGTTTTTAGTCTTTTTTGAGGAACCTCCATACTTTTCCCCATAGTGGCTGTATTAATTTACATTCCCACCAACTAACTCAAATCTGTAAATTATACCATGAGGATGTCTAAATCAAGGGGGCGATTTTTGCAGTTTCTACAAGAAAATCATTGAGTAGTTCACCTAACTTGATTGGCAAATTCAGTCAAATGACTGTACAAGTTTTATATAAATGTAGTCTCATGTTAAACATTTAAATCATGTGTTACCATAAACAATTATTAAATCACTTGAAGATGTTTGAGAACTAAATAGGATATTTCTTCATGATATATGCTTTAAAAAGTTTTAATTGCGGTAAAATACACATGACAAAACTTTACCATTTTAACAATTTTAAGTGTACAGTTCTCTAGTGTTAAGTATATCCACATTAATGGGTAACCAGTCTCTAGGACTTATCTCATAAAACTGAAACTATACCTATTAAACAACAACCCCTCATTTTCCCTTCTCCCCAGCTTCTGGCAAACACAATTCCACCTTCTGTTTCTATAGCTGACTACTCTAGAGAGGTCATATGAATGGGATCATTCGGTATTTGTCCTTTTGGATTGGCGTATTTCACTTAGCATAATGTCCTTAAGGTTCATCCACGTTGTAGCACGTGTCAGAATTGTCCTCCTTTTTAAGGCTGAATAATATTCCGTTGTATGCATAGACCACATTTTGCTTAGCCATTCTTCTGTCGATAGACAGGTGAGTTGTTGCCATCTTTTGGCGATTGTGAACATTGCTGCTATGAACATGATTGTACAAATATCTCTTTGCAATCTTTTCAATTATTTGGTTATATACCCAGAAGTGGAGTTGCTGTATCATATGGTAATTCTGTATTTAATTTTTTAAGAAGCTGCCATAGCGTTGTTCAAAACTGCTGCACCATTTTACATTGCCAACAACAGGGCACAAAAAATTGAATTTCTCTGCATTCTCTACAACACTTGCTATTTTCTGGGTTTTTTTTGCAAGCAGTTATTCTAATGGGTATGAGGTGGTATCTCACGGTGGTTTTAATTTGCATTTCTTTATTGATCAGTGATGTTGAGCATCTTTGACTATGCTTGTTGTACACTTACATACATTATTTGGATAGCTGTCTGTTCAAGTCCATTGCCCATTTCTAAGCTGGGTTATCTTTTTGTTGTTGTTGAGTTGTAGGAGGTCATTATATATTCCGGATACTAACCCTTTGTCAGATGTATGATTTGCAAATATTATCTCCCATTCCATAGGTTGCCTTTTCATTCTGTTGACTGTTTCATTCTGTTGACTTTTGTCTTTTGACAGACAAAAGTTTTTAATTTTGATATAATTTATCTATTTTTACTTTTGTTGCCTGTGCTTTTGGTGTCATAGCCAAGAAATCATTGCCAAACTCAGTATCAAGAAGATTTTCCTCTATGTTTTCTTCTCAGGCTTATATAGTTTTGGCTCTTACATTTGGGTCTTTGATCGATTTTGTGTTAATTTTTGTATATAGTATAAGGAAAGCATCCAATTCATTATTTTTTGCATGTGGCTATCCAGTTTTCCTAGCATCATTTGTGGAAAAGACTGTTCTCCCCCTTTGAATGATCTTGGCACTCTTGTTGAAAATCATTTAACCATATATGGGAGGGAGGGTTTATTTCTGGGCTCTCTATTCAATTCCACTGATTCATATGTGTGTCTTTATGCCATAAAGGTACTATGGCTTTGTAATAAATTTGGAAATCAAGAAATATGAGACCTCCAACTTTGTTATTCTTTTTCAAGACTGTTTTGGCTATTCAAGATCCTTTGAAATACCATACGAATTTTAGGATGAATTTTTTTTTTAATTTCTGTGAAACATCCATGAGATTTTGACAAGGATTGCACAAAATGTGTAGATTGCTCTGGTTAGTATGGACTTCTTAACTATATTCAGTCTTTAAATATAAGAACATGTACTGTATTTCCATTTATTTGTATCTTCTTTAATTTCTTTCAGAAACACTTTGTAGTTTTCAGTGTACAAGTCTTTTGCCTCTTGGTTAATTCTGAGTATTTTATTCTTTTTGATTCTATTAGAAATGGAATTGTTTTCTTAGTTTCCTCTTCTGACTGTTCATTTTAGTGTATGATAATGCAACTGATTTTTATATGTTGATTTTATATTCTGTATATTCTGCATCTTTGCTGAATTTGTTTATTAGTTCTAATAGTTTGTGGAATCTTTAGGGGTTTCTACATATAAGATCATGTCTGTGAACAGACATAATTTTACTTCTTCCTTTCTGGTTTGGATGCCTTTATGATTTTTTTTTTTTTTTTTTTGAGACAGGGTCCCACTCTGTCACCTGGCTAGAGTGCAACGGCTCAAACACGGCCCACTTCAGCTTTGAACTTCTGGGCTTAAGTCGTCCTCCCACCTCAGCCTCCCAAGTAGCTGGGACTACAGGCACTTGCCACCATGTCCAGTTAATTTTTTTAAAAATTTTTTATAGAGATGGGGGTCTTGCTATGTTGCCCAGGCTGGTCTTGAACTCCTGGGCTCAAGCAATCTCCCTGCCTTGGCCTCCTAAAGTGTTGGGATTACAGGCTGAGCCACCGTACCTGGCCTATGATGCATTTTTATTGAAAGAAAAACAGACACCATTATTTTGCATTACAAAATATAAAACAGAAGAAATTTCACAGCCAATCAAACGGGAGTTTAGAATTGGATCCTCCTGCACTTTCCCCTACACTTCTTTCAAAGCTGCCTTCCTCTGCAAGGCTTCTGCCTCACCTCTGATCACCCACAACCTGAGCTCTGAGCACCCACACCTCACCTCTGAGCACTATGACCCATCTGGATGGAGCTACTGCACGGTCAGTGTGGGAACATCTCTGAGGAAGATGCATTGTCTTCTGTGGAGTTACCTAAAAACACTGGGGCATGTTCTCCTAACTGCCTTCACTTAGTCTAAAGATGAAGCAATTCAACAAAAGTACATGTAAACCTCAAAACTGGACTTGGAGTTTTAAAGATCAATGGACTCTATTGTCTATTGTCTGGATGGTTTGGGGGTTTCCTAGCTCATTTTTTTTTCTTTTATGGTATAGACACCTGAAGGCTCTTTGCTCAGTACTCCTCACTGTGTGGCTGCCTTCCACTGCAGACGCTGTGCTGAAGGTTGGGTTCTGGCCACTCTGTTTACACCCTTTTGGACTTGAGGCTTGCCTGTTGGTTCCCTGAAACGTGGACTCTGGATCTGGGTGCTAACCAATTCCCTTTCTTTCCAGGCCGGGGTCCTGAGACCTCACTGTAATGAGAGACTGTGACCTCTTTTCTCATGTCTCAGGCAGGCTATGATGCCTTTTCTAGTTAAGGACCGTGTTGAACCAGGTGAAATCGCCATTTTTGTTGGCTGTTTTTGTCCTGCAAAACTGACAATTTCATGTCCTTAAATTTAATACCTTTGGAGTAGAAACTACCTATTGTTGTCCAATAGAGGAAACAAAGTTTCTTCCTGAAAGCATTTGTCTGAACAAAACAGTATTTGTTTTATCTGCATTTCCCCTTCATTCACTTGTATCATTCAGGGACTTGCACATCTCAGTCACATGTGTGACGCACTCACATGTATGGCTCCAATCCCATCTTCACGGCACAGAGAACTAAATTCTCTCCCACCTTCCCGTGGAGAGCCCTCTGTCCTCATCATCACTGGTTCCTTTCTTCTGGATCCTTCCACCTCAATTATGTTTCTCTGAGGGTGCAATGACAAGAATAAAATGAAATTTTGTTCTTGTTCAGTTAAGTAATAAATTGTCATTTCTTCCATTTTCTCTTTGACTAAAGATGTATTAGCTTTATTATTATTTTTTAAATAGAGACAATGTCTCAATATGTTGCCCAGGCTGGCCTTGAACTCCTGAGCTTCAGTGATCCTCTCGCCTCGGCCTCCCAAAGTGCTAGGTTTACAGGTGTGAGCCACCACGCCCGGTAAAAGATGTATTAGCTTTAAACAAAGTTAAAATTTCTTCTCAGTTGTGTAAAAATCACAGAAGAATGCAGCATGTCCTCTAAGTGTCAGCCTGTGTGGGGCTGAAAAAACAGTGGAGTCCTTTGTTCACTGTCTTAGGAGTCTTTGGGATTTCTGTTGATCCACAGACTTGCATAAAGAGTTTGCCATGATGACAGGGCCTCTGCACATGATGTGAGGATGTGGACCCCCTTTCCTCCCCACAGCCAGTGCCGGCCCGACTCATAAAAGCTCAAAGATCCAGTGAGACCAGCCTCAGTCAGATCAGCCCATCCATGAGTGGGGGTTGTTGTTATATATATTTATGCTCCATCTCACTGCCAAAGAGGGATTTGGGGTGGATTATAGAAATGCATACAACAGGGGCCGGGCGCGGTGGCTCATGCCTGTAATCCCAGCACTTTGGGAGAGCCAGGTGGGTGGATCACAAGGTTAGGAGATCAACACCATCCTGGCTAACATGGTGAAACCCCATCTCTACTAAAAATATAAAAACTAGCTGGGTGTGGTGGCGCGTGCCTGTAATCCCAGCTACTGGGAAGGCTGAGGCAGGAGAATTGCTTGAACCTGGGAGGTGGAAGTTGCAGTGAGCCGAGATCACGCCACAGCACTCCAGCCTAGTGACAGAGCAAGACTCTGTCTCAAAAAAAATAAATAAATAAATAGATAAAAATAAAGAAAGAAATACATACGACAAAATAAAAATAAAATAAGCAAAGAAGTGGAGGAAGAAGAGGAGAATTAAGGTAAGAAATTAAGATGAAGTCATTTGTTTCTTTTTGCCTATTCATATTTTGAGTTTTCTCTTTTCTTATTGATTTGTAGGAGTTACTTGTATATTCTAGATCTGTGCTAATACGTTAGCCACCAGTCCTATGTGGCTATTGAAATTAATTAGGCTGGGCGTGGTGGCTCACACCTGTAATCCCAGCACTTTGGGAGGCCAAGGTAGGTGGATCACTTGAGCTCAGGAGTTCACGACCAGCGTGGGAGACATGGCAAGACCCCATCTCTACTAAAAATACAAAAATTAGCCAGGTGTGGTGGCACACCTGTAATTCCAGCTACTTAGGAGGCTGAGGTGGGAGAATCACCTGAGCCCAGGAGGTAAAGGCTGCAGTGAGCTGTAATCACACCACTGCACTCCAGCCTGTGTGACAGAGACCCTATCTAAAACAATAATAATAATTATTATTAAAGTTAAATAGAATTAAAAATTTAGCTCCTCAGTCACCCTCCTCCCATTTCAAGTGCTCAGTAACCACAACTATCCAGTGGCCAGCATAGACCTACACCATTTCCATCATCACAGCCAATTCTCTTGGATAGTGTTGGTCTGTATATTAATCCCTTGTCAATTTTATTCATTTCAAATATCTTCTTCGAGAAAATTGTTCTCTGCTAACTTTGATTAAGATGTCTTCACTGAACAGAAATGTTTAGGCTTTTTTGAGACAGGGTCTTGCTCTGTTGCCCAGGCTGTAGTGCAGTGGTACAACCATAGCTTACTGTAACCTTGAATTCCTGGGCTCAAGCAATCCTCTTGCTTCAGCCTCCCAAGTAGCTAGAAGTATAGGCATGCACCACAATGCCTGGTCAATTTAAAAATTTTGTAGAGATGGTGTTTCACTGTGTTGCCAGTCTTCCTACCTCAGCTCACGAGTTCTCACGAGATCTGATGGTTTAAAAGTGTGTGGCACTTCCCCCTTTGCTGTCTCTCCTGCTCCACCATGGTAACACGTGCCTGCTTCCCCTTCGTTTTCCACCATGATTGTAAATTTCCTGAGGCCTCTGAACCATGCTTCCTGTACAGCCTGTAGGACTATGAGTCAATTAAATCTCTTTTCTTCATAAATTACCTAGCCTCAGTTAGTTCTTTATAGCAGTGTGACAATGGACTAATACACCTTAAATGTTTAGTTTTTATATGGTTGTGTTCATCATATTTTGCCCTGTAATATGTGCATTTGGAGTCTTGTTTAAGAAATCTCCTCCCTGAGGTCTCAGAGATATTTCCCCTCACCTTTTGGTATCTGGGTTGTGGATTTCCTTTTCATATGTGGGTAGTGAATCCAATAGGACTTTGCCTTTGCTACACAGCGTGAGGCAGGGATCCAACCCTATGCTCTCCATCTAGTGAGGGGTTTTCCCCATCATTGCTGTTAACAGATTCATCTACACATCCATCGTCTCCCCACAGGTCTTGTGTGCCACTGCTTTCCTGTGCCCATCCAAGGTCCATGAGGGCAATTTTGGGCTCTTGCAGGCTGCATCCATCTCTTTATGTTTCCTCTGCCAGGACCAAATTGTCTTATCACTCTGACTTTGTGCAACGACTTCACGCAGGGAGAGTGCTCTATTCTCCCTCACTCTTGTGTTGCCAAATGTTCATAGCTCTTCTAGGACCTTGCTCATCTAGATTCACTTTAAAATCTATCTTTTTGAGTTTCTCAAAATGTGTATAGAAAATCAGCAGTCACTCACTAATGAAATACTCTCTTTTAAGTGAAAAATAATATATGTGCTGTGAAGCTCCGTGATCTACTTTAAACCTAGGAATGAAGTTCCAAGTGTTAACGGTGATTTAAAATCCATTCCATTGAGTTTCGGTTTGTCTGGGGCATCAGTAAATGCTCATTTCCAAAAGTGCTTTGCCTTTGAAGGCTACTAATGCATGCAGTGTGTTGCCATGGCAACGGTTACTTTTAGTTAGTACTTTTTATAGATTAAAGTGCTACACCCTGGAGTCTATTCATATAAATGCATAAATCTTAAGACAGTATGGTACTTCATTTAATGTAGATATTTAATGGAACAGAGTCAGACTTAACTGACCAGAAATGGAAAATTTTCAACACTTATATTTGATACGGACATGCAGTGTTACCAAAAATATAACATTTTCATTACTTTGTTTTACAAAATATAAATTAACCTTGCTATCCATTTAACTTGGTCAATATTTAATAAATTGTGGTTGAAATGTATGTGTCTGTCAGAAATTTGCACATATCACTTTGTTTTCTACCCTAGAGTAAAATCCCCAATTATTGTAGGGATTCAGAAGACTTGGGGAACAAGGTGTTTCCCAGGCAAATGGAGGGGAAGTCAGTGGAGCCCTGGGTGGGAAAGAGTATATGGGCCTGGGCTTGGATTTTGGCAGTGATTTTTATTAGCTGTGTGGCCTTGAACTTCAGTTTCCCCAGTCATAAAATGGAGATCATCACATCTACTTTGCACAGCAGTTGTGAAGATTAATTGTATCTTCAGTGAGTGATATCTATGATTTAAAAATGACTAGATAATGATTTCAAGTCAATATTTAAGACAGAAAGAGAGGGTGGAAATATCAAGTACAAAAGTGCTGCGGAAAGTCAATAGTCAACGATCCTGGTGGATGGGAGGTCTCAGAGACAGGGGAATTGGGCACCGCTTCCACGCACACGAGAGGAGAAGGACACAGAGGCAGAGATCAGCAGAGCAGTGGGCATGGAAGAGGGACCATGGGGTTGGCTGGGTGAGGCTTGGTCAGGAAAGACAAAGGGGTGGCGGTAGGAGCCCCCAAGGGTGGGTTGAGAGCTCTGTGCCTTACACAAAGAGTGACCCTGAACTGTGCCTTATACAGAGGTGACAAGAAGTGTTTTAGAAGGGAGATCTGGTAAACAAAGGGGCACATGGAGACAAGCATGAGGGCTGGATGTGCCCCTGGCCTGAGGACAGCAAGGCCTGAACCCAGGAGGGGTGTGGAGAGTGAGATGAAGATGAGAATCTCACAGTCACAAAGAAGACGATATAGGGATTAGCTCTACTGGAAACAGGAGTGGAAAGAGCCAAAATGGTCTCCGAAGCTTTGATCTCTTCCGATGAACAATTGTTTAAAGCAACAATAATGACAATAACAAAACAGTCATCCCTTGGCATCTGGGGGGTATTGGTTCCAGGACTCAGTTTCTTGCCACGTGAATCTCTCCAGTTTGCTTTGTCAGAGCAAGCACGTGAAAAGAATCTGAACAAGATGGAAGTCACTGTCTTTTATAATCTGATTTCCAAAGTGGCATCCATCACCCTTGCTGTGTTTATTCATTAAAACCAAGTCACGAGTCCAGCCCATATACACAAGGAGAAGGAACTACACATGGGCATGAAGACAAGGAGACAGGGGTCGCTGGGAGCCATGCTGGAAGCTGCCTACCATACTAGGGGACTGGAGAAGTGGAAATACTCTTGACCAAAATAGGACAGGAGGATGGAAATAATTTAGGACCCAGATGATGAATTCAGTTGTAATCATGGTGTATGAGCTAATGGCATGGCATCAGAACCAGAATCCACAGCCATTTGAGCCATGGGAGAGCTCTAGAAAGAAGGCAAGCCACGGACATGGATTAGGAAGCATCCTGTTTTGACCATGTTCAGGACATGTATTCTTAGCTTCATTGCACATGTCTGCAAAACAAATGAGTCTGCTACAGGGCTGTCAGACAGGGCTGTGGTTTCATCTGAAGGTTCAACAAGAAAAGGATTTACTTCCAACCTCACTCACATGGTTGTTGGCAGGATTCAGTTCTTTGCAAGATGTTAGGATGAGGTTCTTGATTCTTTACCAACAGTGGCCTCGTGAGAAGTCTTGAGTTGGATAATCCAACTCAACTGTGGCTGGATACCTGACCCACAGAAACTATGAAATAATAAACGTGCTTTTCAAGCCACTAAGTTTTGGTGTGATTTGTTATGCCGCAACAGATAATTAATACACCCAGTTTCCAACTCTTTGATCCTATCAGTTACCATAAGGCACCTAGAAGTTTTCCCACCCTTCCAAGTCCTCAAAATTTATGCTTTTCTGGAATTTGAGAGAAGGTAATGGTCCACTTAGGGAGGAAGCTATTGTTTGGTACATGCCTCCAGGCACCCTTTCTCCTGCTGGACAACTGCTTCTCCAGTCTAATCCTGCTCTAGCTTTTTGCTGGGAAATAACACTCCACTCACTCTTTCACCTTGGACTTCCTGTGCTCCCAAACTTGGCTTGGGTCCAGACTGTAGTCTTCTGTGTCCCTGACCTGGATTTCTATTCCAGAACCTAAATGCTGCATGTCTAAGCTGATCTGGTCAGCAAATTTTTTATCGCTCTTGCATTTGATAGTTGGATTGTGGCATTCCTGACCTTGCATTGCACCCGCACAAATCAAAACAGCCTTGGCAGCCCTGTAAGATAATTTGATTCCATTCCCTAGCAATACAGGGCCAGGTCCAAAGTTACCAAATCAGGGCCCTGACTGCTCCTGGCACCCAGCCCTGGCCCATGGCTTCCTGACTGATCTTCCTGACCTTTGCCTTTCCAGCTCCACCACCTCAAGGAGGCATGAACGATCTTTCAGAGGCATGTGCCAAGTTCTGAGCTTGGTCTTCCCATCCTTCCAGGGGGTGTGGGATGGGACTTGGAGTTATGCCAGCTCTTCAGAAGGGGATGTGCATGCACCAGCTCCAAGTAGAGTTGGCAATAGGCACCGCTACTCAGTGGCACAGTGGTGACTCATGAAAGCAGTGGGGAGTAGGACATGGTGGCAGAGAATCAGTTCCCAGGCCCTGCTCAGCAATTATGAAAAAGGCTGTTAACTTGGCACCAGGAAAATAGAGTAAAGGTCGCTTTTCCTGACTTCCAAGGACTTCCACAGACTGAGGCCAACCTGCTCGCCCAATGTGTTCTCTACTGTGAGCCCTCTGCTCTCACTGTCACTTTCTAGTCTGGAAGTCAAAAAATTCTTCTCCTTCTTCTTCTCTTTCTTCTTCTCCTCCTTCTCCTCCTCCTTCTCCTTCTCCTTCTTCTTTCTCTTCTTCCTCTTCCTCTCCTTTCCTTCTCATTCTCATTCTTCTTTTTTTTTTTTTTGAGACAGGGTCTGACTCCATCACCCAGGGTGGAGTGCAGTGGTGTGGTGTCAGCTCACTGCAACCTCTACCTCCCAGGTTCAAGCAATTCTTGTGCCTCAGCCTCCCAAGTAGCTGGAATTATAGCCGTTTGCCACCATGCCTGGCTAATTTTTTATTTTTAGTAGAGATGGGGTTTCACCATGTTGGCCAGGCTGGTCTCAAACTCCTGGCCTCAAGTGATCCACCCACCTCAGCCTCCCAAGTGGCCTGCTAGGATTACAGGCCACTGTGCCCAGCCAAAAATATTTATTATTAATAAATGGATGAGCCTTGTAGAAATTATGTGGAACAAAAGAATCTGGACACAGAAGAGTAAAGACTGTATGCTCCACTTAGATGACTTTTTAGAATAGGCAAAATTCATCTAAAGTGGATAAAATAAAGGTCATACTTGTTGCCCTGGTTAGTTACCTGGAAAGGGACATGAGGGAGCTTTCTGGAGTGATGGAAATGCTCTATATCGTGATAGGGGTGTGAGTTACAGAGGTGTGTGTTTGTTAAAATAAGGCCGGGTGCGGTGGCTCACACCTATAATCCCAGCACTTTGGGAGGCCAAGGTGGGTGGATTACTTGAGGTCAGGAGTTTGAGACCAGCCTGGCCAATATGGTGAAACTCCATCTCTACTAAAAATACAAAAATTAGCCGGGCTTGGTGGTGCATGACTGTAATCCTAGCCACTTGGGAGGCTGAGGCAGGAGAGTCGCTTGAACCTGGGAAGTGGAGTTTGCAGTGAGCTGAGATGGTGCCACTGCACTCTAGCCTGGGTGTCGCAGGGAGACTCCATCTCAAAAATAAATAAATTAATAAAAAATCGGCTGGGCACGGTGGCTCATGCCTGTAATCCCAGCACTTTGGGAGGCCAAGGTGGGTGAATCACGAGGTCAGGAGATGGAGACCATCCTGGCTAACATGGTGAAACCCCGTCTCTACTAAAAATACAAAAAAAATTAGCTGGGTGAGGTGGCGCGTGCCTGTAGTCCCAGCTACTCGGGAGGCTGAGGCAGGAAAATGGCGTGAACCCGGGAGGCTGAGCTTGCAGTGAGCCCAGTATATATATATATATATATATATATATATATATATATATACACTTAATTTTTGTTACTTTGTCATTATGGCATTTTGATATATGTCAATTTTACCTTCAATAAAACTGTAAAAATATTAATGGTTGAGTAAGGGCAGGGGAGTGGGGTGAGCTACAGAAGACCCTGGAATGGCAGAATGCTGAATGTCGAAGCTGGGTATTTGCCGCATAGGGGTTTATTACGCTATTCTGTTTACTTTGTACATGTTTGAAAATTTCCACAATAAAGAGTCAAAAAAAATTTTATGGTGCACATATTCTGCACCATGTCCTATGCTAAAGGGCATGCACAGGCAGACAAGGCTGCAGAATACAGAAAGAACAAAACTGAAGATGGAATTTATTTTTTTACATTTATTTTTAGAGATGGGGTCTTGCTATGTTGCTCAAGCTGGTCTTGAACTCTTGGGCTCAAGCGACCCTCCCACCTCAGCCACCCAAGTTACTGGGATTACAGCATTATTCAACCTGAAGATTGGAAGATTTTTTTTTTTTTTTTTTTTTTTGAGATGGAGTCTTGCTCTGTCGCCCAGGCTGGAATGCAGTGGCACAATCTCGGCTCACTACAAGCTCCGCCTTCTGGGTTCATGCCATTCTCCTGCCTCAGCCTCCTGAGTAGCTGGGACTATAGGCGCCCGCCACCGCGCCCAGCTAGTTTTTTGTATTTTTAGTAGTGACGTGGTTTTCACCGTGTTAGCCAGGATGGTCTCGATTTCCTGACCTCATGATCCGCCTGCCTCGGCCTCCCAAAGTGCTGAGATTTCATGCGTGAGCCACCGCGCCCAGCCAAGATGGATTTTTTACTTACAAACATAAAGTGCATTGAAAAGGGGGAAAGGTGGACTAAACGGAAAGTCATGCCAGCCCCAACATGTGGCTCCAAGAAGAGAACCCTGCACCAGAAGGGAAGTCATCCAACTGCTTCTTTCATGGCTCACAACATGTCACGAGACCATCGCCAGCAGAACTAAACACTGGGCGAAGCGATGTGGTTGATTTACATTCTGGCTCAGGCTCTATTCTTGAACCATCAGCCAGAAATGTGACCAACACTAAGGCAATGATTTATTAGATTCACCTGGGAGCACCCAGATAAACTAAATCAGAATCCCTTGTGGCAGGGCTCGGCATCAGTGTATTTTGATGTTCCAGATGCAATTCCAATACACAGCCAGGGCAAGAACCAGCGATCTGTGAGCTGCTCAAGTCACATTGCTTCCAGGAAGTCTCTCTTCATGCTCGCTCACAAAGAGCCTTCTTTTATCCAACACCCTAAACATTGCTGACTGACAGTCTGCTATCTAGGTATATGGGGCCTTGTACTGTTTTGAACAATTCATGCTTGTCTTCTTTAATGAGGATGTCTGCACATGTGTTCTTGAGGGTAAGAATTACCTTTTACATTTTTGCATTCCCCACAACACTTTGCACTATGATGTTCAATAAACATTCAATTTTCAAATTTTTATTTAGACAATGAAATATTTCCTTATTATAAATTGGCTGCATTCTTTAATTCTCAGAGTACTGAACTAAATGATTAATCATTACTGGAACATGTTCTTTCATAATGAAAATACTAAAAGATTTATAAACTTAAACATAACTTTTCAGTTATTTAATTTGGGGATTTTCCAAGTCAACGTATTTCCTATTGAACAGATTTTTGTCTATATTATTTTTGCTCTCTGACCTGATGTGAATCTTTCAGACGCTGGGTTGGTTGAAGGGGAAACAGTTTTTCTAATGCAGCTACTGTGAGCTGAGCTGACTTAGGCCTTGGAGAATTACCATTCTTACCAATTGACCACAAAAGCAGATAGGAACAGTATCTACGTATTACAAACCAGAATCAAAATGACCTTCACACATGATTAGTGTGGAATTCTTTTCAGTGGAAAATGGCAACATTTAGCAGCACAGGGTGCAGTTGGCTTCAAATACTCTCTGAAGTGAAACCATTGTGTTTTCCTGGGTGACTGAGCCCAGGGCTAATGCCCATCGGAGAAGCTGCTGGGAACTGCAATGCTTTGATTAAACAGAGTATTAACCACAGGCTGGCTGTTTGAACCATATCGATAAAGACAAAATTCACCCTATCTACCAAAACATTCTTTCATGTAAGACTTAACAATGAAAATAAACAAAAGCTTTAGCTGTCAACTATATATACCATGAAGAATGGCAAAACTGGTTTTTGTTAATGCTATTTTGTCTTTTAATCGCTCAGTTGGCTATGAAAACTCTTGTTTACATTCCTTTACATATTGTTGAGCTTCAAGGTAATTGTGAAAGAAAACGGGGAATTAATATCACTTCCCAGAAGCCACATTTTATTTAACCTCAAAAACTTTATGTAAAAGATTTTGTTATGAATCAAAGGCTGGCAGTTCTTCCCACTGGGGTGATTTAGGAAATTAAAGTTAGGAGTAGATGGTGCTAATGGGAATGGTAAGACTAGTAAGAGTGATTTATTCCTTGCAGAAAAAAATCACTGTCGATGCTCAGTTGAAATAATGTGGAATTTAATAATTACCTCATAGTACCATCTAGTGGTGCTATATTTCTACCCTTGTGTTAAGTGAGGACTGTAGTTTTCTGTAGCCCGAAGCCAGCAAAGCCAGGTCAGTGGTCTATTACAAACACTTTAACTGTAAGCTGTTAGAAGGGTGAGTTCACAGAGAAAATGTAAACAAAGTATTAGTAGCTCATATGACAATATTAAATTTTAAAATGTTCCCAGAACTCAGACATGTTCAATATGGATTCTCAATAAATTGTGTTTTTAAATATTGAACAAATACTGTGATTACTTTTTTCACAATAATTACAGCAATTTGGGTAGTTTTGGGTACTACCGTAAGATTCTAAGCACTATTTTATATTTTTCCTATTCTGAACAATTGTGGTTTGTGCATTTCTTCCAGTAAATGCGGTCTGGAAAATAAATACCTTTCACATGGTACGTGTTATTGGAAAACAATTGTCTTTAGTGAGATTTATGGAATGTGGAGAAAAAAAATTTTTTAAGGAACTATTGCTCCTATGAAAGCTTGAGAGTGTTACGGGCAATGTAGGCACTTTTAGATCAAATTCAAACATAAAAAGGCACTTACACACATTTTAAGAATACTTGTAATTATAAGCACATTTTCAGATTTACAGGACTAAGTCTAGTTTAAGCATAAACCAGATTCAATGTGAATCTCTATATATTTTTCTTGCTTCAAGTATTATTTTACAGAAGGGACACTGATTTGTTTGGCCTGTGTAAACCTAAGAATCTAGGTTTGATCTAGTAGATATCATATCTAGTAGATGTCATATCTCAACAATAAAGGGTCTGAAGAATAAATATTAATATTTAGGCCTAAGTTATTTTTTAAAATTCATAATGTGTCTGTCCTGTTTTGCTTACTGAATTAACAAATCTTTAAAGAAAACCTTCATATATTATAGCGATATATTTATACCACAGTGATATGATTTATTGAATGTGAGAGAAATTCTCACACTCAATTTTAATTTTCTTAAAAAGAAAAGATGGGAAAATGTTACAGTATTTAAATAGTGAATGCTGGGCGGCGACGGCGACATGGAGAGCGGGGCCTACGGCGTGGCCGAGGCGGGCGGCTCCTTCGACCTGCGGCCCTTCCTGACGCAGCCGCAGGTGGTGGCGCGCGCCCTGTGCTTGGTGAGCCCGGGGAGGGCGGGCCGGGGGCACCCCGAGGACCCCCCCCGCCGCCAGGCCCGGCGGGACCCCTAACCCACGAGCGTGACAGGTGGAGGCGGCCGCGTCCGGGCCCTGGCGGCGAGCGGGGCGGGCATTTAGCGTCCCGGGCCCCGCCTTCCCGCCCTCCACAGTCTTCGCCTTGATCGTGTTCTCCTGCATCTATGGCGAGGGCTACAGCAACACCCATAAGTCTAAGCAGATGTACTGCGTGTTCAACCACAACGAGGATGCCTGCCGCTATGGCAGTGCCATCGGGGTGCTGGCCTTCCTGGCCTCGGCCTTCTTGGTGGTCGACGCGTATTTCCCCCAGATCAGCAACGCCACTGACCGCAAGTACCTCGTCATTGGTGACCTGCTCTTTTCAGCTCTCTGGACCTTCCTGTGGTTTGTTGGTTTCTGCTTCCTCACCAACCAGTGGGCGGTCACCGACCCGGAGGACGTGCTGGTGGGGGCCGACTCTGCGAGGGCAGCCATCACCTTCAGCTTCTTTTCCATCTTCTCCTGGGGTGTGCTGGCCTCCCTGACCTACCAGCGCTACAAGGCTGGCGTGGACGACTTCATCCAGAACTACGTCGACCCCAGTCCGGACCCCAACACTGCCTACGCCTCCTACCCAGGTGCATCTGTGGACAACTACCAACAGCCACCCTTCACCCAGAATGCGGAGACCACCGAGGGCTACCAGCCGCCCCCTGTGTACTGAGTGGCGGTTAGGGTGGGAAGGGGGACAGAGAGGGCCCTCCCCTCTGCCCTGGACTTTCCCATGAGCCTCCTGGAACTGCCAAACCCCCTCTTTCACCTGTTCCATCCTGTGCAGCTGACACACAGCTAAGGAGCCTTACAGCCCGGCGGGGGCTGGCCGAGCCACACCCCACGTGCCTGTGCCCAGAGGGCTTCAGTCAGCCGCTCACTCCTCCAGGGCACTTTTAGGAAAGGGTTTTTAGCTAGTGTTTTTCCTTGCTTTTAATGACCCCATCCCCGCCTGGAGTGGCTAGAAGCCAGCAGGCACCCATGTGCTACTGACAAGTGCCTCAGCTTCCCCCCGGCCCGGGTCCGGCCGTGGGAGCCGCTGTTACCTGCGTTCTCTGCCAAAGACTCGTGGGGGCCGTCACACCTACCCTGTGCAGCGGAGCCGGACCAGGCTCTTGTGTCCTCACTCAGGTTTGCTTCCCCTGTGTCCACTGCTGTATGATCTGGGGGCCACCACCCTGTGCCGGTGGCCTCTGGGCTGCCTCCCACGGTGTGAAGGCGGGGCTGGTGCTCATGGCACTTCCTTCTTGCTCCCACCCCTGGCAGCAGGGAATGGCTTTGCCTGACAACACCCAGCTTTATGTAAATATTCTGCAGTTGTTACTTAGGAAGCCTGGGGAGGGCAGAGGTGTCCCATGGCTCCCAAACTCTGTCTGTGCCGAGTGTATTATAAAGTCGTAGGGGAGATGCCCGGCCCTGGGATGCTGTTTGGAGATGGAATAAATGTTTTCTCATTCAAAAAAAAAAAAAAATTAGTGAATGCTTTTGTAAAATAGCAGCCAAACCAAGACCAAAATGTTTCTTTAGTGTACTTTCATGCTTAATGCTGACAGATAGCATTGTTTGAACTCACAATCAATTTTTTATATATACCTTTTCATTACAAAACAAATAATATTCATGGCAGAAAATGAAGAAAACCAAAAAACAAAAATAAGATAAGAAATTTCACCTGAAATCCCAACACTTAAAATGCCATTTAAAATATTTTCCCAAGTAGCCCCATTTTTTAAAATGAGCAAATTAGCTTCCCACTTAACTTCTTTCACTTAATACTAAACTGTGAATAACTTTCACAGTGTGATTTTCATTTCTGAAATTGCCCAGCTTCTAAGGCCCACTGCATGCAAGGAATTTAGCTAAAACACATAGTCCTTGAGGAGATGACAGTCTAGAAGCAGAGACAATATACACTGTAGTTAATGACAGTTAAAATGTCCTTAACAAGATTAAAAACTCGTGGGAAAAGAATGAAATCCTGTCATTCACAGCAACATGGATGAGCCTGGAGGACATAAGGCTAAGTGAAATAAACCAGGCACAGAAAGGCAGATACCACATGATCTCTCTCATGTAGCGTCAAAAAGGTTGATCACATAGAAGTAGAGAGCAAAACAGTGATTACCAGAGCCTGGGGAGGGGAAACAGGGATGGGAAGAGGTTGGTCAATGGGCACAAAGTTACAGTTAGACAGGAAGAATAAATGCTGGTGTTCCCGTCCATAGTACGATGACTACAGCTAATAACAATGTAGAGTATATTTCAAGTGAGCTAATAAAGAGGATCCTGAAAGTTATCACCAGAAATAAATGTAAATTTTGTGGTGAATGATATGCTAACTACCCAGATTTGGTCATTATACAATGTATACATGTAGTGAAACATCACACTGTACCCCATAAATGTGTACAATTATTATATGTCAAATATAAACACTTTTTTTTTTTGAGACGGAGTCTTGCTCTGTTGCCCAGGCTGGAGTGCAGTGGCGCAATCTCCGCTCACTGCAAGCTCCGCCTCCTGGGTTCACGCCATTCTCCTGCCTCAGCCTCCTGAGTAGCTGGGACTACAGGCGCCCACCACCACGCCCAGCTAATTTTTTTTTGTATTTTCAGTAGACACGGGGTTTCACCGTGTTAGCCAGGATGGTCTCTATCTCCTGACCTCGTGATCTGCCTGCCTTGGCCTCCCAAAGTGCTGGGATTACAGACATGAGCCACAGTGCCCGTCCTAAACATGTTTTTTAAAAGAACACACAAAAAAGAATAAAATTCCCTGAGAACTAGCTTTATTTCTTCCATTTCTGTGGTCTCCTGGTCTCAGACTGGAATTGTTTTGTTATTAAGTAAAAACCAGCCCTCAACTGGCCAAAGCACAAAGGTAAGTCACTGACTCATGTAACTAAACTCCCTAGGAACAGACCCAGCTTCAGACAGAGCTGGATACAGGCTGCTCATCTGCCTAATTTGGTCTGGGTGCTGCTCCTTGGCTCTTGGTTAGCTTCCTTTCTGTTGGTTCCTTTCTCCTTTGCAGAGGCAAAAACAGCACACGCTTTTAGTTGGAGTCTTGCTGCCTCCTGGGATGTTCTTCACCACCATCCTGGGGATTCACTTTGACTCAATCTTGGGTTGGGTTCTTTGTCTCCTTATCCCATATATTCCTCTTCTTTGATTTGCTCTCTTATTTTGGTGGAGGCTCCACTCTACTAGTTTCCTGAGAGAAGCTGCCTTGGAATGAAATGTTTTGAGACTTTGTATGACCAAAATGTTTCTTTAGTTTACCCTTGTGGTTAATAGTTTTGCTGGTGTGAAAGAGACTGCCAGTGTTACATATATCTTGTCCTCCTTTCTTTCCTGGGTACATGACGGGATTACCTTTGCAAAGGACTAACAGTATCTTTGCAGTTAGGTAGTCTTGTGATGAGTGTAGCCAATAAAATGAAAAAAGAAGTGTGTGACCTCCAGGCCCAGGGAATTAATAGCTTGGGTGCTACTCCAGGCTCTCTTCCCCTGCTGCAGGAGCTTTGGAGGCCCCTTGTTTCAGAGCAACATCTCAAGGTGAAAAGAACCTGGATACCTGAATCACAGGATGGAGGGGATCACCTGCCAACTTGCCTTTGCATGAACAAGAAGGAAGCGTTGTTAGGCTGGCCTACTGAGATGCTAGGGTTTCTTTCTTTCCTTCATTTTAAAATTGCAACGTTATCTCAGTGGAATAGATTATTCTTAGGTGCATCGTTCATATAAAGAAAAATTCATGTAATCCCAGCACTTTGGGAGGCCGAGGCAGGCGGATCACGAGGTCAGGAGATCGAGACCATCTGGCTAACACAGTGAAATCCCATCTCTACTAAAAATACAAAAAATTAGCCGGGCATGGTGGCTGGCGCCTGTAGTCCCAGCTGCTCAGGAGGCTGAGGCAGGAGAATGGCGTGAACCCGGGAGGCGGAGCTTGCAGCGAGCTGAGATTGTGCCACTGCACTCCAGCCTGGGCGACAGAGCGAGACTCTGTCTCAAAAAAAAAAAAAAAAAAAAAAAAATTCAAAACACTCCTGAGGGATACAAAGAAAAGTCAAAGAGGTGGAAATCTGTAATCTTGGAAAGGAAGATTCACCACCAAAACAGTAACCATAGTGGAGAGTGTGTTAATAATAAAGTTGATGCAATTCCAATAAATATCCCAACAGGATTTTCTTTTTTGAGGGAGAGCGAAACAATCTGATTCTAAAGTTAATGTGGAAAGAAAAACTCTAAGGAAATATAAAGTTAAATTCGGATCTCACACCTGACTCCAGGATAAATTCTAGTTGATTAAAAAATTAAATGTAAAAAAAAGATACCATAAAATATTAGAATAAACAATCATACTTGTTTTGAATCAAATGCTGGGGAGGGCATTTCTAGGTACAACATAAAACTGGGGAGCCATCACAGAAGAGTTTGATAGATTCAATTATTCTAAAATCAAAAAGAAAAAATCCACATGTAAAAACCCTCCCCAGGCAAAGTCACAAGACAAACAGTAAACTGGCGAGCATTTGCAACTCAAATCACATATAAAGAATAATTTCATTGCTGTATGTTTTAGTCCATTTGTGCTGCCATAACCTGAGATGGGTAATTTGCAATAAATAGAAATGTATTAACCCACAGTTCTGGAGGCTGGGAATTCCTGAGAGGTCAGTGTCTGACAAGGACCTTCTTGCTGCATCATCCCATGGTGGAAGGCAGAGGGCAAGAGAGAGGGCAAGGGGCTGAACTCACTCTTTTATAATAACATCAATCCCACCCATGAGGGCAGAGCCCCCATGGCTTAATTACCTCTTAAAGGTCCCATCTCTTAATAATGTTACAATGGCAATTTAATTTCAAGGGTATGTGCCACCACACCCAGCAAATTTTTTTTGGTATTTTTTGCAGAGATGGGGTTTTGCCATGTTTCCCAGGCTGGTCTCAAACTCCTGGGCTCAAGCGATCCACCTGCCTGGGCCTCCCAAACTGCTAGTATTACAGATGTGAGCCACTGCACCTGGCCTTGTCTCATTTTAATGTCTCTCTGGACCTGATAATTAAAAAGACTTGCATTTCTCAGATAAAAGTGATTTTCTTTTTCTCAAAAGGATATGAACAGAGAGAAAAGAAAATGCATATGGATCTTCAAAGATGAAATGATGTTCAGTCTCACTCATAATAAGTAATTTCACACAAACTACAATGGGATATAATTTTTCACCCACTAGACCAACAAATACTTCAAAATTTGATAACACATTGTATTACTGAGGATACAGGGAAACAAGGACAATCACAAATTACTTGTGGGAGTCTAAATTGTTTGTAACCCTTACAGGGCACAATTTGACAACATCTAGGAAAATTTTGCATGCAAATACCCTTTGAACCAGCAATTCTCTTTTAGGAATTCATTTATATTTATAGATATGTGACATGATGTGTGCACAAGTCTCTTCATGGTGACACTGTAACAGCAAAGACGAGATAAGCTAAACAGTAGTCAACAGGGGATTGCTTAAATAAATAACAGTACAGCCACACAAAGAAATATTCTGTAGCTCTAAAAATGAATAAAGAAGCTCTTTATGAACAGACATGGATTCATCTCCACTGCATATTGCTCAGTGAAAACAGTGAGTTGTAGAGTATGTCTACATTATACTACTATTTGTGGTTTTCTTAAATGAGGAAAATATGTATAGCTTTTGCATGAAAAAAATATCTCTAGAATGAAGTATGTACAAAAATCTGTTAATCATGACTGTTCATGGGAAGGGGACTGGATAGGAGAGAAGGTGGAAGGGAGAATTTTCACCATTGATACTTTGAACCCATTGATTTTGGGACCAAGTGAATACACTGCTTATCTAAAAATTAGAAATAGTTAAAATTTAAAAAGAAAATGTGCAGTGGCTCACGCCCGTAATCCCAGCACTTTGGGAGGCCAAGGCAGGCAGAACATCTGAGGTCAGGAGTTTGAGACTAGCCTGGCCAACATGGTGAAACCCCGTCTCTACTAAAAATGCAAAAATTAGCCAGGCATGGTGGTGGGCGCCTGTAATCCCAGCTACTCGGGAGGCTGATGTAGGAGAATTGCTTGAACCCCGGAGGTGGAGCTTGCAGTGAGCTGAGATCGCGCCACTGCACTCCAGCCTGGGCAACAGAGTAAGTCTCCGTCTCAAAAAAAAAAAAAAAAAAAGAAAAAAAGAAAAAAAATGTGAAGAGAACAGTTTGGGCACTTGAAACCTACCTTTCAGCATCATTGGTGATGTAACCCTTGGGGTGGTCAGTTTATAGGCCACACGTGTGAGAGTGCCACTCTGCTGTCTAGTCTATCTTAGCAATTTTAGGGACACTATTGCTGTGAGGAGTGACACTGTCCCTGTCCACCATATGAGAAGAATGTGGGTTTTGGTTTCCATTTGCTAAGATGACATTCAGCTGATATAGTCCAGAGGAAAGAAAGGAAAACAGAGCAACTCCCTTTTGATATCTTAGTTGATGACAGCCATAATTAGTGAGTAAGAAAAAATGAAAAGATTTCCAGTCGAAGATGACTGACTAAACATGAGAATTTACCCTTCCTCCCTGTTTAAATCCTATTTCAGGGACCAAAGGGATATAAAATGGAGAGTAATTCTGTAGCAGCATTGGAAATTTAGAAAAGGTGCTTTTTGTGTTTTAAAAATAGATTTAGGGGGTACAAGTGAAGTTGTGTTACATGGATATATTGCATAGTGGTGAAGTCGGGGACTTTTATTGCAACTGTCACACAAATAGTGTACATGACACTCATTAGGTAATTTCTCATCCCTGAGCCCCTTCTCACCCTCCCACCTTTTGGAGTCTCCAATGTCTATTGTTTTATTCTCAATGTCCATGTGTACACATTGTTTAGCTCCACTTATAAGTGAGAACATACACTATTTGACTTTCTGTTTCTGAGTTATTTCACTGAAGATAATGGCCTCCAGTTCCATCCATGTTGCTACAAAAGACATGGTTTCATTTTTTTTAATGGCTGAGCAGTAGTCCATGATGTACATATATACACCACATTTTCTTTATTCAGTCATCCATTGATGGACACTTACGTTTATTCCATGACTTTGCTATTGTGAATAATGCTGCAATGAACATACAAGTGCAGGTATCTTTTTCATATAATGATTTCTTTTCCTTTGGGCAGATATCCACGAGTGAGATTCCTATATCAAATGGTAGTACTACTTTTATTTCTTTGAGAAATCTCCATACCGTTTTCCATAGAAATTGTACTAATTTATATTTCTACCAACAGTCTATAAGTGTTTCCTTTTCTCCACATCCTTGCCAACATCTGTTGTTTTTTTGACTTTTCATAGCCATTCTGACTGGTGTAAGATTTTTGTTTGTTTTTTTGAGATGGAGTCTTGCTCTGTTGCCCGTGCTGGAGTGCAGTGGTGTGATCTCAGCTCACTGCAAGTTCTGCCTCCCGGGTTCACTCCATTCTCCCACCTCAGCCTCCCGAGTAGCTGGGACTACAGGCGCCCACCACCACGCCCGGCTAATTTCTCTTTTCTTTTTGTATTTTTAGTAGAGACGGGGTTTCACCGTGTTAGCCAGGATGGTCTCGATCTTCTTGTGATCTGCCTGCCTCAGCCTCCCAAAGTCCTGGGATTACAGGTGTGAGCCACCGCGCCCGGCCAAGATTTTATCTCTTTGTGGTTTTAGTTTGCATTTCTCTGATGATTAGTAATGTTGAACATTTTTTCATATGTTCGTTGGTCACTTGTATATATCCTTTTGAAAAATGTTTATTCATGTCCTTTGCCCACTTTTTAATGGGGTTATTTTTTTCTTGTACAGTTGTTTGAGTTCCTTGTACATTCTGAATATTAGTCCTTTGTTGGATGCAGAGTCTGCAAATATTTTCTCCCTAGACTTCATAAATTACTTCAGTAAAGTTTCAGGATACAAAATCAATGGTACAAAAATCAGTAGCATTTCTATACACCTATAACAACCAAGCTGAGAACCAAACCAAGAACTCAATCCCATTTACAATAGCTATGAAAAAAATACCTAGGAAAATATTTAACCAAGGAAGTGAAAGATCTCTACAAGGAGAACTACAAAACACTGATGAAAGAAATTGTAGATGACACAAACAAATGGAAAAATATCCCATGCTCCTGGATTGGAAGAATCAATACTGTTAAAATGATCATACTGCCCAAAGCAATCTATGGATTCAATGCAATTCCTACCAAACTACTGTGTTAGTCTGTTCTCAAATTGCTACAGATACATGAAACTGGGTAATTTTTAAACAAAAAAGGTTTAATTGGCTCACAGTTCTGCTGGCTGTACAGGAGGCATGACTCTGGCATCTTCTCAGTTTCTGGGGAGGCCTCAGGACACTTACAATCATAGTGGAAGGCAAAGGGAGAGTGAGGAGTCTCACATGGTGGGAGCAGGAACAAGAGAGAGACCGGCAAGGTGCTACACCCTTTTAAACAACCAGATCTCATGAGCACTCACTCACTATACAGTACCAAAAGGGCATGGTACTAAACCATTCATGAGAAACTGCCCTCATGATCCAACCACCTCCCACGAGGCCCCACCTCCAACACTGGGGATTACAATTTCACATGAGATTTGGTGGGGACACAGATCCAAATAATATCAATTACCAATGTCATTTTTCACAAAATTAAAAAAAAATCCTAAAATTGATATGGAACCAGGAAAGAGTCTGAATAGCCAAAGCAATCTTAAGCAAAAAGAACAAAGCTGGAGGCATCACATTACCTGACTTTAAACTACTCTACAAGTCTATAGTAACCAAAACAGCATGGTACTAGTAAAAAATAGACACATAGATCAATGGAATGGAATAGGGAACCTAGAAATAAAGCCACATACCTACAACCAACAGATCTTTAACAACATAAACAAAAATATACAGTGGGGAAAGGACACCCTATTCAATAAATAGTGTTGAGAAAATTGGCCAGTCATATGCAGAAGAATGAAACTGGACCAATATACAAAAATTAACTCAAGATAGGATTAAAAACTTAAATGTAAGACCTGAAACTATAAAAATCCTAGAAGAAAACCTAAGAAAAACTCTTCTGGACATTGGCCTACACAAAGAATTTATGATTAAGACCTCAAAAGCAAATGCAACAAAAATGAACAAAGAAAAACAGGACTTAAACTAAAAGGCTTCTGCACAGCAAAAGAAATAATCAGCAGAGTAAAACGACAACCTACAGAATGGGAAAAATATTTGGAAGGGATGTTTTTAAGAGATCAGAAGAGACAAAACATTCTTGAAGATATAAAGTAGATGGAATCAGATTGGTGGCAGTTCTAGAATTTGGGTGCAGAATAAACCTGCTAGCATTGCTCCAAAATAAAACAAGAAATTGTACTAAAGGTTTAGGTAGTGCTAAAGAGAAAGAGAGGGCTGGGCGCGGTGGCTCACGCCTGTAATCCCAGCACTTTGGAAGGCCAAGGTGGACAGATCACCAGAGATCAGGAGTTTGAGACAAGCCTGTCCAATGTGGTGAAACCCCATCTCTACTAAAAATACACACACACACACACACACACACACACACACACACACACAATTAGCTGGGTATGGTGGCACACACCTGTAATCCCAGCTACTCGGGAGGCTTAGGCAGGAGAAGGCGGAGGTTGCAGTGAGCTGAGATCGCACCACTGCACTGCAGTCTGGGTGACAGAGCGATACTGTCTCAAAAAAAAAAAAGAGAGAGAGAGAGAAAGAGAGGATGTTGGGGCTGGAGAATAGAATCAGTACTCTCAGGTAACAGATGCATGGAGTGGGGACAAGGAGGATACCTACTAAGAAGTCAAGCAACTCGGAGAATCTAAATGTCAGTCTGTCTAGTCACAGGTCAACTCGTTGCTATGTCAGAAAAGCAATCAGTTCTAGAAAATTAAAAACACATTCTAAAATAAAAAATCGAATGACTGTTTCACAAAGAATGGGCCTAACCGAAGATCTTATCAGAGAGCTGAAAGACTGAATAGAGGAATTCTCTTAGAATACAGTGCAAAACAAGATGACAGGGATAAAGCCGAATAAGTCAGCAATTATAATTAATATGACCAATGTGTAGTGCTCATAGAGTACTTGGGTTCAAATCCTGCCCAATCCTTTCTGATCTTGGGTAGGTCATGGAATCACTCAAATCCTCAGTTTCTTCAGCTGTTAACTGGGGACAACCAGAAGAACTACCTATAGGCTAGGTCTGAGCACTGTATAAAATAACGCGGGTAAAGTGCTCAGTAGAATACCTGAATTGAGAGGACTCAATACTGCTTAGCTACGTTCCTATCACTATTAATATTACTAATGGGCCATCAGACATGCTAAAAATAAATACCTACAACAGAGTGGAGACCCTGTCACTAAAAACATAAATAAATAAGTAAATAAAATATACAACCACACTAACATTCACAAAAGTATTCTAAAATAAAATTATTCAGGAATGTTGAAAATTAAATGACAAAGGTAGTCACTTATTTACAAAATCTGTGAAAGATGAGAAATGTGAAATTAAAAAAATGGAATTTAAAGCCAAAAATATTCAATAGGACAGATTTTATATTTACACATAAGAATACGAAGACACTAGAAGAGCAATGAATCTTTATGCCTGAACAACATGCTATCAGAATATATAAAGAAAAATGAATTGATAAGTTAACAGTCAAAATGAGAGGATTTAGTAACTTTCTCAGGAAAGAACTGATTTAATAGACAAAAAGCAGTTTTAGATTTTGAGATCACAAGGCTGACTCTGTAGTAATATACAGAAATTTGAACTCAGTATAGAATATACACTCTTTGTAAGTACACGTATACTATCTACAAAAATTGACATAGTAATAAACCAAAAAGTCTCAATGAATTTCAAAAAGCGGAAAACATTTAGGCTAATTTTCTAACTACCATGCAATAAAACCAGAAATTAGAAATAACAAAGAAAAGAATATCCCCAATCAAAAAAAAAAAAAGAAAAAGAAAGAAAAAGTTATATGTATTTGGAGATAAAAACAAAGCAAAACAGAGAGGCTTTCTGTTATTTATGCGTAAACCAGGAAATCATGGTTGCGATTGCCAACAGTTTATGCTGGGACAAGGGCTCAGTGTAGTAAAGCCAGCAGGATGTGGCCAAAAAATGTAAGAAGACAAGGGAAAATAAATGAACTCTAAATATTAGGAGACAAAGCATAGAAAGTAGAAATTTTAAAATAAAAAAGCAGAAATTAATGAAACAAACAAACAGGGCAAACAACAAAATTTGTTAAGCCCCAAATCGAGTTCTTTGAAAAATAGCTAATACAACTGTGAAACTACTGGCAGACCTGACCCAGAAAAAAAAAAGGAAGAATTAGAAAAGAAATATAACTATAAATAGGGAAGAGATTTAAAACTTGTAATCAACTCTATAGAAATAAATTGGAAAATGTGTAAGAAATGAATATTTTTATAAAAATGTAAACTACCACAATTAACGAAAGAGTCAGAAGACCCAAATCCTTGCTGGTTCTGTTGAAGAAATGGAAAAGGTAGTCAGAGGTCCGGCCCTGAAACAGGCGGCAGATATAGGTAGTGTTATGGGGGATGCTAGTGAACCTTCAAGGAGCATGTGATTCCAGTTATTCAAACTGTCAGAGCACAGGAACAGATGGAAAGTTTTCCTTCTCCTTCCAAGTCTAGCAAAATCTTGATAACAAAACTCATTTGAACGATAAGTATATGAAGTAATGCATATGTTAATTAGCTTGATTTAGCCATTCCACAGTGTCTACATATATCAAAACATCATGTTGTACACCACAAATATATACAATTTTTATTTGTCAATTAAAAAAATAAAGTCAAAACAAAACAAATTTGCACTCAAGGGGTACAGAGGTTTGCATGGAAATGCTTCAAAAAGGCCTGGAAATAATCCAGATGCTAGCAGGCTACCTCCTAGTGGCTGGAGAAAGAGGGCTGTCACTTTTTACCCTACACACTTCTGTACAATTTTATCTTTTTTCTTTTTTTTTTTTTTTTTTTTTTTTTTTGAGACGGAGTCTCGCTCTGTCGCCCAGGCTGGAGTGCAGTGGCGGGATCTCGGCTCACTGCAAGCTCCGCCTCCCGGGTTCACGCCATTCTCCTGCCTCAGCCTCCCAAGTAGCTGGGACTACAGGCGCCCGACATCACGCCCGGCTAATTTTTTGTATTTTTAGTAGAGACAGGGTTTCACCGTGTTAGCCGGGATGGTCTCGATCTCCTGACCTCGTGATCCGCCCGCCTCGGCCTCCCAAAGTGCTGGGATTACAGGCTCTTTTTTCAATAAGTATGTATGAGTGGATTAACAATGGAATGATTGTTTAATGCATTCATTATTTTATTACTTTTTAAACCATAAGAAGAGGTAGGAAGTATTATCTACATAAGGGGTTGGCAAATTTTTTTCTGTAGAGAGCAAGATAGTAAATATTTTAGTCTTTGGGGGCCATGCGGTCTGTTGCAACTACTCAACCTTGGTGGCTAGCATGGAAGAAACCACAGACTATATGTAAATGAATGGATGTGGCTGTGTTCCGTTAAAATTTTATTTCAAAAACAGGCTGCAGGTTGGATTTGGTCCACTGCCATACTTTGCTAAATCTGATTTCTATATCAGTGGGGAAATTGGTATTTTGATATATTTTATTAAGCCTCAGTCCAATATTTTATTCATTTATTTAAAAATATTTACTAAAGACCTTTATGTTCCAGGCACTGCTGTAGGAACTAGGAGTACTGGGAACATACCAGTGAATAACACAAAGCCACTATCGTCATGGTGGTTGCATTCTATTCTGAGAAAACAGACAACAAGCACATGCAGAACAAAAACAACAAAACAAAACAAAACAAAAAACATGCTCAAGAGTGATCAATGCTATAAAGAAAACAAAGCAGGATAAGAGATAGAGGGCGCTGGAGTGGGGGTTGGTACAGTTTTAGAGGGGATGGTAAGAAAAGCCTCTGGGCCGGGCGCGGTGGCTCACGCCTGTAATCCCAGCACTCTGGGAGGCCGAGGCGGGCGGATCACAAGGTCAGGAGATGAGACCATTCTGGCTAACACGGCGAAACCCCGTCTTTACTAAAAATACAAAAAATTAGCCGGGCGTGGTGGCGCGAGCCTATAGTCCCAGCTACTCCGGAGGCTGAGGCAGGAAAATCGCTTGAACCTGGCATGCGGAGGTTGCAGTGAGCCGAGATCGCACCACTGCACTCCAGCCTGGGCGACAGAGCCAGACTCCGTCTCAAAAAAAGAAAAGAAAAGAAAAGTCTCTCTGAACGATATGTGACCATCAGGGAGTGTGAAGTCCTGAGCCAGAACCAGGAGAAGGCTGATGTGTCTACAGGGGGCTGAGAGGCGGGTGATGGGGTGACGGTGGTGCAGGGAATCCAGGGTCTGGGCAGTGACTCGGAGGAAGACAACATGGTGAGCAGTTGTAAGATCCTGAACACAGTTTGAAGGTGGAGCTGGCAGGAATACTGGTGGCTGGGATGTGGAGTGAGGGAAAGAGAAGGGCGGAGAATGATTCAAGTCTTTGGACAGAATGGCCATTTGCTAAGACCTGAGCAAGTAATGGGTTTGGTGGGGCGCTAGTTCTGAGTTGTTGTTGTTGTTGTTGTTGTTGTTTTGAAGACGGTGTCTCACTCTTGTTGCCCAGGCTGGAGTGCGATGGCGCTATCTCTGCTCACTGCAACCTCCGCCTTCCCGGTTCAAGCGATTCTCCTGCCTCACCCTTCCAAATAGCTGGAATTACAGGCGCCCACCACCACACCCGGCTAATTTTTTGTATTTTTTTAGGAGAGACGGGGTTTCGCCATGTTGGCCAGGCTGGTCTTGAACTCCTGACCTCAGGTGATCCACCCTCCTCGGCCTCCCAAAGTGCTGGGATTACAGGCGTGAGCCACCGCCTGGTTTTGCATGTGTTGTTGGGGCTGCCTGTTAGACTGCAAGTGGCTTCTGTGAATAAGCAGTGAATTGGAGGGTCTGGGGTTCAGGGAGGGGTCAGGCTGGAGAGGCAAATATGGTACTTATAGGGTAGAGGCCCATGAGATCATCAGGAAAACACTCGGAGAGTGTGCAATGAAGAAGACCTGGGGCCCCGGAGCAATATAAGGATACAGGATCCAGGATTCAGAAAAAGAGAGGAAAAGCTGGGCAGGAGAGCAAGGAGGAACAGGGGGAAGTGTGAGCCTCAGAACCCAAGAGAAATGTTAATGAAAGGCCAAAAGATGAGAACCAAGAAGGTTCTCACTGGCAACCTTAACGGAAGAGTGGGGTACAGAATAGGTTCAAGAAGGAATGTGATGTGAGGAAGTCAAATCCAGCGCTTGGAGGCCCCGGCTTTGGGACAGAGAATTGGTCCCTGCAGAGCACGGTCTGAGGCCAGTGTGACTTTCACCTCTGCTCACTGCAGGACAACCAGAGAGCTCCATCCCAGGCTGAGCTGGGCTCTGAAATTAAAAGGTGGATTGAAAAGGTTCCTTCCCCTTTTGTGTGTATGTCGGGGTAGGAGGGGGTGGAGGGTGAGGGCTGCTGGAAGAAGGTGAGGAATGAAACAAAAATGGGCAATACATTCTGATAAGCATGTAAACAGGGGCCAATGCAAGGGTGTATGGAAACAGAGGAGGCTCCCATCCCATTTGTCCAGGTCTGTTCAGTGGAGGACAAGGGGAGTTTGAAAATAAAATGCCCAAGGATTTAATCAACCAAAGAGCCAGGACCCTCCATACGTACGATGTTGCCATGATGACCATGCCCGTGTGGGTGGTAGTTTGGCCGTTTCCTATCCAAGGCGGACGCCCCGGTGGGCAGGGGTAGGTGGGAGGCCTGTGTTTCCATCCTGAAGCTTAAGAACCAGGCCGGCCCATCTCGGGTTTGTGTCTGGGCACATGCACCCTGTGGGTGAGATGCACCAGGTCATTGTAGGCCACAGGCTCTGGAAAGGGCACAGAACACGGGGCCTGAAGCAAGTCACTTCAGCTCAGAACCTCAGTTTCCAAGCCTGCCATTTTGGGGAACTGGGGTTCATGATACCAGGGAGTGAAAAATTCTAGGTATAATACATGACCAGCATTTCTTTCTACTTCTCCCACACGATTCCCTTTTCAGCAGATTAAATGTTTGTGAGCCAAAGCACAACGTGGGCTTCGCTTCTCTCTGCATGCTTCAGCCTTGTCCAGACATGGCGTGTCACCTGTGTCTCCGGCAGTCACCAGCTGTCCTCCAGGCTGCTGCTGTGGGCTTCTCATTGGTGGATCCGAGGTCCTGGATACTGTCGCCTTGGTGAATGCACAGTGATGCGTGTGGGGAGGTGCAGAAGCTCTTCCGAGTTATTCTCTGCACTTACAGATTGAGTTTATCCCGTGATGAAGCTCAAAATCAGTTATGCTTTTCTATCTCCTCTGTTGTATTTCTCCTCAACGTCCACTTCTGTGAGTGAGTAAGGTTGTCTGTTTTGACAGCTGAATGAACAGAAAAAGGAGGTTTTAAAAGCAAAAGTCTGCTGTGTCCCAGTTTCCCAGTTAACTCCATTCTCTCTAGCCATTCATGGCATGGAGACAGAAAAATCACAGAGCAATCAGAGTGCATTTTCTGAAATCAGTCTCAACTGCGGAGTGGGAACGTGCCACTCTGAGGAACTTCCTTCCGGCCCGGCTTTTGTGACATGTCGTGTGGTAGCGGTCGTATTCCATCCCACCTTGTCCTCCAATGCTGAGCTCAAGGATTTGGGAAAGCACATGGTCCCACCCCGAGGTCACAGGGAGGGCTTTCGCCACAGCAGATGTGTGTGCCGTTCACATGTCCTCGACAGCCAGCGGAGTCACAATTGATTTTGATGTTAATATGGCAAAATCCATTAGGGAGAAAAACTTTCCCCCATTCATTGACTCACAACCCAAGTAGAAATTGTTTTTTGACATTATCCACATTCCTGTTCTTCCCATGAGGCATATTTGAGGCGGGCAGATCACCTGAGGTCAGGAGTTCGAGACCAGCCTGGCCAAAATGCTGAAACACCGTCTCTATTACAAATACAAAAATTGGCTGGGTGTGGTGGTGCGTGCCTGTAATCCCAGCTACTTGGAGAAGCTGAGGCTGGAGAATTGCTTGAACCCAGGAGGCGGAGGTTGCAGTGAGCCGAGATCTCACCACTGCACTCCAGCCTGGGTGACAGAAAAAGACTGTCTCAAAAAAAAAAAAAAAAAAAGAGCTGACATTCTAGGTGTTTAATAATACCATACTATCATATCTAGTGTGATAAAATAACAACATGCATTTTCCACAGGACTATATTTCAAAAGAGTATGAGATGATTATATTATATTTTTAGACCAAAGTTTCACTGATGCAGAAAAATCTGTAAGTTGCAGGTTTATTTTTAATAAACAAAATCGACTTTATGCACCTTGTAGGTTAACCTAACCGACATTATTGTAATTTATTCAGTAGGTAGGGAAGTTTGAACTCTACTCTTGAATTCATGGCGGGATATATTAATAGTAGGGAGCATGCGGGGAAGTACGCAGACATTGTTAGCAATAAGCAGTGAACACACAGGGAGTGGTGATATAAAGATAAACCAATACAGACAGAATGTCCAAATAAGGCCCCAGTAGGGCATGTTTTCCACGTTTCCTAGCAGGGTTGGGAATACCCTATTTAGATTTTCAGACCAGAAAAGGGTAATGAAGTCAGAGAGATTAGCCTGGGCAGAAAGGGAAGAATGGACCAGGGGCCATCCATTCTTCCCTGTGCTGGTGAGAGCACAGGTCACGGCTACAGAGAGGGGGGTCAACCTAAGGATGCAGGCAGGGTTGGCTATAACAGTTCCTTGGGAAATGGAAGTGTAGGAATATTGTTGGCTTAGTTTTAAACCCAGAAGAGGAAATAGCTCTGGAACTTAGGCTGGGGGATGGGGGCAGAAAGGACTCAGGTCTTTATTCCTAGACTACTCCAGTACATATCTTACCCCATGGGCACCTGTATCAACAGACTCTGAGGGAAAGGTTTGCAGCAGACATGGACCTTGAAAATGCTGGAAAAAGAGAAGGTGCTGATCCTCCCCAGGAATCAGAAGACCAAAAGCCTTAGAAACTCAAAGAAAGAAAGCTATAGCAGGGGGGCTACTTTGGCTCCCAGACTTCAGCTCTCAGGGCCAACATAGAGCTATGATTTGAGGACTGTTCTTTCCATCTGTATTAGTTAGAATTCCTCCAGAGAAAGAGAACCAACAGAATACAAACACACACACACACACACACACACACAAAGATATTGAGATAAACATCTCAGTATATATGTGTGTATATTTATATACACATATAAAATTTGATGAAATGTATTTTAATGAATTGGCTTAAGAGACTGTGAAGCAGTAGTAGATCCAAACTATGCAGGGTTGACCAGCAGACTGGAGACCCAAGGAAGAGTTACAGTTAGATTCCAAATGCAGTCTGTTGGCAGAATTCCTTCTTTCTCAGGAAGGGTTAGTCTCTGTTCTATTGTCTTTAACTGATTGAATGAGATCCCCCACATTTTGAATAGTAATCTGCTTTTACTCAAAGTTCACCAATTAATTTATTAAATTATTTATTTGAGATGGAGTTTTGCCCTGTCGCCCAGACTGGATTGCAGTGGCGTGATCTCAGCTCACTGCAACCTCCACCTCCCAGGTTCAAGAGATTCCCCTGCCTCAGCCTCCTGAGTAGCTGGGATTGCAGGCGTGCGCCACCACACCTGGATAATTTTTTTTTTGTATTTTTAGTAGAGACGGGATTTCACCATGTTGGCCAGGCTGGCCTTGAACTCCTGACCTCAGGCGATCCACCTGCCTCGGTCTCCCAAAGTGCTGGGATTACAGGCGTGAGCCACCGTGCCCAGCCCAAAGTTCACCAATTTAAATGTTAATTTCATCCAAAAAAAAAAAAAGAAACATCCAGAATAATGTTTGACCAAAGATCTGGGCACTGACCTGGCCAAACTGACACATAAAATTAATTATCACACCATCTTAACACTGTCCCTGGGTAAAGGACTAAAAAAGAAAAGACAGAAGGAAGAAGGAGCTAGGACCCAGGGATAGGTAGGATGTATCAAGGAATAAGAATCAGCATACTGTGTTTCCACAAAACACAAGAAAGAAAGTAAAAATCTAGAAAGATCTGCAGCACTGTTTAATTCAGTACATGTGCCTCAGGTATTTCTGGGGGCTGGTTGGGGGGCCAGTCCCAGGCAAACTGAAGGTGCGGAAGCGGTGGTGGGATTAGCTTAGTCAGCAGGCCTGGTACGCATGGACTAGTTGCATAAAGTACTGGAAGCCTTGGACCTGATGGTTGTCTTCAGAGTAAAAAAGGAGGTAAGCAGAAAAATGCAGTCTACAAGCTGCTGAGTCAGTTACCACTTAGCATGACTTGAGTGCCAAAGATATGACAGGCATAGAGTAGTTTGGGGCACAGAAGAACAGATCAGAGGAGGTTACAGGTTTTTGTGCATTTAATCCTTACGACAAATTTATGAGACAGGTGCTGTTCTTTATCCTCATTTTCCAGATGAGAATCTAAGGCATAGAAAGGTTTAGCAGTTTGCCCAAGGCTGCACAATACTTGTGATGCTTAATTTTGTCTTAACTTAGCCAAGCCGTGGTGCCCAGTTGTTTGGTCAAACATCAGCCTACATGTTGCTATGAAAGTATTTTTTTAGATGTGATGAACTTTTTTTTTTTTTTTATTGAGACAGAGTTTCACTCTTGTGACCCACACTGGACTGTAATGGCATGATCTTGGCTCACTGCAACCTCTGCCTCCTGAGTTCAAGCGATTCTCCTGCCTTAGCCTTCCGAGTAGCTAGGATCATAGGTGCCCACCACCACACCCAGCTAATTTTTTTGTATTTTTAGTAGGAACAGGGTTTCACCATGTTGGTCAGGCTGCTCTCAAACTCCTGACCTCAGGCGATCCACCCGCCTCGGCCTCCCAAAGTGCTGGGATTACAGGTGTGAGGAGTCATGCCTGGCCAGATGTGATGAACATTTATATCAGTAGACTTCGAGTAATACATATTTCCCTTCATAATGTGCATGGGCCTCATCCAATCAGTAGAAGGCCTTAAGAGCAAAGACTGAGGTTTCCTGAGGAAGAAGGAATTCTCTTTAAAACTGTCACATGGAAACTCTGCCTGAGTTTCTAGTCTCCTGCCCCATGGAATTCAGATTCAAGACTGACTGCAACATTGACTCTTACCTGAATTTCCAGCCTGTCAGTTTTCCCTACAGATTCTGGACTTGCCAGTCCCCATAGTTGTGTGAGCCAATTCCTTAAAATAGATCTCTTTCTCTCAGCATGTGTGCATATTACAGTTACATATAAATGAGGCTCTGTCTCTCTCTCCATACTGAAAGCAGGAAGTAGAAGAGGAAAAGAAACAGAAATCACATTTTTGTCAAATCCCAGAGGCACTTGCAGTCCAGAATCTTGTATTAGGAAGGGCAGTGGGTGATGGGGCAAACCTTACCTCCTGGATGGGGCTGTCAGGACTTCATGTCTCCATGGAGGGGGCCCACCCCAGAACCACCAGCTCAGCCCCAGCCAGCAAAAGCCTCCTGGCTCTTCAGGAGCCTGCTATCACAGGGAACCCAAGTCCACCCACGTCAGGCTCAGGGACCTTGGAGGGCTTTGTCCTGCGATTACATTGGTCTCTATCCAGCAAAAGAAAAGTTGGAAAGCAGTCTGTGTGCTTTCTAAATGAACACACTGTGATAATGGGGGCCCAAAGTACATATTTCTAATAACAAACCTGATTAGAGGTAAAATTAATTGTATATGCTATTTAAACATAGTATATGTTGAGTTGTATATTATATTTTTTTACAATACTTACTCATGGTTGTGCCTTGGATGCTTATATGCCATAAGCAAGTTAAAGAAAACATATGGCTTACATACCAACTATTGACATTCCATTCATGCCTTTATTTTTTATTGTTTATTTTTATTTTTTTTGAGACAGAGTCTTGCTGTGTTGCCCAGGCTGGAGTGCAGTGGTGCAATCTCAGCTCATTGCAACCTCTGCCTCTCAGGTTCAAGCAATTCTCCTGCCTCCACCTCCTAAGTAGCTGGGATTACAGACTCCCACCACCACACCCACCTAATTTTTGTATTTTTAGTAGAGATAGGGTTTCACCATGTTGGCCAGGCTGATCTCGAACTCCTGACCTCAACCGATCTGCCTGCCTTGGCCTCCCAAAGTGTTGGGATTACAGCATGAGCCACCATGCCCAGCCTCCATTCATGCCTCCAGAGGTGGGAAGGACACTGCATGGAGTAGGGACCATTTGGATCGTTGCTTTGTGTTCTCATTTTATGCAAATTCTTCCTATCAGACAGTCTGTACCTGCAAGGAATAGCCATGAAGGCTTACCGCAGTTCAAGTGTTACTCTAGCCCACAAAACACATAATTTATGAGCCAAAAGAGAAGCTGGAGGCCATTTATGTTGGAGCAACTTCAAAATGTCTCACCAGCAATTAAGACTATTTTTGTTTTCCTTTCGGAGAAGCATTAGCACACATTTTAGAGAATGACCGCTTAATTTATAACCTCTTACTCATATTTTAGAGGTTTACTACTGAAGGGCAGAGTTATTTGGAATGTTCGGAATGAGTTGCATCATCTTGTTTTAGGCTCCAGCAAAGAACAAAAACTAAGAACAGACACCAGGCACACACTTCAACGGCATCAAGTGCCCACAGTCAAATGGAGTCAAGTGCCCACAGTCAAATACCATTCTTCTCATACTGCGGAACAACCAAAAAAATCACACAGTGGCCTAAGTATGTCCTAGAAAATATTAGCATCAGCAAAACAACGTGTAAGTAGCCAAAGGACGCAGTGGAACAAGAACTATGAGGAGAGGAAGAAAATGAAAAGTAAAAAGACAGGCCTTTTTAAAGATTACAAACACACCGAGAATGTTAACATACTTGTTACATAATTGGAGACTTTGTTCTTGATCTTCAGTGTCAAAAGCACTGCTACGATCGGGTTGAGTTCCAACCCTTGCTTTTTCTTCTGCAGCAGATGCATTTTGTAAGGTCCTATGGGTTTATTCTGCATTATAACACAAATGGGTATCACATTTCTGGCAAGCTCACCCACTGGTTGCTTTTCTTTTTTAAAATTATAACAATATGTTGCTGGAGATTTAGCTATCCCAAATTGTATACAAAAGAACAAACATTATTCAGTTTACATTTCTCTAAACAAACATCCATTCATTCATTGAAAAATAAGTCATTACCAGTTGTTCAAAATAAATAAGTGCTTGTCTCGGCTAGGAATAGAGTGGCCCTTTTTCAAAAGTGCATGCTGCTATTTTTCTGAACATGCGGCTTTGAGAGGAAATACCCACATTCTTTTTTAATTTAATTTAATTTTATTTTATTATTATTATACTTTAAGTTTTAGGGTACATGTGCACAATGTGCAGGTTAGTTACATATGTAAACGTGCCATACTGCTGTACTGCACCCATTAACTCGTCATTTAGCATTAAGTATATCTCCTAATGCTATCCCTCCCCCCTCCCCCCACCCCACAACAGTCCCCAGAGTGTGATGTTCCCCTTCCTGTGTCCATGTGTTCTCATTGTTCAATTCCCACCTGTGAGTAAGAACATGCGGTGTTTGGTTTTTTGTCCTTGTGATAGTTTACTGAGAATGACGATTTCCAATTTCATCCATGTCCCTACAAAGGACATGAACTCATCATTTTTTATGGCTGCATAGTATTCCATGGTGTATATGTGCCACATTTTCTTAATCTAGTCTATCATTGTTGGACATTTGGGTTGGTTCCAAGACTTTGCTATTGTGAATAGTGCCGCAATGAACATACGTGTGCATGTGTCTTTATAGCAGCATGATTTATAGTCCTTTGGGTATATACCCAGTAATGGGATGGCTGGGTCAAATGGTATTTCTAGTTCTAGATCCCTGAGGAATTGCCACACTGTCTTCCACAAAATACCTAGGAATCCAACTTACAAGGGACGTGAAAGACCTCTTCAAGGAGAACTACAAACCACTGCTCAATGAAATAAAAGAGGATACAAACAAATGGAAGAACATTCCATGCTCATGGGTAGGAAGAATCAATATCGTGAAAATGGCCATACTGCCCAAGGTAATTTATAGATTCAATGCCATCCCCATCAAGCTACCAGTGACTTTCTTCACAGAATTGGAAAAAACTACTTTAAAGTTCATATGGAACCAAAAAAGAGCCCGCATCGCCAAATCAATCCTAAGCCAAAAGAACAAAGCTGGAGGCATCACACTACCTGACTTCAAACTATACTACAAGGCTACAGTAACCAAAACAGCATGGTACTGGTACCAAAATAGAGATATAGATCAATGGAACAGAACAGAGCCCTCAGAAATAATGCCGCATATCTACAACTATCTGATCTTTGACAAACCTGAGAAAAACAAGCAATAGGGAAAGGATTCCCTATTTAATAAATGGTGCTGGGAAAACTGGCTAGCCATATGTAGAAAGCTGAAGCTGGATCCCTTCCTTACACCTTATACAAAAATTAATTCAAGATGGATTAAAGACTTAAATGTTAGACCTAAAACCATAAAAACCCTAGAAGAAAACCTAGGCATTACCATTCAGGACATAGGCATGGGCAAGGACTTCATGTCTAAAACACCAAAAGCAATGGCAACAAAAGCCAAAATTGACAAATGGGATCTAATCAAACTAAAGAGCTTCTGCACAGCAAAAGAAACTACCATCAGAGTGACCAGGCAACCTACAAAATGGGAGAAAATTTTCACAACCTACTCATGTGACAAAGGGCTAATATCCAGAATCTACAATGAACTCAAACAAATTTACAAGAAAAAACCAAACAACCCCATCAAAAAGTGGACAAAGGACATGAACAGACACTTCTCAAAAGAAGACATTTATGCAGCCAAAAAACACATGAAAAAATGCTCACCATCACTGGCCATCAGAGAAATGCAAATCAAAACCACAATCAGATACCATCTCATACCAGTTAGAATGGCAATCATTAAAAAGTCAGAAAACAACAGGTGCTGGAGAGGATGTGGAGAAATAGGAACACTTTTACACTGCTGGTGGAAATACCCACATTCTTTGCAATATTTAAAAAAGGGCTTCATGGAATCAGGGGAGGAAGGAAAAGGAGGCACCAGAATCACTTTCAAATATGGCTTCTTCCTGAGCCTCTGACCGATGATGCGCACGACTTCCCCATCTTGGGCTTGGGTTTGGGCTTGGTCCCTCTTGAGCTTGGGAACCAGAATCAGAGGGGGTTCTGGCTGACTTCTAAGACTCACCAGTTGAACTCGTCTTGCTCTTCCTCGGGATCTGACCATGATTTCTGCCTCTGCCTGGACAGCACCTTCACAGCACACCTGGTTGAACGCTTCTGCCACTTGGTTCCCTCATAGGCCTTTCCACCCTGCTTCCCATCAGGCCCAAGAGGCAATGGTCCCCAGCAAAGAGCTGATAGCACATGGATTGAAACCTTCTGTGGGTCCCCTTTAACTCTCAAAGCCCGCCCCACGCACCTCTTCACCCACCCCTGCCCAAACCACCCTCCACCTTTGTTCACGTCTTCTGCTCCTCCAGCTCCTGAAGGCGGCGTCCATCCTCCCATCATCGTGTAGTCAGTGGCAGCCCTGTGCCTGCTGGTTGTAAACACATAAGCATACAATCACACTGAATCACGTCACTGTGGAAAAGCCCATCCCAAGAGACAAGCTATGGGAAAGATGGTTTCGGGAACCACTTTCCCTGAGCTTTCCTGGTATGTTCACACTTCAATTGCCCTTCTAGCTCTAGCTCTTGCTCATCTTCCCAATGGGAGAAGGTCAGGAACAAAAGAAATGTGGTGGCCACTTTAAGAGGTGGGAAATGCTGTAGGGATGAGCCTCTTGCCCCTACTCCCCAGTCCCTGGGAGGTGGCTCTTCCCCTGTAATTAGAGGTGCCAGTCATTCTTTTTATGGTACAAGTGACCTGTTGCAACAACCAGTATTGTCCACAAACAACATTAAAATGTGGATATAAAACATGAAGAGACAGTATAGGACTTCCAGGCCCCATGAATATCACTAGCCATGATAGCGAAATACCGCAGGTTCTTGCCTTCAGCTTTGTGCTGAATTGATAATCCTGCCTTCTACGGAGCACTCTGCAGCCACACTGCTCACTTGGAGCTTTCTTGCTGTGCTACCCTAGGATGCAGTTATTTAATAGTCTGTGTTTCTAATCACGGCAGCTGATTGTTTTTGTATCACAAGAACTATAAGGCTTCCTCAGAATTTATATGAGCTGAGTCTACCCCATACAGTGAGAGGAAATGGATTTCCTTCTGAAGTTGGATGTCGTTATAACCGATCATAAATCACCCTCTTTGGGGGCACCCACAAAGGGTGAGCCCCATTGAACACAGATGGATCACCCAGTGCTGAGAGGGACTTGAGACTTTGCAAAGTACTTGCTTTATAGCCTGGGATTGATTATTACCCAGGGCATCACTTACAAACATTAGTCTGAAAGTCTACATTCTGACCACTGGTATGACATTCAGGTAGCAAAAGAACTTGAACATTTTCAGATTTTCTTTTTTCTCTCTTTCTTTTCTTCCTTCCTTCCTTTCTTTCTTTTCTTTTCTTTTTTTTTGAGACACAGGTATTATAAGGTATTATAATAATAATACATTATTATTATTATTTTTGAGACACAGCTTCGCTCTTATCACTCAGGCTGGAGTGCAATGGCATGATCTCGGCTCACTGCAACCTCCACCTCCTGGGTTCAAGTGATTCTCCTGCCTCAGCCTCTCGACTAGCTGGGATTACAGGCACCTGCCACCATGCCTGGCTAATTTTTGTATTTTTAGTAGAGATGGGGTTTCACCATGTTGGCCAGGCTGGTCTCGAACTCCTGACCTCAGGTGATCTGCCCGCCTCAGCCTCCCAGAGTGTTGGGATTACAGGCGTGAGCCACCACGCCCAGCTGAGAATTTTATTTTTCAAAAAAAAAAAAAAAAATCTCAAAAACAATCTCTCCAGTTAAACTCTGGTAATATAATTGCTATATCTTTTTTTAAAATACAACTTTTAAGTAGTTTTAGATTCTCATGGAAGTTGCAAAAACATGTAGCTTTCATTCAGCTACATAGATGAATAAATACTTCTCAGAAAAAAATTGTATTACATGACAGCCTAAAGTAACATAAGAAGCCATTCATAAGTATTCATTTTCACCAACTTGACTTTTTCAGGGGATTGATTATTTTATTCAATGTTATGGGGGCTGTGGAATGGAAGGGCTTGTAATTAACCCACAATTTGCCACAACTATCCTAAAAGCCAAGGGCAATTTTTCCAGAGACAAATCTTAAAATATATGATGTCAATATATTGTAAAATATAAAAGCTTAACTTTATTACAAAAGCTTAAAATATAAGCCTGGGCCCTTATGGTTCTGTCTTGGAGAAATGTAGGCAAATGAAGACCAGCAACCAAATGCTGCTTCAAAATAGTTCAAATCCTTTTCTTGCAATTCTCTAAAACCTGAATAGGTCCACATGCACACAGGCCATCGTATCACAAAATAGGAATTCCCTGTTCTTGCATCTGTCCCCGTTACTCCTGCAACTTTCCCAGAACATCCGCTGCAGTTACCTTCCCCAAACCCTTCTCTTCTGACCAGCCCTGTTCACCTTTTCTTTCTCACACTCTTCTTTCCCTCCCCCACTCTTCATTTCTTTATGACATTGGTCAACCCAAACCCTCTCCTAGCAAGAAAGAATCTTTTCTCTTGAGAAGGAAGGAGGTTGGGAAATTAGAATAGGCAATTATAGGTCTCTCTTTGGAAGGCTGGGAGAAGAGAAACAGTTGGGAAGACTTCCATGCCAGTTTTTTTTTTTTTTTGAGATGGAGTCTCACTCTGTTGCCCAGGCTGGAGTGCAGTGGCACCATCTTGGCTCACTGCAACCTCCGCCTCCCAGGCTCAAGCCATTCTACTGCCTCAGCCTCCCAGGTAGCTGGGGCTATAGGCATGTGCCACTACACCCAGATAATTTTTTTGTATTTTTAGCAGTGACAGGGTTTCACCTCAAATGATCCACCCGCCTCGGCCTCCCAAAGTGCTGGGATTACAGGCGTCAGCCACCTCACCCTGCCCCATGCCAATTTTTTTAAATGACAACTTTATTGAGATGTAATGTGCATACCACAGAAATCACCCTTTTAAATATATGTAACATATTTAATATATTTTAAAATATTTACTATATTAAATATTAACATATTTATATTTATATAGCATATTATATAACATATTTATTATATATTATATATTTATTATAATATATATAATATATAATATATTAATATAAAATATATACTATATATTATATTAATATATCATTATATATGATTACATATTATAATATATTAATACAATATATTATATTAATATATGATATTATATTATCATATATTATATAATATATGATATATCATATATTATATAATATATGATATATCATATATTAATATAATACTAATTATTATAATAATATATTATATAATGATATATAATAATAATATAATAATTATATTATATATTTATATATAATATTATATTATATTATTTTTATTATTTATTTTTTATTTTTTATTTTTTTATTTTTATTTTTTATTTTTATTTTATTTTATTTTATTTTTTAAATTTATTTTTATATTTTTATTTTATTTTATTTTATTTTTTTATTTTTTATTTTTATTATATATTATATTATATTATATTATAATATTATTATATAATAATAATGTAATATATTATATTATATATATTTATATCATATTATATAACATATTTATATTTATATAACATTATATAACATTTATATTTAATATTAACATATATTTAATATATTAAATATATATAACTATATATAAATATTTATATTAGTTCAGTAGTTTTTGGCATATTCACAGTTGTGTGCAAACATCATAATCTAATCTCAGAACATTTTCATTATCTCAAAAAGAAATACTGTATCTGTCAGCAGTCACTTCCCATTCCCCCACTACTTCTGCTCCTGGCAACCACTAATCTACTTTGTCTCTGTGGATTTTCCTATTATGGACATTTCATAGGAACGGAAACCTACAGATGTACGTTTTGTGATGGGCTTCTTTCTCTTAGCATAAAGTTTTAAAGGTTCATCTGTGTTGTAGCATGCATCAGTAATTCATTTCTTTTTACAAAATAATATTCTGTTGTGCAGAGAGACCATATTTTGTTTATCCATCTGGTTGATGGGCAATTGGGTTGTTTCTACTTTTTGGCTATTATGAATAATGCTGCTATGAACCTTCTTAGACCAGTTTTTCATGGACACATTTTCATTTATCTTGAGTTTAGGAACCAAGAATGGAGTTGGTAGATCATACGTCAACTCTAGCATTTTGAAGAACCATGATCATTTTTGTGCCTCTACGTGCAGAATGAAAGCTAAGTCCAGCTTCCTTAACCTATTAATATTTTATGTCTTGCACTTAAAAATCCTCATTAAAACAAGAAAGATATAAATATTTCTATAAGATGATTAGAAATCATCCCTCAGGTTGTGTCAGGAGCTGTGCACGGTTTTATTGGGCATCACAGATGCTTACTTCTATATCACGAGATTTTAGAGAGAAGCATTGGGTATTTTTATTAAAGTAAAAATCAATGCAGGGTTGAAACTCATGATTACATACTGTGGCTGGGTACCTGATATTTTGGTTAGATCATAATTAAGCTTACTACTTTTTAGAGCAAACTATGTCCTTACCTTTGTAATAAAGAAAAAAACAGGTGAGTAGGTAAGGGCAGAATTCCTCCAGATGAGAGCAGAAAGCACAGAAGGCACTTGCACCTTTGAAAAGGAGCTACAGGAGAAAAGCCTCCACTCTCTTGGGATAGCAATCCTGAGGGAGGATCTCTCGGTACTCCTTTAAGGAGAACAGCCATCAGACGCCAAGTGCGGGAGCGCCTGACTCACAGTGAATTCCTTCAGGATCTTCTCTTTATAACTCATCAGTATCCGAGAGCCACTTGTTCCTCTTCTCCTTTTCTCTCTGTGTTCTTGTCTCACTGTCATAAAACCAAGACTTGGCTCTTCTCTCAAACATCCTGGTGTGTGGAGAACTCGGGAAATATCTCCCTCCTGGGTCTTGCTGCTCTGTGCCCTCCGTGGGCAATGTCCACACCGCACCGACACCTACAACCAAAACCATACTGCCACCTGGAATTATTACAGATCTGCGGGAGGAAGGGAGGCTTCAGATTAAAGCCAGGAGCTGCCCAATGCTGACCGTCCTGTCCCAAGACAATTGTGCTGCACTAATCAACCCCTTGCCGCAGTAAACTTCAAAAGACGAAAAGAGATGCAGTCTGGCTAACCCCTGATCAATGTAAATCCCTCCTTTATCTCCAAATAATCATTTCCCCAGCTCCCCACACCCTCAAATGATGACTTTCAACACTTTGAATATAACAGGCTCACAGTCTGTATTCAATGGTCTCATCATAAGGCAGGAAGCCCTATCAGGAACTGCGCTGCTCTCCTATCCCTACACTTCCCACCACGTAGTTCGGGGTTAGGCAGGGAATTGCAGTAAAGCTATACACAGTAAAGAAAAGTTGGTTTGTGTGTGTGTGTGTGTGTGTTGTTTGTTTGTTTTTTGAGACCGAGTTTCGCTCTTTGCCCAGGCTGGAGTGCAGTGGGACAATCTCGGCTCACTGCAAACTCCGCCTCCCGGGTTCAAGTGATTCTCCTGCCTCAGCCTCCCGAGTAGCTGGGATTACAGGTGCATGCCGCCACAGCCAGCTAATTTTTGTATTATTAGTAGAGACGGGGTTTCACTATGTTGGCCAGGCTGGTCTCGAACTCCTGACCTCAGGTGATCCACCCACCTTGACCTCCCAAAGTGCTGGGATTACAGGCGTGAGCCATCTTGCCCGGCCGGCATTTCAGTTTTATTAAACTGTCTACTGCATGCCAGTTCTTAGTAGCACAGTCTCTTTTTTTGTTTTAGAAACTCAAAACCTTCTAAGTGATCACCTGGTTAAATAATGCAATCCCATAAATGACCCCTCTCTTCTGATCCATGCCTGGTGTCCATTTAATTAAACCAGATTAGAAAAAGGGATTATTGCTGGCTCAGGGAGGCTGCTGCCACAGACAATGCCTCACTTCGGATTGTGCAGATATAATATGATTGCTCCAAGCCAGCCTTCATGTTTACACCTGCCTGGAAGCTCTCAGGCCCTGGAGTAACCTCAGGACACTCCTGGCCCTGTCTGCGGGTAACCAGTTCTTCTCTCAGATGTGCGGTCTGTGCTGTTCCTCCCCATCTGCCAGTACAAGTAAGGTGTGGCACCTGGGCCCTTCTCCCACTCACATTGCCTGTGTCCTCTCTCTAAAAGTCACCTTAAGACCATGCGGGTAAAGAGGAGTGACTTAAAGGAGCTCAAATTCATCTTACTTTTTTCCAGTTGGGAAATTGGCAAAAAGTTCTGTAGTTATGGAAATATTCTTGCCAGTTTATAGAAGCAATTAGATCTTTTTCTATAGCATCTGTGTGGAAGATTTCCTTTTCAGGAAATCAAAACTCCTTTGAGTGGCCTGACAATAGTAACCATAAGAAAATAATTTTCCTGGAATTGCTTCTGAGCTCGTTTGTGAACTGGAGAGTATAACTTTGTGTCACTATACTCCATTTTACTAACCATGTGGTTCAGATGCTTTGTCATTTTGGAGCCTTGGTGACCCTGGAGAGACTGCGTCTTCCAGGGTTAGCCAGTTCCTAGAGATAGCAAAGAACTTGCCTGAAAGCCTGCCTTTCATACACAAATCAACCAATCCATTACAGACCAGCCTGGCCAACATGGTAAAACCCTGTCTCTGCTAAAAATACAAAAAATTAGCTGGACATGGTGGTACATGCCTGTAATCCCAGCTACTGGGGAAGCTGAGACAGGAGAATCTCTTGAACCTGGGAGGCGGAGCTTGCAGTGAGCCAAGGTCGCGCCACTGCACTCCAGCCTGGGCGACAGAGCGGGACTCCATCTCAAAAAAAAAAAAAAAAAAAAAAAAAAAAAAAAATCAAGCAATCCAGTGCTCATACCCCAGCCCCCTCCTTTCTCAGACTCCTATACTCTGGGCCAGGATCCACCTGCCCTAGTCACCCCAGGGCCAGCTACCAGAATACTACGGACAGCCGTATGCCCCAGTCAATCATGCCCCAGAAATTATTCAAACCAGTCAGTGCTAAGTCTGCTTACCCTGCCTCACCTGTCCCTTCCCGTGGAAACCACAAGAAAGGCTCTTGCCCTCGTTTTCCTCCTGCTCTGTCTCCTGACCTACCTGGTGCCCCTTCCTCTTGGGAACAGTAAAAAACTCTCTTTCCAGCAGCAGTCATCTCCTGATCTGTTGGCCTCATCACACCTGAATCATAATAATACCTATCTTTAATAACAGCCATGGAAAGTATAAACCTGGGGTTGGGCTGGGACAACATTGTGAAGCTCTTTTAGCTTCATGAATAACGGGGCCGGGGGCAGTCACAATCCCTGCTACACTCTTCAGCAGTAGCAATTTCTGGAAATGCAGCCCTCATTGAAGCTTCCGAGAGAAAGAGTGCCATCTTGTGGTATTTTGTAGTTTCTTAGGCCATTTCCTTTCTCTCTCGCTCTCTTTTTTTTTTTTTTTTTGAGACTAAGTCTTCCTCTGTAGCCCAGGCTGGAGTGCAATGACACGATCTTGGCTTACTGCTCACTGCAGCCTTTGCCTCTTGGGTTCAAGCGATTCTCCTGCCTCAGCCTCCTGAGTAGCTGGCATTACAGGTGTGCGCCACCACACCTGGCTAATTTTTGTATTTTTAGTAGAGACGGGGTTTCACCATGATGGTCGGACTGGTCTTGAACTCCTGACCTCGTGATCCTCCCGCCTCGACCTCCCAAAGTACTGGGATTACAGGTGTGAGCCACCGCGCCTGGCCTCCTCTCTCTTTTAAATAGATCATTTTTAGAGCAGTTTTAGGTTCACAGCAAAGTTGAGCAGAAAGTACAGACAGTTCCCATATAGCTCCTGCCCCTACACATTCACAGCCTTCCCCACTACCAACATGGGCACCAGAGTGGTCCATTTGTTACAATCAATGAACCTATATTGATGCACCATTATTGCCCAAAGTCCATGGTTAACATTAGGGTTCGCTCTTGGTGTGTTGGATATTTTACGGATTTGGTTGAAAGTATAATAACATGTGTCTATAATTATTGTATCATAGAGAGTAGTTTCACTGCCCCCAAATCCTCTATGCTCTGCCTATTCATTCGTCCCTCCCTTCAACCCCTGGCAATGACTGATCTTTTCACTGTTTCCATAGTTTTGTTGCAGGCCATTTTTACTCCAAGATTTTCTTTGTTTGGCTGTCCACTTTGTGCTGGGTGTGTAATATAGACTCGTGATGAGTAAGAGAGACAGCCTGGAGCATCTTGGAGTCCATATTGGGATGGACTCATGAATTCCTGTATTTTCCTACTCCAGGAAAGAGGTGCAGGTAAGGATAGAAAAAAAAGTCAAGTAGACAAATAAAAATAATTAGGCTGGGAGCGGTGACTTACGCCTGTAATCCCAGCACTTTAGGAGGCTCAGGCAGGTGGATCACCTGAGGTCGGGAGTTTGAGACCAACCTGACCAACATGGTGAAACCCTGTCTCCACTAAATATACAAAAATTAGCCAGGCGTGGTGGTGGGCGCCTGTAATCCCAGCTACTCGGGAGGCTGAGGCAGGAGAATCACTTGAAGCTGGGAGGTGGAGGCTGCAGCAAGCTAAGATCACACCATTGCACTCCAGCCTGGGTGACAAGAGTGAAACTCTGTCTCAATAATAATAATAATAATAATAATAATAATAATAATAATAATAATAATGTATTATTTACAGGTAAAGTAAATTCTGTAGTGTTCAAGAGATAAAATAAATTGTCTCAAGCAAAAGTCAAACTAGGATGATTTTTTTTTGTTATTCAACTTATTTAGAAATTAGGTTTTTTTGTTCCTGTTGAATTGTTTTGTTCTGTCTTAGGTACTAAAAATAATCTTTCATTCTTTGGAGCTGCTGATATTTACTATGACAGGCAAACAATTGCCCTTCTCCATACCACCACATTTTTGTTGTTAATATTCCTGGTGTCCATAAATGTTTTTGCTTCTTTCTTTTTTTGTCTTTGCTTATTCAATTACCTTTACCTAGAAATGCCATCTCCTTACATCTGTCTATGCTTCTTAAGGACTCGCCCAAATGTTATCTCCTGCAAGCAACAGAAATCTCCACTAGCTCACCACCACCTCTAACTTCTTCCTGGATTTACCTATTTAGGCATCAGTTATTTACTTTTTACTAAAATACATGAGAATTTAGCTCTTATACCACCCACTTCCCCTTCCTCAAATATTATCTTTAGTCATATAAGTAATCTCTAATTATCATTAGGACTTTGTAGAATAAAGCCAAGTTTTCTAGAATATTTAGGATAGGATATTTCTTTTCTTGGCGCTGCTTTTTGTTTTGCAGGTCTTCCTCATAGTAGTAATTTTTAATTTAAAAAAATGCTGTTGTAGCCCTTTCTGTGAGATCTCCTTCTCTTTTGAAGCCTTTGGCTCCTCTGAGCCCATCTTGGCAGGTTGTTCTTTCGGTTGGCTGTGCAGATGCCATCTTGAGGTTTTTCACATCTCCTCTCCTAGAGTAGATCCATTGTTTCCTGGATCCCATGTCATCTTTCTTGGCTTAACCTTTCTCATTTTCCCTGACAACATCCTCAAATAAAACTCTAAGAAAGCATGCAGTGGTATCTTTTCTGAGCTCTAGCTTCCAAAAAAATATGACCCAGTGTTTGAGTTTTGGAGCCAGTCCGAGATAGGTTTGAATCTTGGTTCTCCTACTTATTAGCTGTATGTCCTTGGGCTGATTCCCTAATTGCCCTATGCATGAATTTTCCATTTGCAAAATGGGGGAACCAGTAATAGTAGTAGTACCTATGTTTTTAGGGAGCTATGAGGATTTATTGAACTGGTACATGTAAACCATTTAGAACAGTGCCTGCTGCATATCACATCCCCATCAGTATTCACGTCTCTCATATTCTACCCTCACACTTGATTGATAGTTTGGTTGATTATATATTTCTAGGTTGAGGATAATTTTACCTTAAAATTTCAAAGTCTGTGCTGTTGTCTTCTAACCAGTCGTGGTGGTGAAGCCTCATGCCATCCTGAGTTTCACTTATTTATGCATGACTTTCTCCCTGGAAGCTTTTAGGAGTTTGTCTTTTCCTTGTTGAGCTGAAATAGCACAACAGTGTACTTAGTGTGGGTCTTTTTTCATTCATTGTGCTGGGTACACCAAATGGACAGGCCTATGGATAGGCTCTTTCAAAGTTGGAGTCTTGAATCTTGTCATATTTTTGTTGTTAACTTTCTCTTTTCCATTTTATTTGTTCATTTTGAAGTGTCTGTTAATTGGATTTTAGACCTCTTGTCTTGAGTCTGGTATCTCACATTATTTCTAAATTTTTTTTAAATTTTAAGTTCTGGAATATTTTTCTTATCTTTCGACTTTCAGGAAATTTTATTTGGACTATCATAACTTTAAGTTTTGTTTTGGTTATTTATTGTTGCTTAACCAATTATCCCAAAACTTAATGGCGTAAAACTACACATATGTCTATCTGTCACTACTGTATGGATTAACTGGGGCTAGCTGGACAGTTTTCTTGCTGGTCTTATTTGGCAGCTCTCACTGTGCGGTCAGACAGTGTTAGGGACTGGTCATCTGGATGCTCAGCTGCAGTGGAATGTCTGAGACGGCTTCTTCACCCACAGGTCTGCTGCTTTGGTGTTTCTTCATGTGGCCTTTCTCTCTGCATAGCATCTCATCCTCTCGAATCTCTTCATGTGGCTTTTCTTTCTCCAAGAGGGTAGCCAATTCTTATTTTTGGCTTCCAGAAGCACAGAAATGGAGCTGCCAGGGGTTCTTAAGGCTTAGACCTGGAACAGGTCCAGTGTCATTTCTACCACATGCTATAGGTTAAAGTGAGTGTTGGGGCCAACCCAGATTGACTATGGGATGGGCCTGTCTAAGGACATGATGACAGGAGGTATGGCTCATTGGAGACCAACTCCCAAGATGGAGCATGAGTTCTAAGAACTTTTTCTTCTCTGATTATTTCTTATTCATATTGTTTTGTTTTATACATGTAATATATTCACAAGTGTCTTTATGAAGTGATTTTGATACTCTTTGTCTTCTCCCTGGCATCTCTTTGTTCTTTAATAATTTTTTTTCTTAGTTTATTTTGGTCTTATTTTTCTTTTTAAAGCCTTTCCTTAAATATCTATTCTATGTTGCTTATCATTTGTAGTCTTTTTTTTTTTTTTTTTGAGACCCAGTTTCGCTCTTGTTGCCTAGGCTGGAGTACAATGATGTGATCTCGGCTCATCACAACCTCTGCCTCCCAGGTTCAAGCAGTTCTCCTGCCTCAGCCTCCCAAGTAGCTGGGATTACAGTCATGTGCTACCACGCCCAGCTAATTTGTGTATTTTTAGTAGAGATGGGATTTCTCCATGTTGGTCAGTCTGGTCTGGAACTCTCAACCTCAGGTGATCCACCCACCTTGGCCTCCCAAAGTGCTGGGATTACAGACATGAGCCACCGCGCCTGACCTGTAGTCTTTTTCTCATTCCTTTATTTGCTCATTCATATTTGAGAGAGGTACTAAAAGACTGGGAGCCGGGGTGTGGTGGCTCACACCTATAATCTCAGTGCTTTGGGAGACCGAAGTGGGAGGATCACTTGAGCCCAGGAGCTCAAGACTAGTTTGGGCAACATAGTGAGACCCCATCTTTACAAAAAAAAAAAAAATAGCTAGGTGTGGTGACACCCATCTGCAGTCCCAGCTACTTGGGAGGCTGAGGCAGGAGGATTGCTTGAGCCCAGGAGGTTGAGGCTGCAGTGAGCTCTGATCATGCCACTGCATTCCTGCATTCCAGCCTGGGCGAAAGAGCAAGACCCTGTCTCAAAAAAAATAAATAAATAAAAATAAAAATAAATCAAAATTGATTGGGAGTTCTTTGTGGCCAAGACTTGTCAACTGATAGCTTTTAGGGGGAATGTATGCTGATTCCTAATTGTTATCCTCCATCCCTCTATCTTATCTCCTGGTGCAATCATAAATGATGGCTGGATGACTACTCCATTCCTCTGGATGTAAAATCTACATTGTCTTGCCTGAGGTGGATACGTTTGCTTGGGTTCTGTTTAAGGAGATGGGGCCAGCAGTGTGTTTCAGGGCCTGTGAAATGTGTTCTCTATCCGGGCTTTTGCTTAATCTCTGTTTTCAGTCTTGCCTATCAGTCCCACTGTCGGGGGTACCTCGTGTCTGGGTCTAGAACCTTTCCAGGTTGCTGTGGGACAGATTAGCCTCCTTGTTCTCAGTATCCCCCTGACCTCCACCTTTGTTTGCTTTGCTCCATGAATTAACCATTTTCCATGTACTGTCATTGTCTAATGAAGATGAATTCTCTTCTGTTGGTAACCCCATTCCTTTTTTGTAATTGTGTGCTTATACAATGTTTATTCTTCACTGTATTTCTATTGGAGCCTCAGGACAAAGAGCAGATGGTAAGAATATGTGTTCAGTGTTAAGTTTTCCTTCTGTAAGACATCTGCAACTTGTGTTTTTCACTGAATAGATCATGGACTTAATGCATATAGAGCTACTTTGTTTTTCATGATTTTGCCTTCAATTATATGTAGAAATATAATTTGTGAATTGCCTAATGAATTTTTCCTAATTTTGAATCATCTTTGCATTCCTATAATAAACACTGTTAGAATGGCTGTGGTAATATTTTATTTTTGCATTTTTACTTCTGTATTAAATAAGATTATAGTTTTGTTTGTTTCCAATAAGGCTGTTATTTCATTTCAGTATCAAGGGTATGCAGGGCTGAGTTGGGAAGCTTTACATCTTTTTTCTAAGATCTAGGATGTAGATCTGGTTTACACAGTAATTTTCAACTGCAGGAGTATTTTGCCTCCTATGGGACGTTTCGAAATATCTGGAGACATTTTTGTGGTTACAACTGGTCAAGGTCGGGAGGTCTTATTGGCATTCTGTGGGTAGAGGGAATGTTACTAAATGTCCGACAACACACCAGGAGAACCCTCCACAAAGAATTATCTGGCCAAATATATCAGTATTGCTGAGGCTGACAAATTCTGGTTTAAATAAATATCCAATTTGGAGGATGAGTCTTTGTCTTTTTCCTTCTTCTGCGTATTGGTCTCCAGATTTTCCACTTCTTCAGTTAGTTTTTGTGACTGTAGAATCTTAAAAAAAAAAATGAAAACTTTGGCCGGGTGCAATGGCTCATGCCTGTAATCCCAGCACTTTGGGAGGCCGAGGCGGGTGGATCACGAGATCAGGAGATAAAGACCATCCTGGCTAACATGGTGAAACCCTGTCTCTACTAAGCCAAAATACAAAAAATTAGCCAGGCGTGGTGGCGGGCGCCTGTAGTCCCAGCTACTCAGGAGGTTGAGGCAGGAGAATGTTGTGAACCCGGGAGGCGGAGCTTGCAGTGAGCCAAGATCGCGCCACTGCACTCCAGCGTGGGTGACAGAGCGAGACTCCATCTCAAACAAAAAAAAAAAAAAAAAAAAATGAACATGTCATCCATACTTCTAAGGTGTTGTAAAGATGTGTAAAGTTTTCACTTTTTGCATCATATTCACATGTGGCTATATGCCCTTTTCTCTTCAAAGTTTTCTTTATCTTGATTACTTATCAGAGGCTTGACTGTTTTATTATCTCAGTCTTTTGAAAGAATCCTCCTTTAGTTTTATTTTTTAAATCTAGTGGTTTTTCTTTTTCCTTTTTCCTTAGGTCTTAATTATTTCCCCCTTTTTGTTTGCTTTGCTTTTCCTAGTTTAGTGGATCAATGTAATTTAAATTGCTTTTTAAACAAACATGTAAGGGTATACATTTTCGTTGGGTGCTGTTTGACTTTGTTGCACAAGTTTTAAAATCTTTTTTTTAATAGCTTGTATTTTCTAAATTATTTTATTGCATCTTTTGTTCACATTGCTCTTACTATTAATTTTTTATTTTTATTAATTAATTAATTTATTTATTTAATTATTAGATGGAGTCTTGCTCTGTAGCCAGGCTGGAGAGCAGCGGCATGATCTTGGCTCACTGCAAGCTCCACCTCAGAGGTTCATGTCATTCTCCTGCCTCAGCCTCCCAAGTAGCTGAGACTACAGGTGCCTGCCACCATGTCCGGCCTTTTTTGTATTTTTAGTAGAGATGGGGTTTCACCGTGTTAGCCAGGATGGTCTCGATTTCCTGACCTCATGATCCACCCACCTTGGGCTCTCAAAGTCCTGGAATTACAGGCATGAGCCACTGCACCCTGCCCAAAAAGCTTTGTGTTTTTACAGATATTAGACATGTTTCTTGTTTAAGAAAAAAAATCTTAACGAAAACGTAGGAGAATAAGAGAAACATTTTTCCAAAAAAGAGAAATCATTGTGATTATTTTATCTTATTAGAATGTTGGATAATATAGTCTGCTTCATTAATCATCAAGCATGCTATGCATTTTCCATTTTTATAGGATCTGTATCTCAGTTAAGGTAATACTGGTAATTTTTGTACTGTAATCAAAGATGAAAAATATAGGCCAAAATCATGGACCTTGCATAGAAGCTGGATAATGAAGACAGCTATGGAGAAAAACATAGATACACACACACGGACACACATATATATAAAGTATACACACATATATTTTTTAAAGTTTTAAAGCTTTTAAAGCAAAAGCCGGCCCCTCTTCTCTTCCAGAGTGGGAGGCCTCTCCCCTCTCTTAGAGTGGGTGGGGAGAGCAGTTGCCATGGGCAGCTTTCCTTGTGAGCCACAGGTCCCTCTGGACACACTGCTTTCTGGCCACGCCCCCTTTCCTTTTCATCTTTCTCATTGACCAATGGGCTTGGAGCATTAAGGCCACGCCCCTATTCCGCATTCTACTGGGGCCCTGGTTACGCCTCCTCTGGCTCAGTCACACAGCTGCCTGGTAGGTGACTGGAGGCCTTGATCGGTTCTCATTGAGATTTTGCTGCTGTGACCCCAACCCTGCCTCCCTCCCCACCCTGCGATGGCAGAAGAAACTCAACACAACAAATTGGCTGCAGCCAAGAAAAAGGTAAAAACGCACTAGGTCATAGCCCCTCAACCCAGCCACAGATCCCCTCTGATGACAAGACCCCTGCCAGAGTCTATACGACTCCTGAGGCACACTGGACTGGTCCCCCCTACCCCGGTGCCTCTGGGCTACCCCCACCAAAGTTTTGTCAGTCAGCCCCACCCCTTCAGCAAGCAGCCCAGTCCTTGCCCTCGCCAATCACCCCAGGGTGACTTTGGGTGGGTGAGTCCTGGGGCTTCCCGCTCCATTACTGGGCCCTCATCTCCTGCCGCCCCAAGCTTGATCTCCCTGGGCTCTTTGGGCTCTCATCTCCAAGGAGCCAGGCCCCACCCTCGCCAGTCATCCCTGGGTGACTTTGGACTGGTGACTCCTGGGACTCCCTGCTGCAGACTGTGCCCTCCCCTCCTGCTGCCTCAAGGTCGACCTCCCTGGGTTCTTTGTGCTGGCGTCTCCAAGGAGCTGGGTCCCAACCCTGTGCTTCCCTCCCCCATCGTGGAGCAGCGACTTGGACATGGTGCTGACATGGTCCCTCCCCCCGACCAGGAGGAGTGGAATGTTGTGATGTCACAGTCCACCTAGTAACTGCTGTTACTGCAAGACTGGCCTTTGATCTTACGACCCAGTCCCCTAAGCGTTCTCACCCCGTTTCTGGTTCCTCTGGTCACAGCACAAATTTCCAGCTGGAAGGGGAATGGAGACTATGGGACCTAGGAGCAAGAGGTTCCAGGCTGCCTCACTCCCTTACAGATGTTGACGGTGGGAAAAGCCTACACTTCCCCCATGAACTCAAAACGTTGACAGTATCTCTGGGTGGCAATGAGAGAATGCGTTTGGTTTGGTTTTCTCCCAGGCTTCTACTTTCCAGAGAGATTTTAACATTTTTTTCTGAGTTCTCCACCTCATATTCTAATTCTCCATGGTTCTGGGACCAGACTCTCCTTCAGTCAGTGGTCTCTGAAGTGACATTTGCTCATCTTCTGTGGAATAGATCTTGGGAAACTGAACTTGACACCTTGAATCTTCCTCATATTATCTCAACCTTGGGTACTTTGAGTGCCACAGGATAAATGTGGGACATCTTTCTGAAGCATCAGTTTCCCTTGATTCTCTTGAGATCAAGAGAAAAAACATGAATGTACTTAGGGATGACAGTCACATAGGTTTCTAAGAGTATACCAGACCTCTCTCTGAAATGAGGCTTGGGTTGTCCTCTTTCTGATAAATTCTGATTTAAGAGAAAGGCTGCCTTCTGCCATGAGGACACATTGATATAAGAGTTTGAGAGGTACTGGTGCACTTCTTCACACTAACAGACGTGTGAGGATGTATGACTCTAAACCACATGGCATACAGTTCCTGCCTACTTAATGTTTACTTTTCTACCTCTGCCTCTGGTTTTGGTCCCTGGCAGCTGCTGATTCTTGGCAAAACCTCAGAGCTTGGAGTCAGAAGACTGAGTTTCAAAGTTCCAGTATTGCCTTTTTCTTTTTTTTTTTCTAGCCATGATATCAATCCTTCTCAGTCACTAAATGAGTGTGACAACACCTTGTACAGTTGTTGGTGTCATTAAATCAGATGGTGTGTAAGTGTATTTTGTAAAAACTGTAAAGGAGGATGTGGCTGTAGGGGCTGACGGTTCTCATGAGTATTACTGCTCTTCTTTCCAACAGTTAAAAGAATATTGGCAGAAAAACAGCCCTAGAGTTCCAGCAGGAGCGAACAGGAACAGGAAAACAAATGGCAGTATCCCTGAGAAAGCCACTTCTGGTGGTTGCCAGCCACCTAGGGATGTGAGTCTTGGCTGACCAGGCTTCTGGGGACAGGGGGCCCAAGGGGCAGTAGAGGGTAATTGTTAAGATTGTGGATGGACTGCTGGGTACTGGTTAAGAATTCTGGCTTTAGCCGGGTGTGGTGGCCCACGCCTGTAATCCTAGCACTTTGGGAGGCCAAGGCAGGCGGATCATGAGGTCAGGAGATCGAGACCATCCTGGTTAACACGGTGAAACCCTGTCTCTACTAAAAATACAAAACATTAGCCAAGCGTGGTGGCGTGTGCCTGTAGTCCCAGCTACTCAGAAGGCTGAGGCAAGAGAATGGTGTGAACCTGGGAGGTGGAGCTTGCAGTAGCCAAGATTATGCCACTGCACTCCAGCCTGGTGACAGAGCAAGACTCTGTCTCAAAGAAAAAAAAAAAAAGGAATTCTGGGTTTGAATCCTGCCTCTCCATCTGCTCTGCTAGGGATATGATTTAGGGCAAGTTGCTAGACCTCATCGGGCCTCTCTTTTCACATCTGTATAATAGAGGTGTTATTGTTTCACTTCCATTTGTGAAGTTTAAATGAGATTTGTTATTGTTGTTTTTATGTTAATCCCTAGTACATGGCCTGCTGTAAACACTCAGGACACCCAGGATATGGTTTGATTTTCCTCATCCCCAGTCTCAGGGGGAAACCAGGACAATGAGAACAGCCACTTGCCATCAGGAGTCACTGAAGGGGCCCCAGGATGGGATGGTGGGGAGATAAGAACCATGAGAGAAGTTGGCACAAAGGAGTTATGGGACAAAAGGTCCAAGATAGGCAGAAAAGAAAATGTTGCCAGTTGATGGGGAAGAAAGGAAGTCAGAGGGCTCAGACACTGTGGGGGACAGAACATCTCCATGTGCACTCTCATCTCTTGTAGTCAGCAACAGGTTTCCACAGGGAAGGCCCTACATCATCTGCTACCCTGAAAGATCTGGAGGTAAGAGGCTCTGGGCGGAGGTGCAGTGACCCTTCGGGTCAACCCTCCAACCTCCTCCTCCAGGTGGGACTGGGTGCCCCTCTGCCAGCTGAGACAGCCCACACACCCCAGCCCTAATGATTGTTCTCTCTACCTCTCCCCCCACTCCTGCTCCACCTCCTCCTCTCTGCATGCACCTCAGAGCCCGTGCCAAGAACGAGCAGTAGTCCTGGATTCAAGGTCCGTAGAAATCAGTCAACTGAAGAACACCATCAAATCTCTGGTAAGAGTCCACTGGGGTCCCCTGATTCCACGCTGCCAATCCTGGGCTCCAGTTTCCCCTTGGGGCCCTGAAGAAAGGGGCTGGGGGTCCCTGGTGCCTGGGACAAATAGGGAGCTTGGGTGCCCAGGCCTCACCTGGAGGGACCCCAGAGCATGCAGCATGGCTCTTCTTTTGCTGCCCTCTTTGCCGACTCTCTCCTCTCCAGACACCCCTGCTCGAGTCCTTGCTACACACGCCCTGGGGTTGTTGCCTCTTGGGGAAGTGCTAGCCTGACTGGTTGTCAAGGGCCCCGTATTTCTGCCATGACTCAGTCCCTAATTTGCTCTTTGATTCTGGACAAGCCACCTCTCCTTTTTGGGCTCGTGTTTCCAGAGGAGGTAGTGAGTATCAAAGGTCTCTGTTAGCTCTCGAGTCTGAGATTTAAAGGCCCCCTAGAACGGAAACCTCAGGGCTAAGGGCTCCTGTCTGTCCTTTTCCATCCTATATCTGCTGTAAAGAACCGTACCTGGCCCATACATGCTCAGTAAATGTTTATTGAATGAACCCACTTCTCTAAATCACAAGCTGCCAGAAGGAGGGGCCTTTCTGAAACTCCATCTCTAGAGGTTTATATTGCTGTCCTCTCAAGAGATTCCAGATTCAGACTTTGAGTTCTGTGGCTGTGGGCAAAAGCCAACAAAGACCCAAATCCTCTGTCCTTGGGAGCTTGAGGAGAGTTTACCGGTTCGTGTTCCCATTATGTCTGAGAACTTTGCCTTTAAAATCCATTCCTGGCCCCTGCCTACCGCTTCCTGGTCTGGGGAATAGAGTTGAGGGGGCCACCCTCCATCACCTTATTTGACTCTCCCCACAGAAACAACAGAAGAAACAAGTGGAACATCAGCTGGAAGAAGTAACGTGATTTCGTTTCCTCGCAACATGACTGCTGGGTTTGGGGGGCACTCAGACATACAGGCCCCAGTCTCGTCTCACCCACTCCCAGCCTGGGGATGAAGGCTCACCCTTCAGATTCCACCCCATCCCCACAGGGCCCCTGATAACCTGGTCCCATGGGTGGGCCTGTCCTGGGGCATTGGTGGCATTCTGGGGGCATGTCTCTTGCTGTGCCATCTCTGCCTCCCCCTGGTAAGAGCTCTGTCTTCCTCTTCCTACAGGAAAAGAAAGCAAACAACAAGAAACAGAAAGCCAAAAGGGTGCTAGAGGTGAGTGGAGGGTGTGCAGTTTCCTCCTGTCCTCCGGAGAAGGTTTCTTTCCTTCTCTTTCAGCACTTGCTTGGCTTTTCTCCCAAAGGTTCAAATCCAGACATTGAACATACAGAAAGAGGAACTAAATACGGACCTGTACCACATGAAACGTTCTCTCAGATACTTTGAAGGTGGGAATCTGGGCACCCTGTCATCCTTCAACCTGGCACTTTGACAGGTCTTCAGGGGGAGTCCTTTGGGCCCCATCTCAACTCTCTCATTACAGAAAAGTCCAAGGATCTGGCTGTCCGCCTGCAACATTCATTGCAGCGTAAAGGAGAGTTAGAGAGTGTTCTCTCTAATGTCATGGCCACACAGAAGAAGAAGGCAAACCAGGTGAGTCCAACCACCTGCCCCATCCCCTGGGAGCCTGGCTTTGCAGATGGAGGAGTGAGCCTAAAGGTCCCTTCTGCAGGATGGAGTGTCCTGCCCAGAAGGCAGCATGGCCATTTCTTGCTACTTTTTTGTATGGTTTTTAATGGCAGCCTGGGGCTGAGTCAGCTGCTGTGGGTGAGTTGGGGGTCACTGTGTGGAGTGAGCACTGGACGCAGAGCTTGGAGGCCAAGTGCCTGCCCCGCCCTTACCTGTCTGTGGTCTTGGGCAAGTCCTAGTCCTAGGTGGGGTATTGGGTACTTGTACTGTGAAGGTACAGAAGAGTACCTTTAGTATGTTACCATTTCTGTAGAAAGAGGAAACGTGTGTGCGTGTGTGTGTGTGTGTGTGTGTGTGTGCATACTGTGATAATATACATAAAACATGTCTGCAAGGGTTCATAAAAAATTCAGGAGAGAGCAACAAGATGGCCGGGAGATACTTCCCTTCTGTACCTTCTGAGTTTTGGACTATGCAAATGTATCATCCTTTCAAAAAGTGAACAAAAGATTAATTTTCCCCTTCCTATCTGTGCCCCCATCCCCAGCAAGAAAAACGGGCTTAGAGAATTGGATAGACCTGGGTGTTTATATCCCAGCTCTGCCTAAGTGAACTTAGGCAAGCACTTAACCTCAAATACTCCATGTTTTTTCATCTCCACAATAGAGGGAATCATAGTAACTGTCTCCTATGGTGGTTGCGAGGATTAAATGGGATTGTTAGCACGGTACCTGGTGAAGCATTCCACAAAGGTTCAAACAGTGGTAATAATAACAGTAATAACAATAGCAATATTATCTGATCTCTCTGGGCCTCTGTTAGCCAGCTATAAACTCAGTCTCATTCCCTGTCCGTTCCAACTTTACTGAGTTCTTTTAAAAACCAGACCACGGGCTTGGAAATGCCTTGATCTTTACTGACCGAGTTGTATATTGGGCCTAGCCCTAGCCCTTTTAAGGGGCACTGTGTGGAAATGCCCAGGCTCTCCAGATTGAAACTTCTCACTCTTCACCATCCAGTTGTCCAGCCGCAGCAAAGCACGTACGGAGTGGAAGTTAGAGCAGTCCATGCGGGAGGAGGCACTACTGAAAGTGCAGCTGACACAGGTGAGGTTTTCTGAGGGAGTTATGTGGAAGGAAGATGACCCCAGGTGGCCAGGAGCAGGTGAGGACCAGTGACAGCCCTTCCTAAGTTCTGTGCCCATTCTTGCAGTTCAAGGAGTCATTTCAACAAGTCCAATTAGAAAGAGATGAGTATTCTGAACATCTAAAAGGAGAGAGGGCCCGGTGGCAGCAGAGGATGAGAAAAATGTCGCAGGAGGTGAGATCTGACCCTTCAGCCCCCCCACATTAGATAGGTCACTGGATCTTTCTGGTCATCTGTAAAATGGGAATAGTAGAGCCAGAGGTGGTCATGGGTCTGGGCTTTGTGGAGGTGGGGGCAGAGAGGGAGAGGGCAGCCTGTCCAGCCTCCAGCCCCTCTCTCCAAGGCCCTTTCCCCTTGTGCTTTGGGCAGATTTGCACATTAAAGAAAGAGAAGCAGCAAGATATGCGTCGGGTAGAGAAGCTGGAGAGGAGCTTGTCCAAACTCAAAAACCAGATGGGTAAGATGGGGCTGGCATGACCTGGGAGCAGGACTGGCATCAGAGGGCTGTGAGGGTGGCTTAGAGTGCCCCAGGGAGGTGGGTGGATGGAAGGGCTTTGAGGCAGAGGGAAAGAGATCTGTGCCAGGAGACGGCGAGTCTTGTCATCTCAATGAGTCTCAGTGTCTCAGTGTCCCCATCAGCAAAGAGGGCCCATTGTCAGCCACCCGCAGTGCTCTTTCTCTGAAAGTGCTTTGGAAGACTGGCTACCATCTGGGTGCGAGGAATCATTAGCAGTGAGGCCAAGTTTGAGGAGCCTGAGAGGAGCTGTGCGCCAAGAGGAGGGTTTTTCTTTTCCGAGAATCCAGAGGCCCTTATTATCTGCTTCCTTTGTCAGCTGAACCCTTGCCCCCGGAGCCCCCAGCAGTGCCCTCTGAGGTGGAGCTGCAGCACCTGAGGAAGGAACTAGAGAGAGTGGCAGGAGAGCTCCAGGCCCAGGTCAAAAACAATCAGCGCATAAGTCTCCTGAACCAGCGACAAGAAGAGAGGATTCGGGAGCAGGAAGAGAGGCTTCGGAAGCAGGAGGAGAGGATTCAGGAGCAGCACAAGAGCCTTCAGCAGCTGGCCAAGCCACAGAGCGTCTTCAAGGAGCCGGTGCGTTGCCCAAACTGGGGAGCTTGCCCTCCTCCCTAGACCTCCGGGCCTTTGTTTCCCCACCTCTAAAATGGGGCAGTGTAGCCCTCACATGAAATGTTACTTCTAAAGGCACCTGTGAGCCAGGTGGCTGTGGGAGAGAGGGGGTGATTTTTCTAACCTGCCTCCAGCCTTCCCAGTGCCATGGGAGGCAGACACCAAGTTCTGGGGTCTCCAGCTGCAGTGGGTGGCTGCTGATTGCTTCTCTCTGTCCAGAACAATGAGAACAAGAACGCACTGCAGTTGGAGCAGCAAGTAAAGGAGCTACAGGAGAAGCTTGGCGAGGTGAAGGAGACGGAAACCTCCACCCCATCCAAGAAGGGCTGGGAGGCGGGCAGCAGCCTCTTGGGAGGGGAGGTGCCAGGCCAGAGGCAGCTTCCAGCCTGGGGGCTGGTGACCACAGCACCCCCCAGGGCAGTCCTGTGACTGTTTCTTGCTTCCTGCCTCTGACTTTTAAAGGTGGGTAGCCCTGGGCTCCTCTAAGGTCTGGACATCATCATCCCAGCTAGAGGCATGGAGCCCCCAATCACAGGGGAAGAGACAGTGCTATAACAGGCTCCTTATACCAGGTGCAGTGGCTCATGCCTATAATCCCAGCACTTTGGGAGGCTGAGGCAGGAGAATCACTTGAGGTCGGGAGTTTGAGATCAGCCTGGCCAATGTGGTAAAACCTCATCTCTACTAAAATTACAAAAAAAAAAAAAAAAAAAAATTAGCAGGACATTGTGGCGCATGCCTGTAATTCCACCTACTCGGGAGGCTGAGGCACGAGAATTGCTTCAACCCAGGAGGTGGAGGTTGCAGTGAGCTGAGATTGCACCACTGCACTCCAGCCTGGGCCACAGAGTGACACTCTTGTCTGAAAACAAAACAAAAAGACTCCTTAGATTAAAACTGGATTCCAGCCTCGGTTCCACTGGTCACCATTCAAGTACTTTGCATCTCTAAGTCTCTGTTTCTTTAACTTCAAAGGGAAGTTAGCATTTTCCTTACAGAGGTGCTGAGGATTAAATGAGAAGAGGGTATGAGATTTGAGGCTGGGGAAGGAGGCATGGGGTTCTAGGAAAGGGAGGCAGTCACTTAGGCCTGGAGTAAGGGGACAGGGGCCTGGGCAGCTGACAGAGCCCCACAGTGCCCTCGCTACCCTATTAATGGGCCCAGAATCTGGAAACCAGCCACCACGTGCCCTCACACCCAGGGTCTTCCTGCAGGTGGAGCTGAAGAGCCAAGAGGCTCAGAGTCTGCAGCAGCAGCCAGACCATTACCTGGGTCACCTGCAGCAGTACGTGGCCACCTATCAGCAGCAGGTGGCCGCCTATCAGCAGCTGACCTGTGAGAAGGAGGCGCTGTACAGGCAGTGACTGCAGCAGACCCAGCTAATGAACCAGCTGCAGCAGCAGGAAGCTTGGGGCAAAGCGGTGGCTGAGATGGCCTGCCAAAAGTTGCAGGAGACCCAGGGGAGGGAGCTGCCGAGGATGGGGCTGTGAGGGGGATGACCTGGCAAACTCCACCCCTTCTCACTCTGTCCTGGCCCCTTAGGAGCACCTGGAAGCTGCCAGCCAGCAGAACCAGCAGCTAACGGCCCAGCTGAGCCTCATGGCTCTCCCTGGGGAAGGTACGGGAGACTGCTCAGAGGAAGAGGAGAGAGCCCCAGGAGGAAGGGGGGACTGCTAGCAGCATAGGATTGAGGAGTTGGAAGAGACCTTTAGAACAGCTGGTCATTATGCCGACCGGGTGCCTGCACTAAGTTCGGCATCAGTGTGGTGACCTCCTGTGAGCGGGGGGTCACCAAGTTGCCTAAGGATGGCTGAACTGGCCAAGGTCAGAAAGGGAGCAGGTCAGAACTCCCACATCGACCAGTAGTGGGAGTGTGCCTGGGCGGAATAGCAAGATCTTGATTCTTAAAAGTAAAAATAAAGAACAACAGCTCATTCCTCTCTGGGGAGGGGCAGGCTCAGGGTTACACAGTGAGGGTGGAGGTAGAGGTGGGCCCACAGTACCTCCCTTGTTGGGTTGTCTGAAGACCCGTCTGACCACCCCCCACAGGACACGGAGGAGAACATCTGGACAGTGAGGGGGAGGAGGCACCTCGGCCCATGCCGAGTGTCCCAGAGGACCCGGAGAGCAGGGAGGCCATGGTGAGCCTGACTCCCCCTGCACCCATTTTGCCACCTTTCTCTGTGGTCCCTCCAAGACCCCTTTATGCTCTTCGTTTCCCTGCCTTCTGATTTCTCTGGACCCTCACCCCTTCCGAGAGCCAGTGGTCAGACACCATTTCACCTGTGGCCAACAGGTGCACTCTCTGAGGCCCCAAGGGAAGGGGTTGCGCTCCACCTCTCTGCCCCATTTCTTCTGTGTATGCCCCTAGAAGAATGCTCACATCTTGCCCTCAGGTGGCATTTTTCAAGTCCGCTGGAGCTAGTGCCCAGGAGAAGCAGGCACAGTTACAAGAGCAGGTGAAAGAGCAGAGGGTGTGCTGCCAGCGCCTGGCTCACCCGGTGGCCTCGGCCCAGAAGGAGCCAGAGGCAGCCAGAGGCCCTGGAGCCCCAGGGCCTGGGGGCGAGTCTGTGAGTGGGGAGACCCACTGGGCCCTGCAGGAAGTCACGGAGAAGCTGGCCCATGCCAGGACTCACCTCCACCTTCTCCATGACTTGAAAATGCCACCTGAGGGCAGGTCGCTGCCGAGATGTGACTGCAATATTTTGGCTCCAGAGCAGCTTTATGGACCACCTGGAGGAGAAGGCAGACCTGAGTGAGCTGGTGAAGAAAAAAGAACTCTGCTTCATCCACCACTGGCGAGAGAGATGCCATCAGTGAGTGGGAGGCCAGGGCACGGCAGGGGGAGCTACAGGGCCGTCGGAGGGGCCCCAGCGTCTGAGCCCTGTCCTCCCGCAGGAAAACCCATCACCTTTTATCAGAACCAGGGGGCCGTGCCAAAGATGCGGCACTGGGAGGAGGACACCATCAGGCTGGAGCTCAGGGAGGAGATGAAGGTAGGGTGTGCAACATTTCTGTGGGGGTGGGGGTGGGGGTGGGTGTGAGGGTGGGCGCAGGCAGCGGCATGGCAGCTGAGCACCCCTCCCTCCAGGTGAAGCTGCTGGAGCTGCAGCAGATGGTATTGCGGCTTACAGCAACTACAACAATGGGCACAGAAAATTCCTGGCCGCTGCCCACAACTCTGCTGATGAGCCCGGTCCAGGAGCCCCAGCCCCCCAGGAGCTTGGGGCTGCAGACAAGCATGGTCGTGAGTAGAGCCCTCAGGTGGGGTGGGCAGGCAGGAAGAGGGGGCTCCCACTGTGCTCAGATCCCTGCCTCCCTCTCTCCAAAGATCTTTGTGAGGTGAGCCTCACCTCCTCTGCCCAAGGAGAGGCCAGGGAGGATCCTCTCCTTGACAAGCCTACTGCACAGCCGATCGTGCAGGACCACCAGGAGCACCCAGGCTTGGGCAGCAACTGCTGTGTGCCATTCTTGTGCTGGGCTTGGCTGCCAAGAAGAAGGAGATAAACATCACCATCCTCAAAGAGCTGCTCAAGAAATTTTTAAATAAGAAACCAAGTTATGGGGTTAATCTCCTACACAATTCATTTACTTCCTTTGAATGTTAGAGTCACTCATGATTATTTGTTTTTCTAATTTATAGTTTTAAGTTTATTTGTAAAAAGTTAAAAGAGAGTGGGTGTCTGTGGCTCTCACTGATGTTCACTCTGGCATCCTTTAGCATTTTTCTTTTTTAATTTCATAATTGTAGGTCATTAGCGTGCATATCGAGTTTGCCCTTACGTGGTGGGAGTTCAAACACACAAAGACCCACTCTTTGCCCAAAACTGTTCTCTTTGGTTTGGAATAGGCTGCCATGCTTTTTTAATGTTATTGCAGCATGTATATTCACTACAGAATTCAGACAAAATTTGCCTATGTTCTGCTGTTGTTTGATCTAATCTTAATCACAGTGAGCTCTTCATTAGCTCAATATGTAGTTTGCCCCCAAGTGTGCACTGTTTATTACTTTGTAATATGCCACTATGAGTACTGACATTTAGAGTTGTTTAAAGGCCAAGAACTGGAAACAGCCTTTCCTCCATTTTCTGTGTGTTGGTGATGGGAGTGATAACCTTTTGGGGGAGCTTTTTAAATCTCACAGAAGAGGAAAGTGGCCTCCTCTGGCAGGTACGTGCAGGATAGAGTGTGTTTCATCTGTTCCGGTGCCCGGAATTAGCAGTGTATTATGGTGGTTCCCTTAGGATTTGTATGTGCTCTGGGCTCATGAAGATACTGCATCATGAGCTGCAGCAGTTGTACTCTTTTTCGATGACCTAAAAAGGGCTTATTTCTGAGGAATGAAAGGTTCCCATCATTGACTGTGGATGTGGGAAACCTTTCCTAGCTTAGAGCATTTGTATCTACAATACATTTTAAAGTCAGAGTTCATGTTACCTGTTTTAATCACATGACTACATGTCCCAGTACACAAAAGGGCACTGGTTGGCATTCTTCTTAATGTATTTAGTGAAGATCATAAGAAATCCTTTATGAGTTCAAACGTTCCTGGAACAGGCATACAGGCTCTAGTCAAGAATGAATTAGAGTGAAGGAAAGCTGTGTGACACCTGGCATTCCTCTCTGTTCACGGAGATTCTTTGAGGCTTGAAGATTGATTTTACCATCTAGACCTCTTTGGCTAATACCTATTCTTCAACCACCTTGGTTACTCTGACATAGGAATTTACTTCTTTTTCTTTGAATGGAAAACACTTTAAAAAATAATAGAAACATTATTATAAACTAATATATGTGAGATACTTAGTTGAAACAAAAAGGAGTTTTAGTAGACGGTATTGTACTCTCTTTGAAAATCAAGGAGAAGTTTATGAAACTTAAAATGTGTACAAACTGCAGTGCAATCTACTGTTCGTGAATGTCAATGTATTATCAGGAAACGTGTCTATACAATCACAGAGTTATATTTTCTCACAGACTTCTTTACAAAGTGAAATATGTTTTTGTACCTCTGGGTTTCTGTTCGGGACATATTTTGTGCAATATTTATGTGATTGTGCCTATGCATGATGAATGAATACATTTCAGTTATATATTGCCTAAATCATAACTTGATGATGCTTGGGAAAGACTCAACAGTTAAAACTTCATGAAGTTCTAATGTCTGTGTTCCAAAACACATCACATTGTTAGGATGCAGGGAGATAGGTGTGTGTGCTCCCTGCGGTGGGGATTTCTAGTTACTAGATCATCTCCATTTTTAGCATTTGGCATCCTCATGATACTTCTATAAATATGACATTAACAGGAGAGCAACAATACGATTTTACCGATGGAATAACAGATTTGCTGGCATTCACTGAAAGAGTGCAAATATTCGGTCCTTGTGACTTCCACTGACTCTTCCAAATTTTATGAATGTATCAATGTATTAGATAAACCCAGTTTCAGAATGATAAAGAAAAAATTTAGACCAAATAATGCAGCTAATTAACAGTGGTACGATTTGTAGCCCGTGGGTTTAAAATGCACTTAAAGTCCTGTTCTCGCCTTTTATTTTCTGAACTTGCCGCTTTTGCATTCTTTGAGTTCAGTTTAAAGACAGTTACTTTAAGAGCATTTTAAACCCTCGGGCTAGAAATCGGACCACTGTTAATCAGCCACATTATTTGGTCTAACGTTTTTTCTTTTATCATTCTGAAACTGGGTTTATCTAATACATTGATAAATTATTGCAAAGGTACTTTTATCGTTGAAATCACTTCACTTTTACCCTGATAAATATCAGTGACTAGGAATGACCTTCGGATAGCGTTTAGCATCTGTAACCAATCTGACAATAATGTGTTCATGAGGTGCCTATGGATTAAATCACACACTGGCATATTTAAGCTGAAGGTCAGTCTGGAAAATAAATTTACTATATTGACTGAAATACCACTCTTTGTGTAGGTATTTGTCATATATTTAAGAAAAAGTTAAAAAGAATGGAAATTGTATGACAATAACTCAAGTCTTTCTCCAAAGTGCATGCAGTCTTTTGCGATACCTCATTCAGCCGAGTATTTGTGCTCTTCCTCATTCAGTATAAGGCAGCTTTCAGTTTGCTTAGAAGGCAACATTGGAATGTTAGAGTTCATCAGAAACATAGAATTTTAAACTGTGAGTTCCACTGAATACATTTTAATGTCTGTAGGAAGAATCAAAACACCTATTTAAAGATGGCAATATATAATAATCATTTTAAAAGTATTTGATTCAACCTGATAATTTTCCAGAAATGAAAAAAAAAAATCAGCTCTTAAACCAAAGCTGATTTTAGAAAATTTGAAAATGTAAATCAGCCCTATCCATAATATAGTTTCTCTAAAACTTTATTTTAAAGAGTCATTTTAAAATAATATAACTATTAAAAAATGTAACTGCTATCTTAATGTTCTGAAATAATTTAAAACATTTTAAAATATGAATACTGTAGTATAAAAGAAAGAAATGGTGGGAACGAAAAGCAGAGAAAGAAATGCCAATTCCAGTCCAAAGTTTTATTTGCCAAGTTTTCTTAGAATGAATTTTACCAGTTTATGAATTATTGTAAAGAGAATGTGTCGTGGAAATACTGAAAGATTTTTCCCTAGAGTGGCCTTATTGACTGCTGGTGTGATGCCACTGTAATGTAATAAATTATTAAGTTGTTTCAATGTGTTGTTTTTGTCTTAAAATTTTATTTTGCGTTTCTTGAAAACTATAGTATTAAAGGTATTGATACTGTGCAAATGCTGGGCATGCTTGGCATGAGATAATGTGTTTCATTTTTACAAAGTTGTAATATAACTATGCAAGTGTTTCTTAAAAGAACACAAGATTTTAAAAGTTATGGGATTAAAAAAGTTATGGGGTGAAAAAGTTATGGGATAAAAAATGTAAAAACGTTGTGGCAAAAAAACTTGTGGGAACAAAGTAGAAAACAGTATTATGAAAAGTTACCAAAAAAGTTATGAAAAAGAAGTTACGGGATTCTTTTTTAAAAAGTCATGGAATAAAAATAAAAATTAAAAGCAGGCCCCTGTCAGCAAAGCCTGGAGAAGTGGGGCTGGGGTCTCCACCGCCACCATGTCCCTACCACCCCTTCCCAGGCACCCCTTTACAATTAGGGTAGCAGGACAAGACCTCTGTCTAATGGGGAAAGACAAACAGACCCTTTGCCACCCTGACCAGGGCTGAGTCCCTAAATTTCTGGATGATGATGATTGTTATTTAAGAGCCAGAGGCTGGTGGAGTTGGTTTGTTTGGAGGAGGCCTGATGTCCCCCTTACTCTCACCATAGCAACTTTTCCCTCAGGGGGGCTCCCTTCTTATTCAGAGAGGCAGGACAGTGGGGCTAACTGTGGACCAGGCGAGGGCACGGGCTGCTGGGGTGGCCCCCGTTCCCCGGTGTACACATTGTGTCTGTGTAAGGTTTTGTATATTCCAGAGGGTAGGGCCACCCCTGTGTCATACCTAGCTGAGGTTGGAGCCGGCACATGGGGAGGAGGTTGTAATAATTATTTGTGGCTGGGAAACTTATTTATTGCTAGCATAGGACAGAGGAAGGAGGCGGGGATGGGGTCATGGCTCCCTGGTGATGCGACTCCTGTTTATTTTGCTTTTTATTTTGGAATAAATGGATTTAGCCATACTGCTCGGCCTGGTGTGTTTCCGTTTCCCTCACTGGGTCCTGGAGTTTGTGCCACCAAACAAGGAGTCCCAGAGTGTCTTGAGCATGTCCAGCTAGGCTGTTGGGGACCTTCCAGGCGTGTTACCTGTATGCTGCCTGGTGGCGCCTGGGGGATTCCAAGGGGACTGCCATGTAGTCTATGGGGCGCAGTCTGGCCCTGACAGCCAACAGGCTCAGAAGCCTGATCTAGCGGTGGCCGGGAAGACAGGTACCAGCACCTAAGGGCACTGACTTCCACCCAGCCCCGGCATCTTCCGTTCTATCCCCTTGTCTCCCTCTCCTGTCTGCACCTGGTGGCCTGTTCTGTCTGTGCCTCCAGAGTGCCGGCTGCCCTGCAGGCTCCCTCTGGGCTGAGTTCATGGCCCTGCCCCCTGGTGGCCAGAGCCGGCTTCACAGGATAAGAGCCCGCTAAGCTCCAGGGGCTTTCCAGGAAAAGTGTCCCTTGGAAAGGGCATGGCCTTTTCACTGCTCCCAACAGCACCCTAGAAATGGCTTGGCCTTTCCCCTCCCCTGAGCTCCACAGAGAACACAGCCAGCAGAGGACACACTTCCCCGCCATCCAGAAGCGGGTTTGATTTTCAGCCAAGGGACAGCAGGACTGGTAGAGACTGTCAGGCCACACAGCTGCCTGCACAGCACTCCCATGCTTGGTGGGGGGGGGGGGGGCGGGAGGGATGGCGGGGTGTGTCTCTCCATAGGCTGGGCGTGACAGGGAGGCTCACTGAAGGTAGCGCACTTTGGAGGGGCAATGTCAGGGGTTAGCTTTCTCTTGTTTGGCCACAAGACTCCAAAAGGACAGCACGGTGACTGATTCCCAGCGCTAGAGGCGAGGCGGTTGGCCACATGTAGGTGTGTGTGTGTGTGTGTGTGTGTGTGTGTGTGTGTGTGTGTGTATGTATATGGGTATTTGTAGATATTTCTAGAACAGGGCAGGGGCATACCACAGAGGGGGGCACAAGTTTTCAGCAACGGTCACACCTGGATGTGTCAGCTCACCGCAACAATAGACGAAGTCACAGATGAAGGGGGCTGCCTTTGGGGCTGGGGGAGCCACTGCCAAGTCACAGAACAGCCGCCCAGGCAGGCTTGGAAAGGGAAGTCTCTGAGAAGAGGAGGAATCTGTTTAGAGGTCAAAGGGGGGCCTGGGGCTCTCAGGATGGGATGGACTTGCCTGAGCCGATTGGCTGGCAGTTGGAGAGAAAGCAGAGAGAAGACAGGAGAGAGAAAAGCGAGCATATCATCTCACACCAGTTAGAATGGCAATCATTAAAAAGTCAGGAAACAACAGGTGCTGGAGAGGATGTGGAGAAATAGGAACACTTTTACACTGTTGGTGGGACTGTAAACTAGTTCAACCATTGTGGAAGTCAGTGTGGCGATTCCTCAGGGATCTAGAACTAGAAATACCATTTGACCCAGCCATCCCATTACTGGGTATGTACCCAAAGGACTATAAATCATGCTGCTATAAAGACACATGCACACGTATGTTTATTGCGGCATTATTCACAATAGCAAAGACTTGGAACCAACCCAAATGTCCAACAATGATAGACTGGATTAAGAAAATGTGGCACATATACACCATGGAATACTATGCAGCCATAAAAAATGATGAGTTCATGTCCTTTGCAGGGACATGGATGAAATTGGAAATCATCATTCTCAGTTAACTATCGCAAGAACAAAAAACCAAACACCGCATATTCTCACTCATAGGTGGGAATTGAACAATGAGAACACATGGACACAGGAAGGGGAACATCACACTCTGGGGACTGTTGTGGGGTGGGGGGAGGGGGGAGGGATAGCATTGGGAGATATACCCAATGCTAGATGACGATTTAGTGGGTGCAGCGCACCAGCATGGCACATGTATACATATGTAACTAACCTGCACATTGTCACATGTACCCTAAAACTTAAAGTATAATAATAATAATAAAAAAAAAGCGAGCAGAGAGCTGGTGAGGCAAGTGCAGAGCACAGGTGTGCCACAGCAGCTGTGGGAGGGCCAAGGAGTAAAGGGTGCACGTGCGGGTGTGGCAAGGTTCCTGGAAAAGAGGGGCTGGAAGGGAAAGGGGAGGAAGACAGAGGGAGGAGCCGGAGTTTCACAGGTAGTGCCTGGGGGCTGTGGCAGCCCTCCCCACCCCACACGTGCTGGCCTCTTCCACGGCACCCAGTGCACCCACTGTTAAGACTGATGCTCAGCCCCTTTGGGCTTCCCTCTTCTCTGGGCACCGTGTCTTCCAACCCACTTGTCCAGGGCCACCTCTCGCCTTGGGGAGCCCAAAACAACAGCCACCAGGCCTGATAGAGAAGAAACACTGCTTGAACCAGGATGATGAAGCTAAAAGGGATGGATGGGTGGAGTGATCGCCGGAGCCCCCTCTGGGGGGTCAGAAAGCCCAGGAACCCTTGAAGGGTCCCTGGGGGAGGAAAGGAGGGCATGCAGCTGGATGCCACTGGCTATAGACTTATAAGTCTAAGAGGGGAGCCTCAGCTTGTTGGGGGTTGCAGGTCGGATAGGTGAGGCTGGGCCCTTCCTGCTGGGAAAAGCAGAAGAGGGAGAGTCTATGGCAGGGGAGGTGGGTGGGCTTGTGGGGCGGAGGTCAGCTGGGCCAGCAGGCACTGTGGTCCCCTTGGCTGAATAGCAGAGGTGACCTCTAGGAGCAACACTCCAAGGTGCGTGAGCCTGCTGGCCAGCAATAGTGCTTCAGCGGGGGCCAGGGACCCTGCCTTCAGTCACACGCTAGCAGCTATGATGGTACCTGGGAGGGAGGGAAGGGGCCTGTGTTTCCTGCCTGGCCTGTGAGGTGTGTTGTGGGTTGACCGTGTGTATGGGACTCTCAAGGTTTTATCCTATCTCACCACTGCATTGCCGACAGATAGAGGAGGTGGGACTCTGACTATCACCCCTGCTCTGCAGTGGATTTGGCTCTCAGCACTCCCAGGCTGGGAGCTGGATGCCCTGCCCTGGCAGCATGACTCAGACTGCCCAACAGGTGCGGTGTGCACAGGAGGACTATCCTAGGACTCTGGCCGCCTCAGAGTACAGCCCCACACACCACCCCCTCTAAGCTCTCAGCCCTTACACCATAAACCACGAGCTCTGTGACGGCTCCAGGGAGCACCCATGTCTACCAGCGTGGGCACGGAGCCTGTTCCAAGAGTCCCCAGGCTCAGCCATGGGGGCTGGGGGGCTTTGGGGCCGTGGGAGCCAGCCTTGGTACCTGCATCCGGCAAGGACGCTCTGCACCTGCAGGCAGGAGTTGTCCACGGGCCCCCATGTGCGTGCTGATGGTGGTCGTGTTGATGTCGCCGATGATGCCGAGTGCCTCCTTCAGCACGTGGTACATGCGCAGCATCTCGTCGCGCCACTGTGCCTGCTCTGCCGACTCTTCCATCAGCGTTTTCTGGTCCCCACGTGAGTACAGGTTGGACAGCAGCTCCGAGAAGATGAACTCCTTGGTCTGAGAGCGGGCAAAGAGGGAAGGAGGTTGGGACCTGATGCCTTTGCTGCCCTGGCCTCCTGCCGGGCCCTGCTGGGACTGTGTGCTGGACTTGGAGCCCTGAGTATGGCTTTTCAGACGCGGCTTCTACACCGCTTAGACTCAAAGATCTGCCTCCCCACCGCCCTTTTCTCACTCAGATAGGGACACTGAGGTCCAAAGGAAAAGTCACCTGTCCAAGGTCACACATCTGGGAGGGGACCCAGGACCTATCATGCCACCAGGACACCGGTCTACTCAGTTTCTTAAAAATGTTTTTTGGAGATAGGATCTTGCTCTGTCGCTAGGCTGGAGGACAGTGGGCGAGATCACCACTCACTGTAGCCTCAACTTCTTGGGCTCAAAGTGATCCTCCAATGTCAGCCTGTCGAGTAGCTAGGACTATAGGTACGTGCCACCACCAAGCCCAGCTATTTTTAAAATTTTAGTGTAGAGATCAGGTCTCACTATGTTGCCCAAGCTGGTCTCGAACTCCTGGGCTCAAGCTATCCTCTTGCCTTGGCCTCCCAAAGTGCTGGGATTACAGACATGGGCCACTGTCCCCAGTCCCACGTTATATTTCTATGAGACAGCTCTGGTCTGGACTGTGCCTCCCTCCCTGGACCTTGGTCCCATAGGGCTGGTCAGCATCTCCCCCAGGCCAACATGGCCACCTGCATCCCCAGTGCTACAGGAGCCCCCTGCCCCTATGAGGCGGTGCATGCACGTTGTTGATCATGACGTGCATGATGGTCTTGGGCATGACACCAACCATGAGGTCCCACACGGTCTTGTTGACAATGGCCATGTAGGAGTCCACAAGGTTCTGGGTGGTTTCCATTTGCCGCTCCAGCTATGGGTCCATGGAGTGCATGAAGCTGTCGGAGCCATTCTCCTCAGCCTTGCTGTCCTGTCATGGAGAACACAGTGGCATCAGGGTGGCCAGGCCATGCAGCCAGGCTCCAGGAATCCCTAGGATCTCAGCACCTCCAAGGGTACCTGGAACATTGAGGCACAGAGAAAAACAACTGGCGTGAACATGCACCGAGCTCCCCACACGCTCTAGACGGTTTCAGGTATCTGCCTCTCAGGACCCCAGACTCCCCTGATTCAGTCTCCTCTTAGTTCTGACTCTAGTGCCCAGAATCTGCCTCAAGTTACCAATCCAGAAACTGGAAAAAAACATCTCCAGGTCCCCTGTTGGAGACCTGGCCAGAGCTTGTGCCAGGCTGCAGACGCCTGGCAGGGGGCAAGAAAGGGGCATACTCACTTTCCCCTTGTCCTGGGAGGCCCATGCACCAACACTGCCACCGCCGCCGCCACCAGGGAACACGGCAAAGTAGACACACACAGAGAGGAAAACGGGAAGGGTTGAGTGAACCTGGGACACTGCACCCCAACTTTAATGTGTTGTGGAATTCAGTTAGCTAATATTTTATTGAGGATTTTTGCATCAATATTCATCAGTGATATTGGCCTGTAGTTTTCTTTTTTGGTCTGTGTGTTTGATTTTGTTATCAGGGTAATGCTAGCCCTGTAGAATGAGTTTGCAAGTATTCCCTCCTTCTCTATTTTTGGAATCGTTTGGGTAAGGTTGGTATTAGTTCTTCTTTAAATGTTTGCTAGAATTCAGCAGTGAATCATCAGGTCCCAGGCTTTTCTTTGCTGGGAGACTTTTTATTACCACTTTGATCCCATTATTTGTTATTGGTTTGTTCAGGTTTTGGGTTTCATCATGGTTCAATCTTGGTAGGTTAGATGTGTCTGGAAATTTATCCATTTTTGGTAGGTTTTCCTATTTATTTGCACACAGTTGCTGACCACTAGTGATCCTTTGAGGTTTTTTTTCTTTTCTTTTTTTATATGGAGTCTTGGTCTGTCGCCCAGGCTGGAGTGCAGTGGCGCGCTCTCAGCTCACTGCAAGCTCTGCCTCCCGGTTTCACGCCATTCTCCTCCCTCAGCCTCCCAAGTAGCTGGGACTACAGGCGTCCGCCACCACGCCCTGCTAATTTTTTGTATTTTTTCCGTAGAGACGGGGTTTTACCGTGTTAGCCAGGATAGTCTTATCTCCTGACCTCCTGATCCACCCGCCTTAGCCTCCCAAAGTGGTGGGATTACAGGCGTGAGCCACGCCCCCTTGGGACAGGGACACACACACACACACATAGACACACACACACACACACACACACACACACACACACACACACACACACACACACAGAGTTGGTAGTTGTGCCGCCCAGTCGCGAGTGTGAGGAAGGGACCAGATCGGTCGGGCAGAAAGGTGCTGGGTCAAGAGAGGAGGGGGCAGCCGGTAGCGCGGGCACGCCGGGTGCGCGCGGGGCGCGCCGGGTTGAGGGGTGAGGGGTGAGGGGTAAGAGGTGAGGGGCGACGAGGACCGGGGCGGGGTAGGGGCAGCCCTTTCCCAGGCGGTAGCGGGGGCAGTGGTGCTGTTGCCCTTTTAAACTGCGGCTTGACGGGAGCCGCGCCTCCTGTCGGTGGAGTCGGTTATAAAGGGAGCAGCCCCGCAGGCCGCCACATAGCTCCCGCCAAGTCCTCGGTGCCCCTTGCCATTTTCCAGCCGCGCTCCCACGAGGGTCACGGCGGCGGGGAGAGGTGGAGCCGCGAGAGCTCGGCCGGGGGCCCCGCCTGGTGGTCGCGGCCATGACAGCGGCTCGGGACTGGCTCCTTTTCCGCGCCCCTCCCGCCGGAGGTGAGGGGAAGATGTCCATGTCCGGGTTCAAGGGCAAACCGAAGTTACTGGCCTCTATCTTCCAGGAGAACCAGGAGCCACAGCCGCGGCTCACGCCCCACCGCAACATTAAGGTGAGTCGCCGGGTGGCGGCCTGGCGGGGCAGGGCGAGGGCGGAAAGCGGGTGCCCAGAGTCCCAGGAGAAAGGGGAAGCTGCCCCAGAGAGGCCGCGGTTCCCCGCCCCTTTCTCCCGCAACTGGCCCGCCCGGCAAGGCAGAGGCTTGGGTGGGAGAAGGCGGAGGGCGCGTCTCTCCAACTCCTAGCGCGGGGCTGGCTTGGGGGCTGCTGGCCCCTCTCGGCCCCTGTCGCTGCGCCTCGAGGTGGGAGCCCGCGGCTGCGGGAGCTCTCTTGGGACCCATGGTCGCCCTCAGTCAGCCCACCTGCTCTAGGGACCGCGACAGGGCGGGGCAGGGCGGCTCCCGCGTTGTTGGAGCCCAGGCGGGGAAGGGGAAAGGCCTTTAAGATTTTCGGTTTTTTGGCCGGGCGTAGTGGCTCACGCCTGTAATCCCAGCATTTTGGGAGGCCAACCGGGCTGATCACTTGAGGTCATGAGTTGGAGACCAGCCTGGCCAACATGGTGAAACCCGTCTCTACTAAAAAATAGAAAAATTAGCCGGTCGTGTTGGCAGGCGACTTAATCCCAGCTATTTGGGAGGCAGAGGCAGGAGAATCGTTTGAACCCGGGAGGCGGAGGTTACAGTGAGCTGAGATCGAGCCATTGCACTCAAACCTGGGGGAGAAGAGCGAGACTTCTCTCTCTCTCTCTCTCAAAAAAAAGTTTTCTTTCTTTTTTTCTTTTTGTTGAGACAGAGTCTCACTCACTCTGTCGCCCAGGCTGGAGTGCAGTGGCGCGATCTCGGCTTACTGCAGCCTACCTCTCTTGACAGTCCACTGGTTAAAGCGATTCTCCTGCGTCAGCCTCCCGAGTAGCTGAGATTACAGGCGCCCGCCACCACGCCTGGCTAACTTTTGTGTTTTTAGTAGAGACGGATTTTTTAGTAGAGACGCGGTTTCACCATGTTAGCCAGCATGGTCTTGATCTCCTGACCTCATGATCCACCCGCCTCAGCCTCCCAAAGTGCTGGGATTACAGGCGTCAGCCACCGCGCCCGCCCTCTGTTTTGTTTTATACATGTAATATATTCACAAGTATCTTTACGAAGTGATTTTGATACTCTTTTGTCTTCTCCCTAGAATCTCTTTGTTCTGTAATAATTTTTTCTTAGTTTATATTGATCTTATTTTCCTTTTTAAAGCCTTTCCTTACATATCTATTCTATGTTGCTTATCATTTGTAGTTTTTTTATTTTTTATTTATTTATTTATTTATTTATTTATTTATTTATTTTTTATTTTTTTTTTTTGAGAGGGAGTCTCGCTCTGTTACCCAGGCTGGAGTGCAGTGGTGCAATCTGGGCTCACTGCAAGCTCCGCCTCCCAGGTTCACGCCATTCTCCTGCCTCAGCCTCCTGAGTAGCTGGGACTACAGGTGCCAGCCACCACGCCCCAACAATTTTTTGTATTTTTTAGTAGAGACGGGGTTTCACCGTGTTAGCCAGGATGGTCTCGATCTCCTGACCTCATGATCTGGCCACCTTGGCCTCCCAAAGTGCTGGGATTACAGGCGTGAGCCACCGTGCCCAGCCCTGATTCTATATTATAGTGAGTTGTACAATTATTTCATTATATGTTACAATGTAATAATAATAGAAATAAAATGCACAATAAATGTAATGTCCTTGAATCATCCCAAAATCATCTCCCCCAACCTTGTCTGTGGAAAAATTGTCTTCTGCAAAACTGGCTCCTGATGCCAAAAAGTTTGGGGACTGCTGGCATAAGTGGTCTCATATAGTAGTTGTCCTTTTGTGCCTGGCTTATTTCACTTAGCATAATGTCTTTAACGTTCATCCATGTTGTAGCATGTGCCAGAATTTCATTTGTTTTTAAGGCTGAATAATATTCCCTTGTATGTATTTAATATGCCTTTTTATCTTTTCCTCTGTTGATGAATACTTGGGTTGCATCCACCTATTGGCTATTGTGAATAGTTTTGCATTGCCTGTCTTTCTCATGATCGCCATCCTATTTCGCATCTAGCAGGTGTGAAATTCCATTGATTGAGTGATTGATTGAGACAGGGTCTGACTCTGTCGCCCAGTCTGGAGTGCAGTGGCATGATCTTGGCTCACTGCAACCTCCATCTCCCAGGCTCAAGCAATTCTTCTGCCTCAGCCTTCCGAGTAGCTGGGATTATAGGCATGCACCACTACCAGCTGGCTAATTTTTGTATTTTTAGTAGAGACAGGGTTTCACCATGTTGGCCAGGCTGGTCTCGAACTCCTGACCTGAAATGATCCACCTGTCTCCGCCTCCCAAAGTATTTGGATTACATGTGTGAGCCACTGCGCCCAGCTAGTAGGTGTGAATTTCTATGTCTTAGTGGTTTTGATTTGCATTTACCTGATGGCAAATGATGTTGAGTATCTTTTCATGTGTTTATTGGCCATTTGTCTGTTTTTTTGGGGAAATACTTATTCCAAAATTTAACTTATTTTTAATTGGGTTATGTATCTCTTTATTATTTAGCTGTAAGAATTTTTTACATATTCTAGATAGGAGTTATAACAACTTTCTTCCTTTTTCTGGATTGTCTTTTTTCTTTCTTGATGGTGTCCTTTGAAGCAGAAAGATTTTAAATTTTGATATAGTCCAATTTATCTTTTTTCATTTGTGTTTTTTTGCTCCTTGTGCTTTTGGTGTAATATCTAAAAAAACGTTGCTACTCCAAGGTCACAAAGGTTTCTGCCTATGTTTTTTTCTATGAGTTTTATAGTTTATCAATATCTCTTATATTGAGCTCTTTTATCCATTTGAATTAATTTTTGCATGCGGCATGAAGTAGGGGGGTATAGCTTCATTGTTTTGCACCTAGACATCCAGTTATCTCAGAACTATCTGTTGAAAAGCTTATTCTTTCCCCATTGAATTGTCTTGGAACGCTTATTGAAGATCAATTGACTGTATATGTGAAAGTTTATTTCTGGATTCTATTCTTTTCTCTGTTCATCTGTCCTTATACCAGTAGCACACTCTTGATTACTGTAGCTGTTTAGTAAGCTTTGAAATCAGAAAGTATGAATCCTCCAGAAAGTTTTTTAAGGTGGGTTTGGCTGTTCCGGGTCACTTGCATTTCCATATGAATTTTAAGATCAGCTTGTCAGTTTCTGCAAAGGAGCCAGCTGGGATTTTAATCACAGTCGCATTGAATATGTAGATCAACTTAGAAAGTACTGCCATTTTAACAATATTAAGTTTTCCTCCATGAACACAGGATGTATTTGTACTAATTTAGGTCTTCCTTTAATTTCTTTCAATCGTAGTTGTGTTGAATGCAGACCTACTTTGAATTAATTCTAAGTAATTTTTATGCTACTTATTGGTTGACAAATATAATTGCTTTTAGTTTTTAACTGTAGTTTTGATGTAATGTGAACTGTATTTGGACCTTGTGAAGCTTATTTCTGCTTTGAAATTTAGTATAAATTGGTTATAATAAAATCTGACTGTGCTAATTTTTTGGTTATGTGAAATAGAAAATCAATGTAAATTTAAAAATTTATTCTGGGCCGGGCGCAGTGGCTCACACCTGTAATCCAAGCACTGTGGGAGGCTGAGGAGGGCAGATCACAAGGTCAGGAGATCAAGACCATCCTGGCTAACACAGTGAAAGCCCATCTGTACTAAAAATACAAAAAATTAGCCGGGTGTGGTGGTGGGCACCTGTAGTCCCAGCTACTTGAGAGGCTGAGGCAGGAGAATGGTGTGAACCTGGGAGGCGGAGGTTGCGGTGAGCTGAGATCGCACCACTGCACTCCAGCCTGGGCGACAGAGTTAGACTCCGTCTCAAAAAAAAAAAAAAAAAAAAAAAAATTCATTCTGAAATGCGATAGATGTTGAAGCTCTTCTGGCAGATGGTTATAAAGAGGAATATATAATCATTCTATTGAGAAAATATAATCAATAATGTGAATACCTAAGGTAGTTTATTTTACATATATATCTCGGTATTTATTTATTTTTGAGACAGAGCCTCACTCCTGTCACCCAGGGTGGAGTGGAGTGGCACGATCATGGCTCATTGCAGCCTCAACTTCTTGGGCTTAGGTGCTTATCTCATCTCATCGCAGCCACCTGAGTAGCTGCGACTACAGGTGTGCGCCACCATGCATGGCTAATTTTTTGTATTTTTAGTAGAGGTTTCCCCATGTTGTCCAGGCTGGTCTGAAACTCCTGGACTCAAGTGATCTGCCCGCCTCGGCCTCCCAAAGAGCTGGGATTACAGGTGTGAGCCACTGTGTTGGCCTTATGTTTTATAATTTTTAAATGATACTTTTTATTCTATTACAAAACATATATAATTGTAAAAAACTTGTAAAATATAAAAGAGGACAAAGACAGTAGAAAAATTATTTACAATGTAATTCCCAAGTAAACACTGATTACCTTTTTTTTTTTTTTTAGAGCCTGTTGCTCAGGCTGGAGTGCAGTGGCACCATCATAGTTCACTGTAACCTCATACATCTCATACATTTTGATATTACTACTTCTGGTTTTATACATAATGTGTTCACTTTGAAGCAAGAGAGTATAATTTTATAACGATTATTTTCATTTAATGATCGTGATCTCATTGCAATTATTGATCATTTAGTTTATTCCTGAACATTTTGTTTTATATATTTTTGCTATTGTGAGTGGGATATTTGTTATAACTTGGCATTTGTGCCTACACTCAATTTACCTATAGGAAACTAATTTTTGCATACAATTGTTTTAATTGGTGCAGTGGCACAATCTCAACTCACTGCAACCTCCGCCTCCCAGGTTCAGGTGATTCTCCTGCCTCAGCCTCCTGAGTAGCTGGGATTACAGGCACATGCCACCACACCCAGCTAATTTTTGTATTTTTAGTAGAGACAGTGTTTCACCATGTTGGTCAGGCTGGTCTTGAACTCCTGACCTCGTGATCCACCCGCCTTGGCCTCCCAAATTGCTGGGATTACAGGCTTGAGCCACCGTGCCCGGCCTCGGCCTCTTTGTGTGTTTTCGTATATCTTTCATCTGAGTTGCAAGGGGCACCTTGGGTTTCCAGGAATTTTCTTAGCTAACTCTGTTCCTTTATCTATGACCCTTCCTCACTAGTTTTGGATAATTTATTTTCCTTCTTCCTTACTTCACTGATTTACTTTTCTATTTTATTTAGTTTGCTAGTCATTGTTTCTTTTAAGGTTCTTAAGCATAAATCCTTTTTTTTTTCTGATGGGAAATACTGGGGCATAGCACTAGGAATACAAATTATGTTTAAATAGAGCACAAAGAACCATCTCAAAGGAATAACTGATGGTGAATGTCTGGTGATTGATTTTATTATGTATCATCTCTAATGAGGCTTAATAAATAATTGAGGTTTAACACTTAGGTAACCGGTCTGTATTTAAGTCTGAAAATTTTTGTATGTTACAGTTTCAACTTCACATTGAATATTCTGTAAAGCAGAAATAAATTGATCAGCATTCTATGAATGAAAAATAAAGCCATGGGTCGGGTGCAGTGGCTCACACCTATAATCCCAGCACTTTGGGAGGCCGAGGCAGGTGGATCACCTGAGGCCAGGAGTTCGAGACCAGCCTGGCCAACATGGTGAAACCTTGTCCTAGCTACTGGAGAGGCTGAGGCAGGAGAATGACTTTAACCCAGGAGACAGAGGTTGTGGTGAGCTGAGATCGCGCCACTGCACTCTAGCCTGGTGACAGAGCAAGACTCTGTCTCAAAAAAAAAAAAAAAAAAATTAGCTGGGCATGGTGGTGCACACCCGTAATTCCACTACTTGGGAGGCTGAGGCAGGAGAATCACTTGAACCCAGGAGGCAGAGGTTGCAGTGAGCCAGGGTTGCACCACTGCCCTCCAGCCTATGTGACAGACTGAGACTCCATCCCTAAAAAAAAAAAAAAAAACAAAAAAAAACCATGCTGGTAATCGAAAAAGCAGTTTGCCTCATCAGAGTTTAGAACGTTGAATTGTAAAGATCTTTTTTGTAGTCCTAGCCAGTTTTAATGGTAACATGAGCAATTCAGTTACTTTCTCAGAGTTTTATATTTTTATCTGTAAAATGGAAATTATGGTACCTACAGTTTAGGATTTTTGTGAAAATCAAGTGAGACTGCAAGTGTCTTGAATAGCAGTGGAAGTACATTGATATAGGTGATATTTTACAGTGGTGTCTTCCTCAGCATCATATTAGTTCAGTGTTTTAAAGCTCTATATTAGTCACAGAAACAAAGTCAAATTTTTGTTCTCATTTCAGATTACAAGTGGACACCTGAGTCAGCAGGACCTGGAATCCCAGATGAGAGAGCTTATCTACACGACTCAGATCTTGTTGTCACCCCCATTATTGACAATCCAAAGGTGCAGAAAGCACTCTGACAAGTGAGTTGTAGACTTTACTGAGATCTGAAATCTGCATAAGATTTTCATTCAGAATATTATTTACTGTCTAATCTTTCCTGTTTCTCTTGTCCGCTACTCTTTCATTTGTGCTGCATGTCTGCATTTCCAGCTCCCGCTCTGTCTGCAACCCTTTCCTCTGCCTTCACTTCCGCTTCACTGGAGTTCTAAGTTTTCCCCCCTCTGTTTTGAATGAGTCAGCTCTGCTTCTCACTACTGCTTTCTTCCACATGCCACGGAGGGGTTGCCAGCCTCTTGACCTCAGACCTTAGCTCTCAGTCCCATCGTTTCTCCATCTGCACTAATGTGAATCACTCTAAGTATTCTAGTCTCTGATGTGTTTTGAAGGCAGAAGCAGTCAGAGGGCACTGCTCACCAGGCTGGGCTGGGCAGGCAGATCACACGGAAGCCCTGCCCTGTCACAGGTTGTTAATACTGCAGGGGAGATGGTGGGGAGACACTATGGGAACTTGAGGAGTCATGGTTCACAATGTACTTCTAAACCACTGTGAGTTTTTTTGCTTCTTGTCTTTTGGAATATAATACTTTATTGCTGGGGGATAATGAGTATTTACTTTAAAAAACAGATGCATTTCTAAGTCCCTCTGTTTTGTCTTGACTTCCAGCTCCCCAACATACTCACATTCCACTACTTATTCTCTATTTTAACTTTACTGCTTCTTTTACTTTTTTTTAGTTTTACTTTTATTTTTTATTTTTTTGAGACAGAGTCTTGCTCTGTCACACAGGCTGGAGTGCAATGACGCGATTTTGGCTCACTGCAAGCTCCGCCTCCCAGGTTCATGTCATTCTCCTGCCTCAGCCTCCCAAGTAGCTGGGACTACAGGTGCCCGCCACCACGCCCTGCTAATTTTTTGTATTTTTAGTAGAGACAGGGTTTCACCATGTAAGCCAGGATGGTCTCGATCTCCTGACCTTGTGATCCACCCACCTCGGCCTCTCAAAGTGCTGGGATTACAGGCATGAGCCACCACACCTGGCCTTCTTTTTCTTTTTTAAATATCTTTTTCTGTATTAATTCATGACTGTTTTTTTCTTGTCTCATTGGGAACATTAGTGTGGTTTAGAACAATGTAAGGGTTTTTGGATTCATGTTTATTTTCTAGATAGACAGCATTTTATATAGATGATTTAGCTGTTTTTCATAATGGAGCTAATTCTTTTTGTGAGTTCATATGTCTGGCAGTGTAACTTTATTATGCTAAGTTTGATGTGCATTGGCGCATTTTCAAAATGGGCTTTCTAGAACAATTTGTGATATCTTTCCCAGGGGTGTCCAGTCTTTTGGCTTCCCTGGGCCACACTGGAAGAAGAATTGTCTTGGGCCACACATAAAATACACTAACAATAGCTGATGAACTAAAAAACCAATAAAAAAAATTGCAAAAAAATTCTTACAATGTTTTAAGAGAGTTTATGAATTTGTGTTGGGCCATATTCAAAGCCGTCTTGGGCCGCATGCAGCCCACGGGCTGCGGGTTGGACAAGCTTGCTTTACACAATATTCTGTGTTTCCTTTTTTCCTCTTATAACCATATTTGATAGTTTATGGGAAGCCTTCATCAGTGGAAATTTTTGTGTTTAACTTTTAATTCTAAACTACTTTTAGAGAAAAGATTAAAAAATAGTTGAGAACCCCTGTATAGCTTTTGCCCAGCTGCTCTTAATGTTCACATCTTATAGGTCTATAGTATAGTTAGCAAAACCTGGGAATTAACACTGGTATAGTGTTAGTCAGGCGGGATAATCCTTACCTGTGCCTCCTTTTGGAGGGCAGTAGAATGTGGTAGTTGGAGTTGCATGATACTTGATTCATATCTCTGTGTAATGATGGCATGCAATACCCTGACTGCTCCTTTCGAATTCTTCCTGAAAAGGGAAAAATAAAACATGAGAATAGTGCTGCTAACTACCAAATGCATTTGAATTTTACCGGTTGCCTCTAATGTCCTCTTTTTTTTTGTTCCAGGATCCCACATTACAGTTAGTTGTTATGCCTCCTTAGTCTCATATAGTCTGTCCTAGTTTTTCACGGTTTTGTCAGAATTTCTCAGACTTTGCTTGTCTTTCATGACCTTGACAGTTTGTCTTTTAGTTTGTTTTGTTTTGTTTTTTGTCACCCAGGCTGGAGTGTAGTGGCGCGATCTCAGCTCACTGCAACCTCTGCCGACCGGGTTCAAGCTATTCTCCTGCCTCAGCCTCATGAGTAGCTAGGATTACAGGCACCTGCCACTGCACCTGGCTAAGTTTTGTAGTTTTAGTAGAGATGGGGTTTTACCATGTTGGCCAGGCTGGTCTTGAACTCCTGACCTCATGATCCACCTGCCTAGGCCTCCCAAAGTGCTGGGATTACAGGCGTGAGCCACGGCACCTGGCCTTTGTATGTTTTTGTAATACATGTTATAAAACGTATGACTCAAGTCCTTGACACTTTGAAGAGTAACTGGTTGGGTGTTTTGAAGAATGTCCCTTAATTTAGGTTTGTCTAAGGGTTTCTCATGACTCGAATGAGATTATGAATTTGGATTATGAGATTAGAATGAGAATATGCATTTTAGTAAGAATACTACAGTAAATACAGTAATGCTGGTTACTTAATTAGTAAAGGTTTTAAAAATATTACATATAGAAGTTTTGCAGAAGTTAGGTATAGAAATGATGGTTGAATTTTTAATTAAAAGTCTCAAGATGCAGTATCTGGCTGTCCTAAGCTCATGGATCCAACTACATGGTTTCTTCACATTTCTCAAATAAATTATGCACTTTCCAATTCATGCTATTATGGCTTCCTTGAATGGTGTCTTCTCTGATATAACCATAAAGTTCTAGCCATCCTTCAAGACCTCAACCCACCTTCTACCTCTTCCGTAAACCCGGTGTCAACTATATCAAGTAAAGTGCTTGCTGTATTCTCTAAACTACTATTTACAAAAAAAATTCTTTCTGTCCAGGGTTTTGTCTGTAGTTATGTCCTGCCTCTTTTGAATTGTGAAATATTTTCTTGTTTATCAAATGTTTGTCTCATCTTCCCAACCAGAAAGTCAGCTCGCTGAAAATAGGATTGTGTCTTTTATATCTTTGTATCCCCCTTAGCACTTGACATAGAGCCTTACCTTGGCAGGTAAGCAATAGATATTTGTTGAAAGACTGAATTTCTAATTAGAGGTAAATTACCTAAAAAGTAAGCCAGGATGGGGTGAAATTTTTCTTTGAAGCTTTATTTTATTACAGATATCAATTGAAATGATTTTAAAAAATAAATTATTATCTATATTTTATGTTTTAATCTGAAAAGGCATCGTTCTTATTGTTTTTGGTAACAAATTTTACACATTCTTTTTTTGTCCTCATTGATTTATTATCTGATATAAGGGACATATAAGGAGACAGATATCCATCTTTAAAATTGCCTCAAAAGTTTTTTTTTTTTTAACCACAGATAATGAAACAACCACCATCGGTTAAATTTGATGCAAAAATATTGCATCTACCAGCATTTTCAGGTAGGATCATAAAGGAGTTATCGAACATGTAGACTGTCTGTATACAGATACGAATATGAAATTTATTCACAAATGGAATATTTGTATGTGAACAACTAAATTTATTTTGTCTTGACAATTGGTTATATTCTTGGGTCAGTGTTATGTGAATTGTAAATAATCTGTAATTCATTTGTGCCAGCTGTTGACATTTCTCAGCTGAGTCTGGGCTGCCCTGTCCTCTTGTGTGTGGGGAGGTTCCTGTAGATCTGGGCAAGTTTTCCTGTAGAGTGGGTGGGGGGCCTCCTCCCTTCCGTTCATAGAGCTGGTTGAATTTCCACCATTTATGGCAGGTGTAGGTGCACAGGGTTGGGGACAACAAGGAAGGATTGGGATTCTATTGGCGGGACCAGGACATTTGAGAACGGGACTAGGTGGTTCATGACTGTGGAGATGGTGTGGGAGTGGAGATACTTAAGGGATAATTATTACATTTCTGTTGAGCTAATGAAAATCTTATTTAGGGTGAAAGTCAGAAATTTTTACATACCTTAAACTTTTTTTTTTTTTTAACAAATTATATTTTAAGCTGTTAAACTCAATTTGGGGAAAATTATTCATTGTGGCTAGAGTAGAATCTATGATTTGAAGTAAATTTAAAATATATTTAGGTTTAAATAAACCAGCTAAGGGTTTATATCAGTCAACTTAATTAGTGATAAAAACAACCAAAAAAACCTGTGTAGAAGGACGTTTTTGAAAGACCAAAGTGAAGCAAAATATTAATAGTGCTTTCAGTGCCAAGTAGGTCTATTTATGCAAACCTAGAGAATTATTATCGGGAAATACTATTTCCTTTTTCTTCTTTGAGTTACTTAGGAAATTATATTTACAATTTCTTTGTCTAAAGATTGAGATCAGCAAAAACATGTTAGCAAAAAATTTTAGGGAGTATCACATTTCCTAGATTTTGCCCTTTTTTTATAGGGATTTGGAGGTAGGAATTTCAGGTGATTTTAGCTATCATGTTATCCTCGTTATTTTTTTACAGTAATTTCATTGGAACTTTTTAATAACTGTGTGGTTTGTGCTTTTCTCAATATCTGAGAGTTGATTTATTTATACAAAGGCTTTTTTGTCTTTTACTCCAGTTGTATTGAACTTTGCATTTTGTTATAATCTAGGTTGTGAGACAATTCTGCTTTAGACATCTGCTTGGTTTGAAAGCATAGTTTTCCATTGAAGTGTTTAAAAAGTTTCCATGGATAGATAAAGAGATGAGGAATATAGAAGGACAAATAGAAGTAGTGTCATCTTTGGAGTATTTTTGGTGTTGACAGAGTAATGTTTTCTTTGTCCTCATCTTAGCTGTCGTAACTCTGTGTTTATTTCTCATGTAATGTTTCCAGCAGTTGTTTTTCTCATCATCATACTTTTGTTATTTTCTTTCCTTGGCAATGGATAAGTTATAATTTCTGAAAGACCAAGATTGGAATGACTTTTTGTAACAAGTGTGCTCGCAGATCGACTCCAGTGAGAAGAGCTCGGGGACCTCCTGAGCCAAGTTTAATCTCCTTTGCTGTTTGTGCGTGGTGGCTGGTCACCAGGAGGTGGCCACCAGGCTCCTCCTTTCCCCGCTGGTAGGCCTCTGTGACATGACTTATGCATTTAAATTTATGTTTTTATAGAGGCTCAAACAAGTGCTAAAATAGCAATTTGATTTAACTACCATGAAAAAACTGATTTATCACGATTTTAGGTTTATGCAAATTATCCTCTGCTTAATCCTTACGTCTTAAAGTAGATAAGAGTAGACGGTGATTTTGAACTTTTTGTTGTTGTTGTTGTTTGTAATACTCAGGTTTCCATTTTATGTTAACTTGTAAGATTTTTAAAAAATATGTGAAATCAGGCCGGGCGTGATATCATAAGACAGACCTTTTACCTTCTCATCAGTGACTGGAATGAACGCCTGTAATCTCAGTACTTTGGGAGGCCGAGGCAGGTGGATCACCTGAGGTCAGCAGTTTGAAACCAGCCTGGCCAACATGGCGAAACCCCATCTCTACTAAAAATACAAAATTAGCAGGGCGTGGTGGTGCACTCCTGTAATCCTAGCTACTTGGGAGGCTGAGACAGGAGAATCACTTGAACCCAGGAGCCAGAAGTCGCAGTGAGCCGTGATCATGCCATTGCACCCCAGCCTGGGCAAAAAGAGCGAAACCCCATCTCAAAAAATAAAAACAAAAAACAAACAAAAAAAAATGTGATATCATAAGACAGACCTTTTCCCTTCTCATCAGTGACTGGAATTAACTGCCCATGTGGAACGGGTTGTGGGTGTTGGTTCCTTTACTGGGTCATCTGGTAAACTGCAAGGTTTCTGCTGTGACATTGAAGGCAGACATCAACCCTCTAAGACATTTTTTTCCTATCCTCTGGGAATATTACTTTTTGGACAATCTTGGTCCATTGGTAAGCTCATGGGAATTTGTCAGAGTTTTTTTGTTTCTTTTGGCTCATGTTTAGCATCGATTGGCAGAGTGTTTGGAGTCATCCTCAGAAAGGAATTACAGTGGTTCGGAGGTGTTTTCTGTAGTGGGCCCTCATTTGGGAATTGGCTTGAAAAAAATGTAAGTTCACTTGCTTCCAGGATGGTATTAAGATTGCTTTTTTTGATAGTTGGCGTGTGTCTATCAGGTAAGGGCTGTCATTTAGAGAATATAAAGTGGTAGGAGAAACTAAAAGTACTGTTCTTAGTTTTTATTTTAATCTTATTCGTATACAAGTGCCTTTGTAATTTAGCAAATATCATTTTTGGTGTACAGTATAAATTTCCTTTTTATAAAGATCTGAGTTTTTAACTTTGCTGTCACTTTCTGTGTTTCATGACTTAAATATTTTAATTTTTTCTTTTTTTACATTTACATTTTTTATTCTAGTTCCAATTGCTAATCCAGCATTTGTGGATAGCTGCAAACTGCGATATGTAAGTAACATTTACATTTTAAAAATTATTTCTCATGGTTTTATTAAGTAGTTACAGCATACATATTTATCAAAAGCAGAGTCCTAAGTAATTATCATAAATTTTCCTGATGTAATGATGAATTTACTCATAGGCAATTTTTATGGGCATTCCAATTATAAACTTTAGAATATTTAAAAATAGCCCTTCTCCTAATATAGATACGATTCTGGGATTATCTAAGCTACTCCTGGAAACTTTATTAACTGTTGTTGTTTTTTTATTTTCGTAGAGACAAGGTCTCTCACTATGTTGCCCAGGCTGGTTTCCAACTCCTGGGCTCAAGTGATTCTCCCATCTCTGACTCCCAAAGTGTTAGGATTACAGACGTGAGCCACTGCGCCAGGCTAACTGTTACTGTTTTGAGTATTGGTTATAAAATACTTCAACCCTGATCCCTGTGTATTAATTTAGTTATACTTCCTCAAAGTTTCCCTTGGGCACCCTTATCTGTCCCTATGTAGCACATAGCTTCCCTATGATGTTATTTATAATCTAATGAGATTAATTATGATTTATAAACTCCCGATGGAAGGAAGTGTCCTTACTTTTTATAGAAGCAACATACCAGGTGGAAAGCACCGTAGATCAAGTGTTAGAAGGCTCTGGGTTCCTGTTGCCTATAAGACTTGGCCAAATGATTATCTTTTTCTCAATCTCTGTTTCCTGGGGAGTGTGGGTGGGACAAGGAAATGGCATAGGTTTAGGATTCAGACAGACCTGGGTGTGGATCAAAGATCCGCTTTCTGGGCCAATTACTTTAATTGCTGAGCCGCAGTTTCCTCATCTGTAAAATTGGGATGGGATAACTACTTCATAGATTTTTGGTAATTATTCAACTTTGAATGTGGTAAATATGTGAGATACCTGGTATAGTGCCTGTTTCTTTCTTTTTTTTTTTTTTCTGAGTCGGCATCTCCCTCTGTCACCCAGGCTGGAGTGCAGTGGTGCGATCTCAGCTCACTGCAAGCTCCGCCTCCCGGGTTCACGCCGTTCTCCTGCCTCAGCCTCCTTAGTAGCTGGGACTACAGGCGCCCGCCACCACGCCCGCCCGGCTAATTTTTTTCACCGTGGTCTCGATCTCCTGACCTCGTGATCTGCCCACCTCAGCCTCCCAAAGTGCTGGGATTACAGGCATGAGCCACCGTGCCTGGCCGTATAGTGCCTGATTCTTAGTGGGTATTTCATTGACAGTGGGGTTGGGGTTGTAGAAGTTGTAGTTATTATCATGAAGCTTGCTTATCTCATGATTGTTAGGACAGGCACATGAAAAAACGGAGGTGAAAGGATTTTGTGAATTGTGGCAGTGGTATAATAATTATTCTTCTATGCTGGTGAAATATGGGTGAAACAATAGGAGTTTAGAAAATGTTTAATAATAAGGGTAATTCTTATTATACGTCTTCTAATGTTACTCTCGCAAAATAAAATCTGGTAATAGAAAGTAGGATTTTTAGGTAATGGTTGAGCATTTAATACTTTGAGAAGGCTTATGGTATGCTCATTAAAAATGAATCAATGAAATATGTATCTAAACACTTTTATTTAAAACGTGTTATATACCTGAATGGGGTGCTCCCTGCTGACATTTTCAGACAGACATTCCAAATCATTTCCGAGAACAGTCATCCCTCTGTATCAGCCAGGAGAATGGTTCTAGTATCCCCTTGGATACTAAAATTAACACATACTGTTTTTTCCCCCACTGTTAAAAATTGAGGTTTGATTGTAAAACAGTTTTAATTTGAATAAAATGATACTGAGGTAGACAAGTTCTCTGGTAGGAATCTTCTTTTATTCTCTTTCTCCATCCAAAGCCACTTCCAGCGAGGTTTTCTCTGACCTCAGGTTATATTACCTTGATAGCATATGATAAAGGGTCCTTAACTTAGTCTGGGAGATAATTATTATTGAAGTAGATACTTAGTTTTGTTTTGCTTATAAAAAATTAGAATCACATGATATAGTTTTTTATGTTTGTTTTCCCCCATAACATATATATTATGTATTTTAAATGTTATCAACATTTTAAAATAAAATACATAATACTTAAGGTAAACGTTTTATATGTTGTGAATATCTGATCATTTTGTTTACTATTTTTGGATAGTATTATAATGTTGTAAACAACATTTTGATGAACATTTTTGAGATTAAATCTTCGTGCCCGCTTTTTCTTTTTCCCTTTAGGAAAGATTCATAGAACTAGAACAAATGGGTAGAAGGCAGTAAATATCTTTGTGACTTCTGAAAAATTGCTGAAATACTCTTAAAAAAACATTGTATCAATAGATAATCCCAGTCAATGTGTTTAAAATGCCTTTTGTTAGAACTTCCAACGTTGAGTATTTATCAAATTGTATATCCTTTTATCCTTGCCAATCAACTTTATGAGGTATAATTCATATATAGTAATAGTGTAATACTGTAACTTTAAAATGTGTTACTTGTAAATTACACATAATTTAAAATGTTCCATTTTAGCTATTTTTATGTGTACAGTGACATTTAGTTCATTCCCATTGTTGTGTAACCATCACCACTATTCATTTCCAGAACTTTTTCGTCATCTTAAACAGAAGCTCTTTACCCGTTAAACATAACTTCCCCTTTCCTTTCCCTTCCCCAGTCCTGGTAACCTATACTCTACTTATTCTATCTTGGTAAATTTGCTTATGGTGAGTACCTCATATTGCTACTGAAACATCGAGGGGTTTGGTCTAGGTCCTGTTGCTCACAGCGCAGAAAGCCAATCACGGAGACGATGAGTGTTGCTAGGGAACAAGGCTTCAATTGGGTGCTGCAGCTAAGGAGATGGGAGATCAATCTCAAATTTGTCTCCTCGACTGACTAAAACCACAGGTTTATTTAGCAGGGAAGAAATGTAACCATGTATGGGAAAACAGGAGTTAGGGAAGGGTGAGGGAGAGGAGTTGGTCGACAGGAAGCAGGTAGTTGGTTAGGCAATTGTGATGGGTGAGGTGGTCTGGTGTCTTATGGTCCAGATGTGGTGATCTGGTAAGTTTCAGTTCCTTGATAACTATCTGGGAGGCCTGATGGTTGGTTTCCCAAGAAAGGAACTCAGATAAGACAAATGTAACTTTCTCAAGTTTTAAGACTGGGAGGGTCAATTTCTATCTTTATTTTAAAAGACTGTAAACATCAGTTCTATAGGACAATTGGGCTGGTTTCATTTGCAAGGTTTATCCATGTTGTAACTAACATGTGTCAGCATTTCATTCCTTTTTAAGGCTGAATAATATCCCTTTGTATGTAATATACCACAGTTTATCTTTTCATCTGTTGTTGGGCACTGGCTTGTTTATATCTTTTGGCTATTGTGAACAATGCTGCTATGAACATTAGTGTTTTCACACCTGATGGGTATGAAGTTAGTATCTCATGGGTTTGATTTGTATTTTGTGACTAGTGATGTTGAACATCTTTTTTTGTGATTGTTGGCTATTTGTATATCTTCCTTGGAGAAAGGTCTAGTCAAGTCATTTGCCAATTTTTTTTTCTTTTTTTGAGATTGAGTCTCGCTCTGTCGCCCACGCTGGAGTGCAGTGGCGTGATCTCGGCTCACTGCAACCTCTGCCTCCCAGGTTCAAGCGATCATTCCATCTCAGCCTCCCAAGTAGCTGGGATTACAGGCACCTGCCATCATGCCCAGCAATTTTTGTATTTTTGTAGAGACGAGGTTTCACCGTGTTGGCCAGATGGTCTTGAACTCCTGACCTCAGGTGATCCACCCGCTTTGGCCCCCCAAAGTGCTGGGATTATAGGTGTGAGCCACCGCACCCAGCTGGTAGATTTTTTGTTTTGTTTTGTTTTCAAGAAGGCCTCTCAGTGGCTTACCTCTGTGCCATGCTTTGGAGTTTGAGCTGTCTTCTCTTTACTAACTGTAGCTCTGTAGGACTTGGGAGTCAACCTTACCTTCTTTTTTCCTCCCTATTTTGTAGGTCTTGTTTGAGTTAGCTTTTCTTTTTATTCCAGGCCTGTAAATTTTACTAGATTGTCTCTAGGAATTTCATTTTACTAATTTGCTTCAGCCTGCCTGCCTGCCATCTCTTTTTACTAATTTGCTTCTGCCTGCCTGCCTGCTTCCTTCCTTCCTTCTTTCCTTCCTTCCTTCCTTAATTCCTTCCTTCCTTCCTTCCTTCTTCCCTTCCTCTCTCTCTCCCTCCCTCCCGTCCCTTCCTTCCCCCCTCCCGTCCCTTCCTTCCCTTCTTTTCTTTCCATTTATTTTGAGATAGAGTCTTGCTCTGTTGCCCAGGCTGGAGTGCAGTGGCGCAATCTTGGCTCACTGCAACCTCCGCCTCCCGGGTTCAAGCAGTTCTCCTGCCTTAGCCTCATAAGTAGCTGGGATTACAGTTGTACGCCACCATGCCCAGCTTATTTTTGTATTTTTAGTTTAGAGATGGGTTTTCACCATGTTGGCCAGGCTGGTCTCGAACTCCTGACCTCATGTGATCCTCCCGCCTTGGCTTCCCAAAGTGCTGGGATTACAGGTGTGAGCCACAATGCCCAGCCTCCTCACCCCTCCTTTAGCTATTATATTACTTCCTAGATTTCTTCCTCTCTATTTCACCCTTTTTCTGTTCCTGAAACCCCTACAGGATGGGTGTGGGAGTTTGTGTCTCATGACTCTTCTTTCAAATTTTCTTTTGCTTTCTCACTTTCTCTTGTTTATTGAGATATAATTCACATACCATAAAATTCACCATTTTAATGTGTACAGTTCAGTAGGTGTCAGTATATTGAAAACTGTTCAACCATTGCCACTATCTAATTTGAGAACAGTTTTCTCACCCAGTGAAACCCAGTACCCATTCTTCTCCAACCCCTGGCAACAACTAATCTACTTCTTGTCAGCTGATTTGCTATTCTTGATATTTCATATAAATGGAATCATACAGTGTGTGGCCTTTTGTGTCTAGCTTCTGTCATTTAGCATAATGTTTTCAAGGTTCCTCCGTATGGTGGAATGTGTGAGTACTTCATTCTTTTTCTAGCTGAATAATCTTTGTATGGCTATTCCACATTTTGCTTATGTGGTCTTGATGGACATTTGGGGTTGTTTCCACATTTGGCTATTATGAATAATGGTGCTCTGAACATTTGTCCACAGGGTTTTGTGTGAACATATACGTTTTTATTTCTCCTACAGTGGTGAGATTGCTGGATAAAATGGTAACTCTGTGTTGAACCTTTTGAAGAACTGCCAAAGTCTCTTTGTTAAACTTTTATTTTAGGTTCAGGGGTACACATGCAGGTTTGTTATATAGGTGAACTCATGTTATGGGGGTTTGTTGTATGAATTATTTGGTCACCCAGGCACTAAGCTTGGTAAGGACCAATTGTTATTTTTTCTGATCCTCTCCCTCCTCCCACCCTCCACCCTAAATAGGCCCCCGTGTCGATTGTTCCCTCTTTGTGTCCATGCAAACTTTCTTCTTTTATTGCTCTTCCTTGACTTTATCTTTGAGCTCTCAAACTTGATATTTATCCCCACTCATTTTATTATTTAGGATTTCCAGTTAATTTTTTAATTTCAACAATCATATTTGAAAGTTTTTGTTCATTTTCTTTTTCTCTGATTGGTCCTTTTTCCTAGCTGCCTATATTTGGTATATAATATACTTTTGAATTTGAGGATAAATATTAGGATTATAAAAATCCTCATCTTGGAGCAGAATTTAGAATTAAATATTGTTATTAATATTTAAGGCTAAACATTAGGATTATATAATATAAGCCTGGAACCTGGACTTTGAAAAAAAGGGAACAAAATTAGGATTATGAACATTGTATTCTTATCTCTTGAACTTGCAGGTCACTTCTTTTTCATCATGGTCCTGCTTTTTAATGCTGTTTATTTCTCAAATGCCTGGTGATCTCTGGTTCTTCATTTATATTATGAATAAATGATTAAATTGATTGGTATAGAAGTTGGCAATATGAGTTTCCTTTATTCTTGCCTAAGTCTCTTTCTCCAATAGCTTCTCCTTTAAAGAAAGGGCTGGTATGTGGGTAGGTGAGGCCTGTTGACTGGTTGACTTTAATTTGGGATTCCAGCTGGCTGAAGATCAGTAGGCAGGCTGGAGGCCTCTGCAATTGCCAGGGTGGGTTTTTCTTTGCAGTGGAGCTGGCTTTCCTCATTTATTCCCTTCCCCGCTTCGGTATCTGGAGGACCACAGTTGCTGCTTCCCACATCCATCCATCCAGTGAGCAAGGTGGATTGCTCACTGTAGGAATGATTTTCCACATTTACTCAGGAGGCCAGGGCTGCAGGGTTTATTCTGTGTACCAGGGAAGGGAGATGGAAAAGAGACAGGACCTGATTGGCTCTGCTGTTCCTTGTACAAGGACACAATTTTTCCTTGTGCAGTTGTTTAATCTGATTATTGTCCTGTGGCTCATTCTTTCTTTTTGTCTTAGTTTATTCCAAGTCCCTGAGGCTTCCTTGGGAACGTCTGTCTACCTGTGGTTCTTAGACAGGGGATTCCTTTGTTGATTCTCTGTCAGTCTTAATTCTATTTGTGCATGTCATCTGAGATTTTCTCAAACTTTCTAGTCCACTTTTAGCCCTCCTTTTTGTTTCCAATTATCATTTAATAAAAAGAGCTTGTATTTTAGAGACTCTGGAGGGTTCAGAAAAGTGAGTGTCAAGTGTTCAGTGTGCAATCATTAAAGACAGAGAATATCTCATAAGTTTGCATCTGTGTTACTTACACGATTGTGATTTAGGGATGCTTTATTTCTTTCCCTTTCCCTTTTATTTTTCCTTTTGTTTCTTTTATGTATTTATTATTATTATTATTTTTAGAGACTCACTCTAAAAAAAAATAGGGTCTCACTGTGTTCCCCAGACTGGAATGGGACTACAGGTACATGCCACCATGCCTGGCTAAATTAAATTTTTTTTTTTTTTTTTTTTTTTTTTAGAGACAGGGTCTCACTTTGTTGGCCAGGCTGGTCTTGAACTCCTGGCCTTAGTGATCCTTCCATCTTGTCCTCCTAAAGTGCTGGGGATTACAGGTGTGAACCACTGTACCTGGCCAAAGTTTTTATTTTTTAATATGATGTATAAGGTTTAGAAGTGCTTTATTTTATTTATTTATTTATTTTTGAGACGGAGTCTCACTCTGTTGCCCAGGCTGGAGTGCAGTGGCACGATCTCGGCTCACTGAAACCTCCACCTCCTGGGTTCAAGCGATTCTCCTGCCTCAGCCTCCCAAGTAGCTGGGATTACAGGCGCCCACCACCACGCCTGACTAATTTTTGTATTTTTTAGTAGAGATGGCATTTCACCATGTTGGCCAGGCTGGTTTTGAACTTCTGACCTCAAGTAATCAGCCTGCCCTGGACTCCCAAAGTGCTGGGATTACAGGCGTGAGCCACCATGCCCAGGAGAAGTGCTTTTAACTCCACACGTGTTTAGGTTTTTTGGTTTGTATTTGTTATTTTTACTTTTTTCCTTTTACTACATCAAAATGAGTCCTTTATAATTTCTGCCCTAGGGAATTCTAATAATTTTTCTTTGTGGTCCAATATAAAATCATTTTTAATGTATGCCATGAATGTAGTCAACTATTGATAATAATGTAGTACTAGTAGTTTGCTCAGTCAGCACAAATTGTCAGGACACAGTGGTAATTTCTGCATGTGGATTATCTCCTGATTCTTAGAACAACATGAAACCAGGCTCATGAAAGATGAGTAATTATCCCAGGGTACTGTCTCCCTCACCTCCAATGGTGGGCCAGAGCTAGGTCCAAGACTTTGAATTCTAGAGTGTTAGACACCATCCTATGCAGCCTCCCACTGAGTAAGGGTGGTCACTGTTTGTAGGGTGTAGAGTTTGATAGATACGTCTGTTACTTTGACTTCATTAGTTTTATTTAGAATGCTTGAATGTGTGAATGTATTGATTAATATATTCGTTATTGCCTTCTCTCTGTGCTTGGAAGAGAAGAAAATTGAAGTTTACCACTACCATGGGTTTACTTTGCGTGCTTTGTTATTTGGTGTATAAAGATTCACATCTTAGATCTTCTGTAGGTCATATGGTGTTTCGTTTAAAGGGAATCTTCTTCTGAAGAGTTTAGCCTTGAATTCTGCTGAGATTTACATTGGCAATCCTGTTTGCATTTTGTTTGCCTTGGACAGCCATACTTTTATGCACTCCTTTCCTACTAATGTGTTTATTTTGCTTTTGATGTTGATATATTTGTTCAACCAACATTTTTAGATGCCCGAGTGCGCTCCAAGCACTGTCTAGGTGTCACAGTGGCGATTGGGATACAGTCCTGCCTTCATGGATCTTCTGGGCTGGTCGAGGAGACAGACAATAAACCAGTCAATGAATGAATAAGTAACTGCAAAATTTTAGTTCTGCTCTAATGTGGTAGCCATTCACTTCATGGGGGTTATTTAAATTAGTTAAATTAATAGTAGCTTACTCATTCAGCATGTATTGTCGGACACAATGGTACTTTCTGCACATGGATTATCTCCTTTGATTCTTTTAACAACATGCGGTATGTATTGTTATCGGTCCTACTTACGAGGTAACCAGGACTAGGCACATGAAAGATGAGTAATTACCCCAGGGCACTGTCTCCCTCACCCTCAACTGTGGGGGTAATTTTTAAAATAAAAATTAAGGCCAAATACAGTGGCTCACGCCTATAATCCCAGCACTTTGGGAGGCTGAGGTGGGCAGATCAGTTGAGCTCAGGAGTTCAAGACCAGCCTGGACAACATGGTGAAACCCTGTTTTTACTAAAAATACAAAAATTAGCCAGGTGTGGTGACACACACCTACAGTCCCGGCTACTTGGGAGGCTGAATTGGGAGGATTACTTGAGCCCGGGAGGCATTGCAGTGAGCGGAGACTGCGCCACTGCTCTCTAGCTTGGATGACCCTGTCTTCCAAAAAAAAAAAAAAAAATTAATTTGAATAAAATTTGTTGTTCCTCACTTGCATGTGTCATATATTATGTGCTTGATAGTCATGTGTCTAGTGGATACTGGATTGAACAGTGCAGATGTGGGACATTTGTCAGTGCACGAAGGTTTGGTAGACAGTGGTGCCTTAGATGCCGTCATGGAGATGGGTTGGTTCTGAGGTACAGTGTCAAGTCACTGGGGGCACCTGGAGTGGTGACCTGAGAAAACCTGAATTTTGAGAAGGAACCTGTACTGTGAGGGTGTTGTCTATGGGGCATGTGGTACTTGTATTTAGGATTTTGGTAAAAAGTGACTATTCATAAGCTATTTAAAGTTTCTATTTTAAAAGTATAGGGTTTTTAGGTAGTGTGTTTTCTTTTGTTCTAATAGGAATTGTTTTGGTCATATTAGGGAAAATAATTGGCTTGTTGATACATTTTTATTTCCATTGATTAAATCTGGTAGCCATTATTTACTTTTATAGATTGAAAAATGGTTCAGTGTTTCAAAAGTATTTTGAGCTTGTCTTTGAAAAGAGATAGACAGGCAGGTGCAGTGGCTCAGACCTGTAATCGCAGCAGTTTGGGAGGCTGAGATGGGAGGATTGTTTGTCAGGAGCTCAAGGCCAGCCTGGGCATCATAGCGAGACCCCATCTCTACAAAAAGTAAAAAAATTAGCTGAGCGTGGTGGTGCACGCCTGTAGTCCCAGCTACTTGGGGGGTTGTGGTGGGAGGATGGCTTTTCCAATTATCCTACAGATATTTTTCAAAATGATTACTTTTAAACTATAATCTTTTTATTCAGAGGTAGGATGCTAGTTCTACAATTGCCTAGGTCTTCTTTAATTTGTATATGTTAAGAAATTTTAATGGGCAATTTAATAAGTGTTGAAATTTCTAAGAATTATTTCTGTATGTTAGAGTTGTGATAACGCAGACATTTTCCCTGAAGTACTTCTCTGAGTCTGATTTGTTTTCCTCCATGGGTGCCACATAGGTTTATTTTAAGAAGGTAAAAAATAAAAGCTGACTAAGGTACATATTGATTATTCCAGACAACATGCAGACATCACTCAATGAGTGCAGTTCTCATCAACTCACCATTTGTTTCAATTAGAAAAAATTCTCATCAAAACTAATTTTTCTGCATGAAATACCTTTTCAAATCACACTGAATGTGATTTATTAATTGTGATTTATCAAATTCAGTTTTCTGCTGGATACTAAAGGCACACCTCATTAAGACTAGTGATTATGGAAATAATACAATATTTTAGAAACTTTTGATTGTAAAAATTTCTTTTAAAATGAATACATACAGATATGTTATTGTTCAGATATTTAACACTTACGTAGAAACTCACTGATCTACTAACAAGTAGAAAAGAGACCTTTAGCCAAATGCCTCTGTACTCAGCAATAAAATGATTAATTACTGTGTTGCTCTTTTCTCTGGTTAAGGCTTTTAACAAATTTTGTTTTTCCTTTTACTATTACACCATAACTTGTTTAAATTTTGTTGCTGTTGCAGAATTACAGCAGACATTACAGTTCATGTCTCCCTGTGTATACGAGGGAGAGTTTCTCTGGGCTGTGTACATGGGGGAGTGTGGGCCTGACCTGTCACATTCAATTTTTATTTCACAGTCTTATATCTAATGCTCATCATTGCATAATGTAACTAGCTGGGGTTAGTTTCCTCAGTCCCTGACTCTTCTCTTCAGAGCCTGTTTTCTCTCCGTTTACAGATGGGCCAAGGTTGCTCGGGTGATTGGTTTACTGGCTTCGCACAAAACTGATCTCCAGGAAAATACACCTGTTGTTGAGGTAATGTCTTTTATGACTGAAATGTGATGAATGACAAGAAATACTGTTGTTGATTCTGTAATTTAGAACATGTGGCTTTCCTTGACCTTCACTTGACTTTTCTTTGTGGGATTGTGGAAATTGTTCAAAAACTTATCACCTCAACAGACCTTTAGGCTTAAACATAGCGGCTCATTTACAATGTAGTCCATCATTAAAATGGCACAGCAGAGTTAACAAGGCTCGTGAACCCTACTCATCATTATTTCATTTGTTTTTGAATAAGACTTGTTCATTTCCCGTTTTCTTGTAGTCTGTCCAACATTTTGTTACAGCTAATGTATTTCCTAATTAAATCATAGCTTATAATTCAAAATTCAAATTCTTCTGGCTTTTAGTGTTTTCGTATGAAAGATTACTTTCTACCTATTCTGTTAATGTATATTACACTTTATTGGTAATAGAGTGTTATACCTTGAACTGGGAGAGGCTCAAGAGTCAGTGTAGGTGAAAAGAACCAAGGCTTTTTAGGGGAAATAGCAAGAGGTCCTGAAGGAAGTTAAAAAGGGTAAGGGAGAGAGGATTTTGTAGAGCTGAAGCTGGTTGTGTGGTATTTGGGGCTTTAAGAGGAATTGGAAAACTTTCTATGTCTGTGTTGTCCACTATAGTAGCCAATTGGTATTTGGAGCCTCAAGAGGAATTGGAAACTTTTCTCTCTGTGCCATTCACTGCAGTAGCCAATTGCTGGGATAGTATACCAGCTGGCCTTACAGTGTCTGGGTGGAGATTAATATAATTTCACTGTATTTCCCTTGCTTACAATTACATCTCTATTTCCTGCAAACTGTTGGATCTCTGAGCTACTAGTAAAATGCCACTAAGTCTAATTTTTTCCTTTTTTGGGGGGCCTAAAATAAATGAATTGTGACCTGTGTGATTACTGATGGTACCCAACTTGGTTCTCAGAGATGTGTCGAGTAGATTTTTATCTAAAAGATTGAGCATATAGGGCAGTATTACCAGGAAGATGAGAAGGCTTAGGATCTTAAAAATGGGGGTTCCTTCTGATGGCTCAGAGCAAAAGGTCTCCAGTGAGATGGAGTAGCTGTAGAAGATGGGAGAGAACATAAAGTCCAAGACAAAGTCCCAAGATTTTAGAGGATATTCATGCATCGTCAGAGCAGGCATTTGTTGCTCAGAAGCTGTGAAGAAAGAGCCTCTGAATATGTAAAATATGACTGTTGAATTAAATGATTCAGTAGTTGCAGTAGATTATGGATACTTTAGGAAGCTGAGTTAGTGAATTTGAAGATCAGTTGGATGAATTCTCTTAGGATTCAGAAAGAAAGAGGATAAAGATTGTGAATTAAAAAGGCATGGATGATAGTTTCAGATGTGTTCCACTATCCAGTATAGTAGCCACCAGCCACTGTGGCTATTGAGTGCTTGAAGAACAGCTAGTCTGAATTGAGATGATCAACTTATAGAAAAGAATACTATGGGCACCCTGTAATTTCCAAACCCCTTGTTCTACTTGATCTTTTTCACAGCATATATCACCACCTGGCATTTTATGTATTTATTTCTCTTTCCATACTAGACTACAAGCTCCATTGGAACAGGGATTGTGAATTGTCTTGTTCAACACTCCACCCCCGTGCCTAGACAGTGTCTTGTGTATATCTAGATACTGACAAATATTTTGAAATAAGTGAATGAAAGTGTATCAGTATGCTTGGGACTCCCTGTAGCAGTGCCTGGAAGATGGTATGTTTTGCTGCTGCAGGAATTCTCAAGGGACTGGGCAGAGGGCATGTGAAGTAATCTGGGACCTGCTTGTCACCCTGGGTGATGTGCTGCCCTTGTTCTACTGGTACTTGCTGTTGCGGCTGCTGCACTCCCACTTGGAGAGTTTGGCCCAGCAGTTCCTGGACCATATTTGTTACTTGTGCTCACTCAGGTTGAGTTCTGTGGCCAGTTTGTATTCTCAAAGTATTTCTGCTACTCCAGTTATACTTTGTCAACGTTGTATTCCTGGTCCTGCCTCAACTGAGAGGAAAGGGTGGGTGTTAATTCCCGAGGTTCTTGTATCTTTGATTCCGGTACTGTTCTCTTCATGGGTGTTTGCTGATGCTTTATTAATTTGAAATGCAAGACCTTAGGGAAAATCATACTTATTTCATTTAAAAAATGGTGTGTACTGAACTATCTGGTGAACTGTTTTGAATTACACACACTGTATTGTGAACTACATTTGGTTGGATAGTAGGGAGCTTATATAATAACTTGAAATTGAGCCAGGTGCTCCTTTGTGATGCCATCTTAATTTTATTATTTCTCCACACCTTTTAGTTCTTTAGTTCGTTACTTTTAATGGCAAAATCTGTGAATTTCTTTTACATCAACCTATTTCCTGCTGTGAGCAATTGGCTGTGATAATTTAAGGAGCCACTAGAGGTCATTCAAGCACTAGAAAAAAAGTTGTGCAAGTTTTAAGAATTTGTTTCAACTTCTGGAAGCAGGATCTGTAGAGGCTGAGCAGGTACATGGTACCACGTTTCATCTTTTTCCTGGTTTTTTAGAAGTTTCTGCTACAGGATGTGTGGCTCCATTCCACTGGTGATTTTTACCATTTGAGAGGAATCAGATGAATGAAAACCATTATAGCCTCTCCAGAAAAATGCAGTCAGCACCTAGCACATGATTTCAGGGGATCTGAAAACTCTGCGGAGTCCACTGGTGAATCTTTGGTTCATAACTCCTGAGACCAGGTTTCTGTAAAACTCACAATTGGGTGCTTGTAGATAATTTTTCAGTAATCAGTAACAAAATTTCAAGTGTAAGATAAATCCTGAATTCTCTATTAGATTTACTATCAGTGAACAAGAAAAATTGTGGTTGAAGTTCCTGTAAGCATTTTATTTTTTATTTTACTTATTTATTCATTTATTTTTTGAGACAGAGTCTCGCTCTGTTGCCCAGGCTGTAGTGCAGTGGTGTGATCTCGGCTCACTGCAACCTCTGTTTCCCAGGTTCAAGAGATTCTCAGCCTCAGCCCCAGCCCCACAAGTAGCTGGGACTGCAGGTTCATGCCACCATGCCCCGCTAACTTTTGTATTTTTAGTAGAGACAGGGTTTCACTATATTGGCCAGGCTGGTCTTGAACTCCTGGCTTCAAGTGATCCACTTGCCTTGGCCTCCCAAAGTGCTGGGATTACAGGTGTGAGCCACTGCACCAGCCTGGTACTTTCTAATATTTTGGATGCTTTCTTACTTGCTAAGCACTTTCTCTTACCTGGAATGTTTTTTACATTACCCCCTCCCCCAGTGATCTAATTTCTACTTTCTCTTTAAAGCCCAGCTAACATTCCATTTTCTCCATCAGGCCTTCCCTAACAGTCCCAGAACTCCTACATTGCCTGGTGTGCTGACCTAAAGCCCTCATTAAGACCAGTAACAAATCAAGCCTATCTTATCAACTGACAACACATTCTGGAACCATGGCGTGTCCATGGATAAGACATGAAGTCCTTCTTTCAAGACTTGGTTTTCTGGTACTGGAAAATACCAATATGGATAAAAGACCTTCAAAGCTGCTACGATGGGTAAGGAACAATGCACACAGTATACCATTAAGGCAAAGAAGATAGTCTTAATCCTGTATGAAATGCCAATGAAGATGTAATTAATGAATAGACATTTCATTGAAATGAAATCAAAAGACATTTTCCTTCTCTGACATAACAGAGTAGAACTCTCTAGTAAGAACACAAAACTGACCAGCCTGACCAATGTGATAAAACCCCCTGTCTCTACTAAAAAGACAAAAATTAGCCATGCATGGTAGCAGATGCTTGTAATCCCAGCTACTCAAGAGGCTCAGGCATGAGAATCTCTTGAACCCAAAAGGTGGAGGCTGCAGTGAGTCGAGATCGCACAACTGCACTTCACCCTGGGCGACAAAGCAAGACTTTGTTTTTTAAAAAAAAGAAGAAGAAGAGAAAAAGAAAAAGAACACAAAACTCTGGTTACTGCTCTATGAGAATTAAGTGAATGTGAAGGAGAAGTTGGAATAATATTACAAGTTGGTGAAATATTGGAATTCTGGTCTGTTGGTGATTGGTCTTCATCTTTTCTATAAGAGATAGCTCATTACACAATGTATTCTCATTTGTCTGAACGGGATTATTTCCCTTAAGGCGATGGCCTCTTCTGCATCTTTATGTCTCTAATGTCTAGCATGGGAACTACTCAATATATATTTCAGGTTGTTGACAATGATTGCTGCTGTCTATTCCATCTAGGTAAGGGTTTTTGCATTCAAAAGGCCCTTTGCCTTAAGACCTAAAGAGGTTTTGGAACATCAGCAAGCATCCATCTCGAGGTAAATAACTGGAATCCCAATGGGCTGTGTGTGTGTGTCTGTGTGTGTGTGTGTGCGTGCTAACTGGAATCCCAGTGGGGTTTGTGTGTGTGTGTGTGTGTGTGTGTGCTAAATGGAATCCCAATGGGGTTTTGTGTGTGTGTGTGTGTGCGCTCATGCCTGCATACACATGCGTGCACTTCTGGTACATTTTGAACAGGCATCAGATTACGTTCCCACAGCCCCTCTTCATCAAAATGAAGACCTTGTACGTCTGAAATACAGTTTGTGAAAGTCAAATTGTTATCCCTGTGACATAGAACAGCCGTTAAAAATGTATTTCACTGGAATGTCATTCTAAATGAATATTTTTAAATAGATATCCAAAAATAAGAAAATACAGTGATTTTAGTGTAATAAAACTGATTTCACAATTGTTTCAAGAAACTCAGAAAATAAAACTTCAAACTGGAAAAATGTGGCCATAAGAATGCATGGAGCCGGACGCGGTGGCTCATGCCTGTAATCCCAGCACTTTGGGAGGCCGAGGCGGACAGATCACGAGGTCAGGAGATCAAGACCATCTTGGCTAACACGAGGAAACCGCGTCTCTACTAAAAAATACAAAAAATTAGCTGGGCGTGGTGGTGGGCGCCTGTAGTCCCAGCTACTCGGGAGGCTGAGGCAGGAGAATGGCGTGAACCTGGGAGGCGGAGCTTGCAGTGAGCCGAGATTGAGCCACCGCACTCCAGCCTGGGCAAAAGAGGAAGACTCCGTCTCAAAAAAAAACAAAAACAAAAACAAAAAAAGAATGCATGGAGTTAGTTCATTCTTCTCGCCCCCTGGAACTTCTGATCAAAAGTCAATACCTTTGTGACCTACAAGTCTCTTTATTTGCCCTCCATTATAGACTGAGCTGTTAATAACATTTAATGAGCTCACATGGATTCACTGGCTAATAAAGAAGAATAGAGTTGAGGACATTGCTGCCCTGTTTATGCCCAAAAATTACCCTAAACTGAAAGTTGCTTTGTGTTCCTTCACTCCCCTCTGCTGGTAAATTTTAATATAGTTCTTAATTTTTTTAAGTCAAATTGATAGAAATATCAATTGTGTTTTTAAAACTGTAAGAAAAAATAATGTTGAACATCACAAAAATGTACTCAATCTTTCCCAAAACCCATTTCTTTCCAGTTAGTTTTCATAACTGTAGGTTCTTAAAAAAAAAAAAATGAACACTTTGGCCGGGTGCGATGGCTCATGCCTGTAATCCCAGCACTTTGGGAGGCCGAGGCGGGTGGATCACGAGGTCAGGAGATCGAGACCATCCTGACTAACATGGTGAAACCCCGTCTCTACTAAGCCAAAATACAAAAAATTAGCCAGGCGTGGTGGCGGGCGCCTGTAGTCCCAGCTACTCGGGAGGTTGAGGCAGGAGAATGTTGTGAACCCGGGAGGCGGAGCTTGCAGTGAGCCAAGATCACGCCACTGCACTCCAGCGTGGGTGACAGAGCAAGACTCCGTCTCAAAAAAAAAAAAAAAAAAAAAAAAATGAACATGTCATCCATACTTCTAAGGTGTTGTAAAGATGTGTAAAGTTTTCACTTTTTGCATCATATTCACATGTGGCTATATGCCCTTTTCTCTTCAAAGTTTTCTTTATCTTGATTACTTATCAGAGGCTTGACTGTTTTATTATCTCAGTCTTTTGAAAGAATCCTCCTTCAGTTTTATTTTTTAAATCTAGTGGTTTTTCTTTTTCCTTTTTCCTTATGTCTTAATTATTTCCCCCTTTTTGTTTGTTTTGCTTTTCCCAGTTTAGTGGATCAATGTAATTTAAATTGCTTTTTAAACAAACATGTAAGGGTATACATTTTCGTTGGGTGCTGTTTGACTTTGTTGCACAAGTTTTAAAATCTATTTTTTAATAGTTTGTATTTTCTAAATTATTTTATTACAACTTTTGTTCACATTGCTCTTACTATTAATTTTTTATTTTTATTAATTAATTAATTAATTTATTTATTTATTGAGATGGAGTCTTGCTCTGTAGCCAGGCTGGAGTGCAGCGGCATGATCTTGGCTCACTGCAAGCTCCACCTCGGGGGTTCATGTCATTCTCCTGCCTCAGCCTCCCAAGTAGCTGAGACTACAGTTGCCTGCCACCACATCCGGCCTTTTTTGTATTTTTAGTAGAGATGGGATTTCACCGTGTTAGCCAGGATGGTCTCGATCTCCTGACCTCATGATCCACCCACCTTGGGCTCTCAAAGTCCTGGAATTACAGGCATGAGCCACTGCACCCGGCCCAAAAGCTTTGTGTTTTTACAGATATTAGACATGTTTCTTGTTTAAGAAAAAAAAATCTTAATGAAAACGTAGGAGAATAAAAGAAACATTTTTCCAAAAAAGAGAAATCATTGTGATTATTTTATCTTATTAGAATGTTGGATAATATAGTCTGCTTCATTAATCATCAAGCATGCTATGCATTTTCCATTTTTATAGGATCTGTATCTCAGTTAAGGTAATACTGGTAATTTTTGTACTGTAATCAAAGATGAAGAATATAGGCCAAAATCATAGACCTTGCATAGAAGCTGGATAATGAAGACAGCTATGGAGAAAAACATAGATACACACACACGGACACACATATATATAAAGTATACACACATATATTTTTTAAAGTTTTAAAGCTTTTAAAGCAAAAGCCGGCCCCTCTTGTCTTCCAGAGTGGGAGGCCTCTCCCCTCTCTTAGAGTGGGTGGGGAGAGCAGTTGCCATGGGCAGCTTTCCTTGTGAGCCACAGGTCCCTCTGGACACACTGCTTTCTGGCCACGCCCCCTTTCCTTTTCATCTTTCTCATTGACCAATGGGCTTGGAGCATTAAGGCCACGCCCCTATTCCGCATTCTACTGGGGCCCTGGTTACGCCTCCTCTGGCTCAGTCACACAGCTGCCTGGTAGGTGACTGGAGGCCTTGATCGGTTCTCATTGAGATTTTGCTGCTGTGACCCCAACCCTGCCTCCCTCCCCACCCTGTGATGGCAGAAGAAACTCAACACAACAAATTGGCTGCAGCCAAGAAAAAGGTAAAAACGCACTAGGTCATAGCCCCTCAACCCAGCCACAGATCCCCTCTGATGACAAGACCCCTGCCAGAGTCTATACGACTCCTGAGGCACACTGGACTGGTCCCCCCTACCCCGGTGCCTCTGGGCTACCCCCACCAAAGTTTTGTCAGTCAGCCCCACCCCTTCAGCAAGCAGCCCAGTCCTTGCCCTCGCCAATCACCCCAGGGTGACTTTGGGTGGGTGAGTCCTGGGGCTTCCCGCTCCATTACTGGGCCCTCATCTCCTGCCGCCCCAAGCTTGATCTCCCTGGGCTCTTTGGGCTCTCATCTCCAAGGAGCCAGGCCCCACCCTCGCCAGTCATCCCTGGGTGACTTTGGACTGGTGACTCCTGGGACTCCCTGCTGCAGACTGTGCCCTCCCCTCCTGCTGCCTCAAGGTCGACCTCCCTGGGTTCTTTGTGCTGGCGTCTCCAAGGAGCTGGGTCACAACCCTGTGCTTCCCTCCCCCATCGTGGAGCAGCGACTTGGACATGGTGCTGACATGGTCCCTCCCCCCGACCAGGAGGAGTGGAATGTTGTGATGTCACAGTCCACCTAGTAACTGCTGTTACTGCAAGACTGGCCTTTGATCTTACGACCCAGTCCCCTAAGCGTTCTCACCCCGTTTCTGGTTCCTCTGGTCACAGCACAAATTTCCAGCTGGAAGGGGAATGGAGACTATGGGACCTAGGAGCAAGAGGTTCCAGGCTGCCTCACTCCCTTACAGATGTTGACGGTGGGAAAAGCCTACACTTCCCCCATGAACTCAAAACGTTGACAGTATCTCTGGGTGGCAATGAGAGAATGGGTTTGGTTTGGTTTTCTCCCAGGCTTCTACTTTCCAGAGAGATTTTAACATTTTTTTCTGAGTTCTCCACCTCATATTCTAATTCTCCATGGTTCTGGGACCAGACTCTCCTTCAGTCAGTGGTCTCTGAAGTGACATTTGCTCATCTTCTGTGGAATAGATCTTGGGAAACTGAACTTGACACCTTGAATCTTCCTCATATTATCTCAACCTTGGGTACTTTGAGTGCCACAGGATAAATATGGGACATCTTTCTGAAGCATCAGTTTCCCTTGATTCTCTTGAGATCAAGAGAAAAAACATGAATGTACTTAGGGATGACAGTCACATAGGTTTCTAAGAGTATACCAGACCTCTCTCTGAAATGAGGCTTGGGTTGTCCTCTTTCTGATAAATTCTGATTTAAGAGAAAGGCTGCCTTCTGCCATGAGGACACATTGATATAAGAGTTTGAGAGGTACTGGTGCACTTCTTCACACTAACAGACGTGTGAGGATGTGTGACTCTAAACCACATGGCATACAGTTCCTGCCTACTTAATGTTTACTTTTCTACCTCTGCCTCTGGTTTTGGTCCCTGGCAGCTGCTGATTCTTGGCAAAACCTCAGAGCTTGGAGTCAGAAGACTGAGTTTCAAAGTTCCAGTATTGCCTTTTTCTTTTTTTTTTCTAGCCATGATATCAATCCTTCTCAGTCACTAAATGAGTGTGACAACACCTTGTACAGTTGTTGGTGTCATTAAATCAGATGGTGTGTAAGTGTATTTTGTAAAAACTGTAAAGGAGGATGTGGCTGTAGGGGCTGACGGTTCTCATGAGTATTACTGCTCTTCTTTCCAACAGTTAAAAGAATATTGGCAGAAAAACAGCCCTAGAGTTCCAGCAGGAGCGAACAGGAACAGGAAAACAAATGGCAGTATCCCTGAGAAAGCCACTTCTGGTGGTTGCCAGCCACCTAGGGATGTGAGTCTTGGCTGACCAGGCTTCTGGGGACAGGGGGCCCAAGGGGCAATAGAGGGTAATTCTTAAGATTGTGGATGGACTGCTGGGTACTGGTTAAGAATTCTGGCTTTAGCCGGGTGTGGTGGCCCACGCCTGTAATCCTAGCACTTTGGGAGGCCAAGGCAGGCGGATCATGAGGTCAGGAGATCGAGACCATCCTGGTTAACACGGTGAAACCCTGTCTCTACTAAAAATACAAAAACATTAGCCAAGCGTGGTGGCGTGTGCCTGTAGTCCCAGCTACTCAGAAGGCTGAGGCAAGAGAATGGTGTGAACCTGGGAGGTGGAGCTTGCAGTAGCCAAGATTATGCCACTGCACTCCAGCCTGGTGACAGAGCAAGACTCTGTCTCAAAGAAAAAAAAAAAAAAAGGAATTCTGGGTTTGAATCCTGCCTCTCCATCTGCTCTGCTAGGGATATGATTTAGGGCAAGTTGCTAGACCTCATCGGGCCTCTCTTTTCACATCTGTATAATAGAGGTGTTATTGTTTCACTTCCATTTGTGAAGTTTAAATGAGATTTGTTATTGTTGTTTTTATGTTAATCCCTAGTACATGGCCTGCTGTAAACACTCAGAACACCCAGGATATGGTTTGATTTTCCTCATCCCCAGTCTCAGGGGGAAACCAGGACAATGAGAACAGCCACTTGCCATCAGGAGTCACTGAAGGGGCCCCAGGATGGGATGGTGGGGAGATAAGAACCATGAGAGAAGTTGGCACAAAGGAGTTATGGGACAAAAGGTCCAAGATAGGCAGAAAAGAAAATGTTGCCAGTTGATGGGGAAGAAAGGAAGTCAGAGGGCTCAGACACTGTGGGGGACAGAACATCTCCATGTGCACTCTCATCTCTTGTAGTCAGCAACAGGTTTCCACAGGGAAGGCCCTACATCATCTGCTACCCTGAAAGATCTGGAGGTAAGAGGCTCTGGGCGGAGGTGCAGTGACCCTTCGGGTCAACCCTCCAACCTCCTCCTCCAGGTGGGACTGGGTGCCCCTCTGCCAGCTGAGACAGCCCACACACCCCAGCCCTAATGATTGTTCTCTCTACCTCTCCCCCCACTCCTGCTCCACCTCCTCCTCTCTGCATGCACCTCAGAGCCCGTGCCAAGAACGAGCAGTAGTCCTGGATTCAAGGTCCGTAGAAATCAGTCAACTGAAGAACACCATCAAATCTCTGGTAAGAGTCCACTGGGGTCCCCTGATTCCACGCTGCCAATCCTGGGCTCCAGTTTCCCCTTGGGGCCCTGAAGAAAGGGGCTGGGGGTCCCTGGTGCCTGGGACAAATAGGGAGCTTGGGTGCCCAGGCCTCACCTGGAGGGACCCCAGAGCATGCAGCATGGCTCTTCTTTTGCTGCCCTCTTTGCCGACTCTCTCCTCTCCAGACACCCCTGCTCGAGTCCTTGCTACACACGCCCTGGGGTTGTTGCCTCTTGGGGAAGTGCTAGCCTGACTGGTTGTCAAGGGCCCCGTATTTCTGCCATGACTCAGTCCCTAATTTGCTCTTTGATTCTGGACAAGCCACCTCTCCTTTTTGGGCTCGTGTTTCCAGAGGAGGTAGTGAGTATCAAAGGTCTCTGTTAGCTCTCGAGTCTGAGATTTAAAGGCCCCCTAGAACGGAAACCTCAGGGCTAAGGGCTCCTGTCTGTCCTTTTCCATCCTATATCTGCTGTAAAGAACCGTACCTGGCCCATACATGCTCAGTAAATGTTTATTGAATGAACCCACTTCTCTAAATCACAAGCTGCCAGAAGGAGGGGCCTTTCTGAAACTCCATCTCTAGAGGTTTATATTGCTGTCCTCTCAAGAGATTCCAGATTCAGACTTTGAGTTCTGTGGCTGTGGGCAAAAGCCAACAAAGACCCAAATCCTCTGTCCTTGGGAGCTTGAGGAGAGTTTACCGGTTCGTGTTCCCATTATGTCTGAGAACTTTGCCTTTAAAATCCATTCCTGGCCCCTGCCTACCGCTTCCTGGTCTGGGGAATAGAGTTGAGGGGGCCACCCTCCACCACCTTATTTGACTCTCCCCACAGAAACAACAGAAGAAACAAGTGGAACATCAGCTGGAAGAAGTAACGTGATTTCGTTTCCTCGCAACATGACTGCTGGGTTTGGGGGGCACTCAGACATACAGGCCCCAGTCTCGTCTCACCCACTCCCAGCCTGGGGATGAAGGCTCACCCTTCAGATTCCACCCCATCCCCACAGGGCCCCTGATAACCTGGTCCCATGGGTGGGCCTGTCCTGGGGCATTGGTGGCATTCTGGGGGCATGTCTCTTGCTGTGCCATCTCTGCCTCCCCCTGGTAAGAGCTCTGTCTTCCTCTTCCTACAGGAAAAGAAAGCAAACAACAAGAAACAGAAAGCCAAAAGGGTGCTAGAGGTGAGTGGAGGGTGTGCAGTTTCCTCCTGTCCTCCGGAGAAGGTTTCTTTCCTTCTCTTTCAGCACTTGCTTGGCTTTTCTCCCAAAGGTTCAAATCCAGACATTGAACATACAGAAAGAGGAACTAAATACGGACCTGTACCACATGAAACGTTCTCTCAGATACTTTGAAGGTGGGAATCTGGGCACCCTGTCATCCTTCAACCTGGCACTTTGACAGGTCTTCAGGGGGAGTCCTTTGGGCCCCATCTCAACTCTCTCATTACAGAAAAGTCCAAGGATCTGGCTGTCCGCCTGCAACATTCATTGCAGCGTAAAGGAGAGTTAGAGAGTGTTCTCTCTAATGTCATGGCCACACAGAAGAAGAAGGCAAACCAGGTGAGTCCAACCACCTGCCCCATCCCCTGGGAGCCTGGCTTTGCAGATGGAGGAGTGAGCCTAAAGGTCCCTTCTGCAGGATGGAGTGTCCTGCCCAGAAGGCAGCATGGCCATTTCTTGCTACTTTTTTGTATGGTTTTTAGTGGCAGCCTGGGGCTGAGTCAGCTGCTGTGGGTGAGTTGGGGGTCACTGTGTGGAGTGAGCACTGGACGCAGAGCTTGGAGGCCAAGTGCCTGCCCCGCCCTTACCTGTCTGTGGTCTTGGGCAAGTCCTAGTCCTAGGTGGGGTATTGGGTACTTGTACTGTGAAGGTACAGAAGAGTACCTTTAGTATGTTACCATTTCTGTAGAAAGAGGAAACGTGTGTGCGTGTGTGTGTGTGTGTGTGTGTGTGTGTGTGTGTGTGCATACTGTGATAATATACATAAAACATGTCTGCAAGGGTTCATAAAAAAGTCAGGAGAGAGCAACAAGATGGCCGGGAGATACTTCCCTTCTGTACCTTCTGAGTTTTGGACTATGCAAATGTATCATCCTTTCAAAAAGTGAACAAAAGATTAATTTTCCCCTTCCTATCTGTGCCCCCATCCCCAGCAAGAAAAACGGGCTTAGAGAATTGGATAGACCTGGGTGTTTATATCCCAGCTCTGCCTAAGTGAACTTAGGCAAGCACTTAACCTCAAATACTCCATGTTTTTTCATCTCCACAATAGAGGGAATCATAGTAACTGTCTCCTATGGTGGTTGCGAGGATTAAATGGGATTGTTAGCACGGTACCTGGTGAAGCATTCCACAAAGGTTCAAACAGTGGTAATAATAACAGTAATAACAATAGCAATATTATCTGATCTCTCTGGGCCTCTGTTAGCCAGCTATAAATTCAATCTCATTCCCTGTCCGTTCCAACTTTACTGAGTTCTTTTAAAAACCAGACCACGGGCTTGGAAATGCCTTGATCTTTACTGACCGAGTTGTATATTGGGCCTAGCCCTAGCCCTTTTAAGGGGCACTGTGTGGAAATGCCCAGGCTCTCCAGATTGAAACTTCTCACTCTTCACCATCCAGTTGTCCAGCCGCAGCAAAGCACGTACGGAGTGGAAGTTAGAGCAGTCCATGCGGGAGGAGACACTACTGAAAGTGCAGCTGACACAGGTGAGGTTTTCTGAGGGAGTTATGTGGAAGGAAGATGACCCCAGGTGGCCAGGAGCAGGTGAGGACCAGTGACAGCCCTTCCTAAGTTCTGTGCCCATTCTTGCAGTTGAAGGAGTCATTTCAACAAGTCCAATTAGAAAGAGATGAGTATTCTGAACATCTAAAAGGAGAGAGGGCCCGGTGGCAGCAGAGGATGAGAAAAATGTCGCAGGAGGTGAGATCTGACCCTTCAGCCCCCCCACATTAGATAGGTCACTGGATCTTTCTGGTCATCTGTAAAATGGGAATAGTAGAGCCAGAGGTGGTCATGGGTCTGGGCTTTGTGGAGGTGGGGGCAGAGAGGGAGAGGGCAGCCTGTCCAGCCACCAGCCCCTCTCTCCAAGGCCCTTTCCCCTTGTGCTTTGGGCAGATTTGCACATTAAAGAAAGAGAAGCAGCAAGATATGCGTCGGGTAGAGGAGCTGGAGAGGAGCTTGTCCAAACTCAAAAACCAGATGGGTAAGATGGGGCTGGCATGACCTAGGAGCAGGACTGGCATCAGAGGGCTGTGAGGGTGGCTTAGAGTGCCCCAGGGAGGTGGGTGGATGGAAGGGCTTTGAGGCAGAGGGAAAGAGATCTGTGCCAGGAGACGGCGAGTCTTGTCATCTCAATGAGTCTCAGTGTCTCAGTGTCCCCATCAGGAAAGAGGGCCCGTTGTCAGCCACCCGCAGTGCTCTTTCTCTGAAAGTGCTTTGGAAGACTGGCTACCATCTGGGTGCGAGGAATCATTAGCAGTGAGGCCAAGTTTGAGGAGCCTGAGAGGAGCTGTGCGCCAAGAGGAGGGTTTTTCTTTTCCGAGAATCCAGAGGCCCTTATTATCTGCTTCCTTTGTCAGCTGAACCCTTGCCCCCGGAGCCCCCAGCAGTGCCCTCTGAGGTGGAGCTGCAGCACCTGAGGAAGGAACTAGAGAGAGTGGCAGGAGAGCTCCAGGCCCAGGTCAAAAAGAATCAGCGCATAAGTCTCCTGAACCAGCGACAAGAAGAGAGGATTCAGGAGCAGGAAGAGAGGCTTCGGAAGCAGGAGGAGAGGATTCAGGAGCAGCACAAGAGCCTTCAGCAGCTGGCCAAGCCACAGAGCGTCTTCGAGGAGCCGGTGCGTTGCCCAAACTGGGGAGCTTGCCCTCCTCCCTAGCCCTCCGGGCCTTTGTTTCCCCACCTCTAAAATGGGGCAGTGTAGCCCTCACATGAAATGTTACTTCTAAAGGCACCTGTGAGCCAGGTGGCTGTGGGAGAGAGGGAGTGATTTTTCTAACCTGCCTCCAGCCTTCCCAGTGCCATGGGAGGCAGACACCAAGTTCTGGGGTCTCCAGCTGCAGTGGGTGGCTGCTGATTGCTTCTCTCTGTCCAGAACAATGAGAACAAGAACGCACTGCAGTTGGAGCAGCAAGTAAAGGAGCTACAGGAGAAGCTTGGCGAGGTGAAGGAGACGGAAACCTCCACCCCATCCAAGAAGGGCTGGGAGGCGGGCAGCAGACTCTGGGGAGGGGAGGTACGAGGCCAGAGGCAGCTTCCAGCCTGGGGGCTGGTGACCACAGCACCCCCCAGGGCAGTCCTGTTTCTTGCTTCCTGCCTCTGACTTTTAAAGGTGGGTAGCCCTGGGATCCTCTCAGGTCTGGACATCATCATCCTAGCTAGAGGCATGGAGCCCCCAATCACAGAGGAAGAGACAGTGGTATAACAGGCTCCTTATGCCAGGTGCAGTGGCTCATGCCTATAATCCCAGCACTTTGGGAGGCTGAGGCAGGAGAATCACTTGAGGTCGGGAGTTTGGGATCAGCCTGGCCAATGTGGTAAAACCTCATCTCTACTAAAATTACAAAAAAAAAAAAAAAAATTAGCAGGACATTGTGGCGCATGCCTGTAATTCCACCTACTCGGGAGGCTGAGGCACGAGAATTGCTTCAACCCAGGAGGTGGAGGTTGCAGTGAGCTGAGATTGCACCACTGCACTCCAGCCTGGGCCACAGAGTGACACTCTTGTCTGAAAACAAAACAAAAAGACTCCTTAGATTAAAACTGGATTCCAGCCTCGGTTCCACTGGTCACCATTCAAGTACTTTGCATCTCTAAGTCTCTGTTTCTTTAACTTCAAAGGGAAGTTAGCATTTTCCTTACAGAGGTGCTGAGGATTAAATGAGAAGAGGGTATGAGATTTGAGGCTGGGGAAGGAGGCATGGGGTTCTAGGAAAGGGAGGCAGTCACTTAGGCCTGGAGTAAGGGGACAGGGGCCTGGGCAGCTGACAGAGCCCCACAGTGCCCTCGCTACCCTATTAATGGGCCCAGAATCTGGAAACCAGCCACCACGTGCCCTCACACCCAGGGTCTTCCTGCAGGTGGAGCTGAAGAGCCAAGAGGCTCAGAGTCTGCAGCAGCAGCCAGACCATTACCTGGGTCACCTGCAGCAGTACGTGGCCACCTATCAGCAGCTGACCTGTGAGAAGGAGGCGCTGTACAGGCAGTGACTGCAACAGACCCAGCTAATGAACCAGCTGCAGCAGCAGGAAGCTTGGGGCAAAGCGGTGGCTGAGATGGCCTGCCAAAAGTTGCAGGAGACCCAGGGGAGGGAGCTGCCGAGGATGGGGCTGTGAGGGGGATGACCTGGCAAACTCCACCCCTTCTCACTCTGTCCTGGCCCCTCAGGAGCACCTGGAAGCTGCCAGCCAGCAGAACCAGCAGCTAACGGCCCAGCTGAGCCTCATGGCTCTCCCTGGGGAAGGTACGGGAGACTGCTCAGAGGAAGAGGAGAGAGCCCCAGGAGGAAGGGGGGACTGCTAGCAGCATAGGATTGAGGAGTTGGAAGAGACCTTTAGAACAGCTGGTCATTATGCCGACCGGGTGCCTGCACTAAGTTCGGCATCAGTGTGGTGACCTCCTGTGAGCGGGGGGTCACCAAGTTGCCTAAGGATGGCTGAACTGGCCAAGGTCAGAAAGGGAGCAGGTCAGAACTCCCACATCGACCAGTAGTGGGAGTGTGCCTGGGCGGAATAGCAAGATCTTGATTCTTAAAAGTAAAAATAAAGAACAACAGCTCATTCCTCTCTGGGGAGGGGCTGGCTCAGGGTTACACAGTGAGGGTGGAGGTAGAGGTGGGCCCACAGTACCTCCCTTGTTGGGTTGTCTGAAGACCCCTCTGGCCACCCCCCACAGGACACGGAGGAGAACATCTGGACAGTGAGGGGGAGGAGGCACCTCGGCCCATGCCGAGTGTCCCAGAGGACCCGGAGAGCAGGGAGGCCATGGTGAGCCTGACTCCCCCCTGCACCCATTTTGCCACCTTTCTCTGTGGTCCCTCCAAGACCCCTTTATGCTCTTCGTTTCCCTGCCTTCTGATTTCTCTGGACCCTCACCCCTTCCGAGAGCCAGTGGTCAGACACCATTTCACCTGTGGCCAACAGGTGCACTCTCTGAGGCCCCAAGGGAAGGGGCTGCGCTCCACCTCTCTGCCCCATTTCTTCTGTGTATGCCCCTAGAAGAATGCTCACATCTTGCCCTCAGGTGGCATTTTTCAAGTCCGCTGGAGCTAGTGCCCAGGAGAAGCAGGCACAGTTACAAGAGCAGGTGAAAGAGCAGAGGGTGTGCTGCCAGCGCCTGGCTCACCCGGTGGCCTCAGCCCAGAAGGAGCCAGAGGCAGCCAGAGGCCCTGGAGCCCCAGGGCCTGGGGGCGAGTCTGTGAGTGGGGAGACCCACTGGGCCCTGCAGGAAGTCACGGAGAAGCTGGCCCATGCCAGGACTCACCTCCGCCTTCTCCATGACTTGAAAATGCCACCTGAGGGCAGGTCGCTGCCGAGATGTGACTGCAATATTTTGGCTCCAGAGCAGCTTTATGGACCACCTGAAGGAGAAGGCAGACCTGAGTGAGCTGGTGAAAAAAGAACTCTGCTTCATCCACCACTGGCGAGACAGACGCCATCAGTGAGTGGGAGGCCAGGGCACGGCAGGGGGAGCTACAGGGCCGTCGGAGGGGCCCCAGCGTCTGAGCCCTGTCCTCCCGCAGGAAAACCCATCACCTTTTATCAGAACCAGGGGGCTGTGCCAAAGATGCGGCACTGGGAGGAGGACACCATCAGGCTGGAGCTCAGGGAGGAGATGAAGGTAGGGTGTGCAACATCTCTGTGGGGGTGGGGGTGGGGGTGGGTGTGAGGGTGGGCGCAAGCAGCGGCATGGCAGCTGAGCACCCCTCCCTCCAGGTGAAGCTGCTGGAGCTGCAGCAGATGGTATTGCGGCTTACAGCAACTACAACAATGGGCACAGAAAATTCCTGGCCGCTGCCCACAACCCTGCTGATGAGCCCGGTCCAGGAGCCCCAGCTCCCCAGGAGCTTGGGGCTGCAGACAAGCATGGTGGTGAGTAGAGCCCTCAGGTGGGGTGGGCAGGCAGGAAGAGGGGGCTCCCACTGTGCTCAGATCCCTGCCTCCCTCTCTCCAAAGATCTTCGTGAGGTGAGCCTCACCTCCTCTGCCCAAGGAGAGGCCAGGGAGGATCCTCTCCTTGACAAGCCTACTGCACAGCCGATCGTGCAGGACCACGAGGAGCACCCAGGCTTGGGCAGCAACTGCTGTGTGCCATTCTTGTGCTGGGCTTGGCTGCCAAGAAGAAGGAGATAAACATCACCATCCTCAAAGAGCTGCTCAAGAAATTTTTAAATAAGAAACCAAGTTATGGGGTTAATCTCCTACACAATTCATTTACTTCCTTTGAATGTTAGACTCACTCATGATTATTTGTGTTTCTAATTTATAGTTTAAGTTTATTTGTAAAAAGTTAAAAGAGAGTGGGTGTCTGTGGCTCTCACTGATGTTCACTCTGGCATCCTTTAGCATTTTTCTTTTTTAATTTCATAATTGTAGGTCATTAGCGTGCATATCGAGTTTGCCCTTACGTGGTGGGAGTTCAAACACACAAAGACCCACTCTTTGCCCAAAACTGTTCTCTTTGGTTTGGAATAGGCTGCCATGCTTTTTTAATGTTATTGCAGCATGTATATTCACTACAGCATTCAGACAAAATTTGCCTATGTTCTGCTGTTGTTTGATCTAATCTTAATCACAGTGAGCTCTTCCTTAGCTCAATATGTAGTTTGCCCCCAAGTGTGCACTGTTTATTACTTTGTAATACGCCACTATGAGTACTGACATTTAGAGTTGTTTAAAGGCCAAGAACTGGAAACAGCCTTTCCTCCATTTTCTGTGTATTGGTGATGGGAGTGATAACCTTTTGGGGGAGCTTTTTAAATCTCACAGAAGAGGAAAGTGGCCTCCTCTGGCAGGTATGTGCAGGATAGAGTGTGTTTCATCTGTTCCGGTGCCAGGAATTAGCGGTGTATTATGGTGGTTCCCTTAGGATTTGTATGTGCTCTGGGCTCATGAAGATATTGCATCATGAGCTGCAGCAGTTGTACTCTTTTTCGATGACCTAAAAAGGGCTTATTTCTGAGGAATGAAAGGTTCCCATCGTTGACTGTGGATGTGGAAAACCTTTCCTAGCTTAGAGCATTTGTATCTACAATACATTTTAAAGTCAGAGTTCATGTTACCTGTTTTAATCACATGACTACATGTCCCAGTACACAAAAGGGCACTGGTTGGCATTCTTCTTAATGTATTTAGTGAAGATCATAAGAAATCCTTTATGAGTTCAAACGTCCCTGGAACAGGCATACAGGCTCTAGTCAAGAATGAATTAGAGTGAAGGAAAGCTGTGTGACACCTGGCATTCCTCTCTGTTCACGGAGATTCTTTGAGGCTTGAAGATTGATTTTACCATCTAGACCTCTTTGGCTAATACCTATTCTTCAACCACCTTGGTTACTCTGACATAGGAATTTACTTCTTTTTCCTTGAATGGAAAACACTTTAAAAAATAATAGAAACATTATTATAAACTAATATATGTGAGATACTTAGTTGAAACAAAAAGGAGTTTTAGTAGATGGTATTGTACTCTCTTTGAAAATCAAGGAGAAGTTTATGAAACTTAAAATGTGTACAAACTGCAGTGCAATCTACTGTTCGTGAATGTCAATGTATTATCAGGAAACGTGTCTATACAATCACAGAGTTATATTTTCTCACAGACTTCTTTACAAAGTGAAATATGTTTTTGTACCTCTGGGTTTCTGTTCGGGACATATTTTGTGCGATATTTATGTGATTGTGCCTATGCATGATGAATGAATACATTTCAGTTATATATTGCCTAAATCGTAACTTGATGATGCTTGGGAAAGACTCAACAGTTAAAACTTCATGAAGTTCTAATGTCTGTGTTCCAAAACACATCACATTGTTAGGATGCAGGGAGATAGGTGTGTGTGCTCCCTGCGGTGGGGATTTCTAGTTACTAGATCATCTCCATTTTTAGCATTTGGCATCCTCATGATACTTCTATAAATATGACATTAACAGGAGAGCAACAATACGATTTTACCGATGGAATAACAGATTTGCTGGCATTCACTGAAAGAGTGCAAATATTCGGTCCTTGTGACTTCCACTGACTCTTCCAAATTTTATGAATGTATCAATGTATTAGATAAACCCAGTTTCAGAATGATAAAGAAAAAATCTTAGACCAAATAATGCGGCTAATTAACAGTGGTACGATTTGTAGCCCGTGGGTTTAAAATGCACTTAAAGTCCTGTTCTCGCCTTTTATTTTCTGAACTTGCCGCTTTTGCATTCTTTGAGTTCAGTTTAAAGACAGTTACTTTAAGAGCATTTTAAACCCTCGGGCTAGAAATCGGACCACTGTTAATCAGCCACATTATTTGGTCTAACGTTTTTTCTTTTATCATTCTGAAACTGGGTTTATCTAATACATTGATAAATTATTGCAAAGGTACTTTTATCGTTGAAATCACTTCACTTTTACCCTGATAAATATCAGTGACTAGGAATGACCTTCGGATAGCGTTTAGCATCTGTAACCAATCTGACAATAATGTGTTCATGAGGTGCCTATGGATTAAATCACACACTGGCATATTTAAGCTGAAGGTCAGTCTGGAAAATAAATTTACTATATTGACTGAAATACCACTCTTTGTGTAGGCATTTGTCATATACTTAAGAAAACGCTAAAAAGAATGGAAATTGTATGACAATAACTTAAGTCTTTCTCCAAAGTGCATGCAGTCTTTTGCGATACCTCATTCAGCCGAGTATTTGTGCTCTTCCTCATTCAGTATAAGGCAGCTTTCAGTTTGCTTAGAAGGCAACATTGGAATGTTAGAGTTCATCAGAAACATAGAATTTTAAACTGTGAGTTCCACTGAATACATTTTAATGTCTGTAGGAAGAATCAAAACACCTATTTAAAGATGGCAATATATAATAATCATTTTAAAAGTATTTGATTCAACCTGATAATTTTCCAGAAATGAAAAAAAAAATCAGCTCTAAAACCAAAGCGATTTTAGAAAATTTGAAAATGTAAATCAGCCCTATCCATAATATAGTTTCTCTAAAACTTTATCTTAGTCATTTTAAAATAATATAACTATTAAAAAATGTAACTGCTATCTTAATGTTCTGAAATAATTTAAAACATTTTAAAATATGAATACTGTAGTATAAAAGAAAGAAATGGTGGGAACGAAAAGCAGAGAAAGAAATGCCAATTCCAGTCCAAAGTTTTATTTGCCAAGTTTTCTTAGAATGAATTTTACCAGTTTATGAATTATTGTAAACAGAATGTGTCATGGAAATACTGAAAGATTTTTCCCTAGAGTGGCCTTATTGACTGCTGGTGTGATGCCACTGTAATGTAATAAATTATTAAATTGTTTCAATGTGTTGTTTTTGCCTTAAAATTTTATTTTGTGTTTCTTGAAAACTATAGTATTAAAGGTATTGATACTGTGCAAATGCTGGGCATGCTTGGCACGAGATAATGTGTTTCATTTTTACAAAGTTGTGATATAACTATGCAAGTGTTTCTTAAAAGAACACAAGATTTAAAAATTATGGGATTAAAAAAAGTTATGGGGTGAAAAAGTTATGGGATAAAAAATGTAAAAACGTTGTGGCAAAAAAACTTGTGGGAACAAAGTAGAAAACAGTATTATGAAAAGTTACCAAAAAAGTTATGAAAAAGAAGTTACGGGATTCTTTTTTAAAAAGTCATGGAATAAAAATAAAAATTAAAAGCAGGCCCCTGTCAGCAAAGCCTGGAGAAGTGGGGCCGGAGTCTCCACCGCCACCATGTCCCTACCACCCCTTCCCAGGCACCCCTTTACAATTAGGGTAGCAGGACAAGACCTCTGTCTAATGGGGAAAGACAAACAGACCCTTTGCCACCTTGACCAGGGCTGAGTCCCTAAATTTCTGGATGATGATGATTGTTATTTAAGAGCCAGAGGCTGGTGGAGTTGGTTTGTTTGGAGGAGGCCTGATGTCCCCCTTACTCTCACCATAGCAACTTTTCCCTCAGGGGGGCTCCCTTCTTATTCAGAGAGGTAGGACAGTGGGGCTAACTGTGGACCAGGCGAGGGCACGGGCTGCTGGGGTGGCCCCCGTTCCCCGGTGTACACATTGTGTCTGTGTAAGGTTTTGTATATTCCAGAGGGTAGGGCCACCCCTGTGTCATACCTAGCTGAGGTTGGAGCCGGCACATGGGGAGGAGGTTGTAATAATTATTTGTGGCTGGGAAACTTATTTATTGCTAGCATAGGACAGAGGAAGGAGGCGGGGATGGGGTCGTGGCTCCCTGGTGATGCGACTCCTGTTTATTTTGCTTTTTATTTTGGAATAAATGGATTTAGCCATACTGCTCGGCCTGGTGTGTTCCCGTTTCCCTCACTGGGTCCTGGAGTTTGTGCCACCAAACGAGGAGCCCCAGAGTGTCTTGAGTATGTCCAGCTAGGCTGTTAGGGACCTTCCAGGCGTGTTACCTGTATGCTGCCTAGTGGCGCCTGGGGGATTCCACGGGGACTGCCATGGTGCCTATGGGGCGCAGTCCAGCCCTGACAGCCAACAGGCTCAGAAGCCTGTTGTAGCGGTGGCCAGGAAGACAGGTACCAGCACCTAAGGGCACTGACTTCCACCCACCCCAGGCGTCTTCCCTTCCGTCACCTTGCCTCCCTCCCCTGTCTGCACCTGGTGGCCTGTTCTCTCTGTCCCTCCAGAGTGCCGGCTGCCCGGCAGGCTCCCTTCAGGCTGAGTTCGTGGCCCTGCCCCCTGGTGGCCAGAGCCGGCTTCACAGGACAAGAGCCAGCTAAGTTCCAGGGGCTTTCCAGGAAAAGTGTCCCTTGGAAAGGGTATGGCCTTTTCACCCCTCCAAACAGCACCCTAGAAATGGCTTGGCCTTTCCCCTCCCCTGAGCTCCACAGAGAACACAGCCAGCAGAGGACACACTTCCCCGTCATCCAGAAATGGGTTTGATTCTCAGCCAAGGGACAGCAGGACTGGTAGAGACTGTCAGGCCACTCAGCTGCCTGCACAGCACTCCCATGCTTGGTGGGGGGGCGGGAGGGATGGCGGGGGCTGACTCTCCATAGGCCAGGCGTGACAGGGAGACTCACCGGAGGTCTTGCACTTTGGAGGGGCAATGTCGGGACAGCTTTCTCTTGTTGGGCCACAAGACTCCAAGAGGACAGCACGGTGACTGATTCCCAGCACTAGAGGCGAGGCCGTTGGCCACATGTAGGTGTAGGGGTGTGTGTGTGTGTGTGTGTGTGTGTGTGTGTGTATGGGTATTTATAGATATTTATAGAACAATGCGAGGGCATACCACAGAGGGGGGCACAAGTTTCACAACAGTCACACCTGGACGTGTCAGCTCACCACTACAACAGACTAAGTCACAGATGAAGGGGGCTGGCTTTGGGGCTGGGGGAGCCACTGCCAAGTCACAGAACAGCCGCCCAGGCAGGCTTGGAAAGGGAGGCCTCCGAGAAGAGAAGGGATCTGTTTAGAGGTCGAAGGGGGGCGTGGGGCTCTCAGGATGGGATGGACTTGCGTGACCTGATCGGCTGGCAGTTGGAGAGAAAGCAGAGAGAAAAGAGGAGAGAGAAAAGGGAGGAGAGAGCTGGTGAGGCCAGTGCAGAGCACAGGTGTGCCACAGCAGCTGTGGGAGGGCCAGGGAGGGGAGGGCGCAGGTGCGGGTGTGGCAAGGTTCCTGGAAAAGAGGGGCTGGAAGGGAAAGGGGAGGAAGATGGAGGGAGGAGCCGGAGCTTCACAGGTAGTGCCTGGGGACTGTGGCGGCCCTCCCCACCCCACACATGCTGGCCTCTTCCATTGCACCCAGGCAGTGTACCCACAGGTCAGACCAACGCTCGGCCCCTTTGGGCTTCCCTCTTCTCTGGTCACCAACCAACTTGTCTTCCAAGTCGTCTTCCAACCTGTCTTCCAACCAACTGGTCTAGGGCCACCTCTCACCTTGGGGAACCCAACATAACAGCCACCAGGCCTGACAGAAGGAAAATTGCTCGAACAAGGATGATGAAGCTAAATGGGATGGATGGTTGGAGTGATCGCCGGAGCCCCCTCTGGGTGGTCAGGAAGCTCAGGACCCTCTGAAGGGACCCTGGGGGAGGCAGGGTGGGCAGGCAGCCAGATGCCACTGGCTATAAACTTATAAGTCTAAGAGGGGAGCCTCACCTTGTTGGAGATTGCAGGTCCCATAGGTGAGGCTGGGTCCTTCCTCCCAGGGAAAGGAGACGGAGACCATGGCAAGGGAGGTGGGTGGGCTTGCTGGGCAGAGCTCAGCTGGGCCAGCAGGCACTGGGCTCCCCTCGGCTGAATAGGAGGGCCAATCTCTAGGAGCAACAAGCCAAGGTGCGTGAGCCCGCTGGCTGGTGGTAGTGCTTCAGCGGGGCCCAGGGACCCTGCCTTCAGTCACATGCTAGCAGCTGTGATGGTACCTGGGAGGGAGGGAAGGGGGCTGTGTGCCCCTACCTGACCTGTGAGGTGTGTTTTGGGTTGACCATGTGTATGGGACTCTCGAGGTTTTATCCTAGATCACCACTGTTTTGCCAACAGATAGAGGAGGTGGGACCCTATCACCCCTGCTCTGCAGTGGATTTGGCCCTCAGCACTCCAAGGCATCCAGGCTGGGAGCTGGATGCCCCACCCTGGCAGCATGGCTCAGACAGCACAAAAGGCATGGTGTGCCCAGGATGACATTCCTGGGCCTCTGGCCACCTCAGAGTACAGCCCCACACACAACCCCCTCCAAGCTCTCAGCCCTTACACCATAAACCACGAGCTCCCTGATGGCTCCAGAGACCACCCACATCTGCCAGCTTGGGCACGGAGCCTGTTCCAAGAGCCCCCAGGCTCAGCCATGGGGGCTGGGGAGACTTGGGGCCATAGGGGCCAGCCCTGGTACCTGCGTCTGGCAAGGACGCTCTGCACCTGCAGCCAGGAGCTGTCCACGGGCCCCCATGTGCGTGCTGATGGTGGTTGTGTTGATGTCACCGATGATGCTGAGCACCTCCTTCAGCACGTGGTACATGCGCAGCATCTCATCTCGCCACTGTGCCTGCTCTGCCAACTCCTCCATCAGCGTGTTCTGGTTCCCATGCAAGTACAGGTTGGACAGCAACTCTGATAATATGAGCTCCTTGGTCTGAGAGGGGGCAAAGAGGGAAGGAGGTTGGGACCTGATGCATGTGCTGGCCTGATGCCTGTGCTGGGACAGTGTGCTGGACTTGGAGCCCTGAGTATGGCTTTGCACACGCGGCTTCTACACCGCTTAGACTCAAAGATCTGCCACCCCACCGCCCTTTTCTCACTCAGATAGGGACACTGAGGTCCAGAGGAAAAGTCACCTGTCCAAGGTCACACATCTGGGAGGGGACCCAGGACCTATCATGCCACCAGGACACCTGTCTACTCAGTTTCTTAAAAATGTTTTTTGGAGATAGGATCTCGCTCTGTTGCTGGGCTGGAGTACAGTGAGCAAGATCACCACTCACTGTAGCCTGAACCTCTTGGGCTCAAAGTGATCCTCCAATGTCAGCCTGTCGAATAGCTAAGACTATAGGCATGTGCCATCACTAAGCCTAGCTATTTTTAAAATTTTTGTGTAGAGACCAGGTCTCACTATGTTGCCCAAGCTGGTCTCGAACTCCTGGGCTCAAGCTATCCTCCTACCTTGGCCTCCCAAAGTGCTGGGATTACAGGCATGGACCACTGTCCCTAGTCCCACATTATAGTTCTATGAGACAGCTCTGGTCTGGACTGTGCCTCCCTCCCTGAACCTGGTCCCATAGGGCTGGTCGGCATCTCCCCCAGGCCAACATGGCCACCTGCATCCCCAGTGCCACAGGAGCCCCCTGCCCCTATGAGGTGGTGCATGCACGTTGTTGATCATGACGTGCATGACGGTCTTGGGCATGAAACCAACTATGAGGTCCCACACAGTCTTGTTGACAATGGCCTTGTAGGAGTCCACAAGGTTCTGGGTGGTTTCCATTTGCCGCTTCAGCTGTGGGTCCATGGAGTGGACTTAAGATTGAGTCTAGACCTAGACTGCTGCCGGGCTTTGCAAAACCCAACTGGAGTTGGGTCCTGGGCTGCTCTCTGTGGTTCTGAAGCACCATCTCCCACCAGTGTGGCTGGTTCCCCTTAATCTGCATCTCTGGTGTCTCCTATACAGCCTCTGCCAGAAATTCAAAAGCAGAGAGGGCTTTTATTTTCTATCTTCCAAAATAAATTTCAAAGTATTATTGGCAAACTTGAATAGTGACTTCTGTTTCATAATTTTTCATCGCCTTTTGGTTTCATCTTTAGAAAGTTTTTTAAGTTATGAGAATTTTTCTTTCCCTTAGAAGTTGATGCACATAAATCCCCTTGTTTGCCACATTAATGGCAGACCTTACTTTCCCCTCCCCGATTCCTGCAGGGGATCTCCAAAAATCTAAGCGTTAGGAAAGAGCCCAGCCAATCGCATCCCAGTGGTATCCCCACCCTTCTTCACCTATCCCAGACTGTAGCCTTGCCCCACCCTCTCAGCCACCAGGGACACTCACAGGGAATCTTGTTAATCTCATTGAAGAACTTCTCCTTCAGTTTGGCAAACATGTCCTCCTGGCTCTCCCCAGCACTCCCACTCTCGGTGGAGTTGTCCACGGGTCCAATGGGCATCGTGACGGTGGTGGTGGCAGGAGCCACAATAGGCTCTTGGTTCCTCTTGAAAATGTTCCTCATGGTGGCAGAGGGGACAGATGGGGATGAGAGGGGAAGAGGGCAGGGTGAGCATCCCAGAGGTTGTCTTCCCCTCAGAAAGCCATGCCCAAAGGACCAGGAGAAGCTCTTTATCGATCAAAGATATTTTGCATAATATTAACAACTGTAGTAAACCAATAATAATAGACATCATCCAATTAGTACACAGTCAGCCTGGGTAGCATAGCAAGACCCTATCTTTAGAAATTTTTTTTTTTTTTAATTAGGCATGGTGGAGGCTGAAGTGACAGAGGATCACTTGAGTCCAGGAGTTTGAGGTTACATGAACTATGGGTGACTAAGTAAGGTTCTATCTCTTAAAAAAAATAGTAGTACATATATGTGCCAAGCACTATGCAAAGCACTTTCCATGCATTATTCATCTAATCCAAAAAATAACCTAATGGTTTTTATTGTTTCCATTTAACAGATGGGGAAACAGGTTCAGAGAGGTTAGAAAGTTTTTCCAAGGTCACTTAGCTGTAAGTTCTGAAACTGAGGTTTGAACTGGTCTACCCAACTCCAGAGCTTGTATAGCTAATCACTCTCCTATATCTCATTTAAATCTAACCTCACCACTCTAGGAAGGAGACAAGGTTTTACACTGAGGGCTCCTCTTTCAACCTCTCTCCTTGACTTCCAAGGATTTCTAGATATTACTCTGCCTAGAATCTCTGCCCAGCTCCATGACACTTGAACTCTCCACATCCCTGACTCCAATTCCTCCTCCTGCCCTCCAAGACTCCTCAGCCCTCTGTAGTTTCTTCATGGGCTCCCTCAGTGCCCACTCAGGGTTTGTTTTGACCTCTCCTGTAGGAAGACGGCACCCACATCTCCATCTCTAGCCCTTCCTCCCGGGTCCACTCTGTAGCCCCTACTCCAAGTTCATCTCTAGCCCTGCCCCCACATGCAGCTGCACATTAGCCTTCCTGCATCAAAGATGTGATGTTTATTAATAACATAACCCAGACTTACTGTAGAAAATTTGGGGAGAGAGAGAAATCCCCCCATAATTCTACCCTCCAAAGTCAACTAGCATTTGGGGCATTCTATGCTGGTATTTTTTCTGAGTATGTTTTACATGTTGAGGCCATGCTATGCATAGTTTTTTTGAAGATTTTTTACATAAAATTTCATCATAAGCCTTTTCCTTTATTGTTTTGTATTATTAAATAGCTACAGAATATCGTACTACATGGTAACACCATAATTTGTTTAGCCATTCCACTATTAGACATTTAGGCAGTTTTCAACTTTTTGCTAGTAAAACACTGAGCATATATGTTGGTCTTCATTTAAGGCAATGTTCTTACGAGCTTCCAAACTCTGCCCCCCCATAATTCTGTCCTCTCCACCGAGCTCTTTTTGCTCCTCGGGGCTATGCACTCATTTCTCAACTGAAAGTCCTATGAGGGAAGATCCTGTGTTGGCAACAGCACCCCTCCTGCCAAGCACACAGTGGGCACTCAGGGTATTTGTTGATTGAGGTCCTCTGAGGCAACATAGCAGCATACACCCACAGGTATTCCAGGATGCAGGAATAAACAGCACAACTCCCTGAAGCATCCGTTTTACTGAATGGCAATTTACAGTATTTTTAAATTAAAACAAGCTGGAAATATAGAGTAGGATGCATACAGCACAAGAATTTAAAGAAAAAATGTGAGACTTTTCTTACTGCATGTTAGGGATGTGTTAACTCTCCTCTGGACTCAGGGTTCTTCTGAAGGAACATTTTAGAAGCTCTTAGGTTCTGTCCCTTCCTTTCAAAACCTGCTGAGATCCCCTCCCCAGCCCTGGAGACTGCTCCAGCCTTAAGTACTTTTGGTGACCTGCACATTGATGCAATGTAGGTTCATTCACCAAGCATTTATTAAACTCTTACTACCTGCCATGTTGAAATAGCCTTGACCCCAAAACTGGTCTTGAAGTGAAAAACCAAGGTCCACTGGACTTCACCTCTGGGGACAAAGAGATGGGTGCAGTTTGGCGGGAACTGCAAGTAGCCACACAAGGGGATAAATATGTGTCCAGGGCCTTCCGCCATGTCCATCTCCCCTCACTTCTACAAAACTGTTAAGGGCTCTGTGACCTTTTTTTCAAAAAACAGCTTTATTGAGATGTAATTCATATATAAGTCACCCATTAAAGTATACAGTTCAGTGCATTTTATTGTATTCACAGAATTGTGGAACAATTTGCATAACCTAAGTAGAACATTTTTGCCACCTCAAAAAGAAACCCAGTCCCATTAGCAGTCACTTTTCGTTCCCATCCTCTTCCCAGCTCCAGCAACCACTAATCTACTTTCTGACTCTATAGATTTGTCTATCCTAAACATTTCCTATCAATGGAATTATAAAATATGTGGTCTTTGTGACTGGCTTCTTTCATTTAGTATGATGTTTTCAAGGTTCATCCATGTTGTAGCATGTATCAGTATCTCATTCCCTTTTTATTGCCACATAATATTCCATGGTGTAGGTAGAACACTTTTTTTTTTTTTTGAGACAGGGTCTCACTCTGTCGCACAGCTGGAGTGCAGTGGTGCAACCATGGCTTACTACAGCCTCCACCTCCAGGGCTCAAGTGATCATCCCACCGCAGCTTCCTGAGTAGCTGGGACTACAGGTGCATGCCATCACACCAGGCTAATTTTTTAATTTTTTGTAGATATGGGGTCTCCCTATATTGCCCAGGCTGGTCTCAAGCTCCTGGCCTCAAGCAATCCTCCCACTTCAGCCTCCGAAATTTTGGCATTACAGGCATGAGCCACCGCACCTTGCCTAGAACACATTTTATATTTATCCGTTCATCAATTTATAAACATTTGGGTTATTTCCACTTTGGGCTATTTTATAACTAAATATGGCTAATAATATCCCACTTGTGGGGTATTATGAATAATGCTGCTGTGAACATCCATGTATGTTTTTGCATGGACATACGTTTTCATTTCTCTTGGGTATATACGTAGGTATGGAATTGCTGGGTCATAACTATGTTTGACATTTTAAGGTGCCAGCACCAATTTATGTTCCCACCAGCCATGTATGAGGGTTCCAAGTTTTCCACATCCCAGACAACACTTCTTTTTTTTTTTAATTATACTTTAAGTTTTAGGGTACATGTGCACAACGTGCAGGTTAGTTACATATGTATACATGTGCCATGTTGGTGTGCTGCACCCATTAACTCATCATTTAACAGTAAGTATATCTCCTAATGCTATCCTTCCCCCCTCCCCCCACCCCACAACAGGCCCCAGTGTGTGATGTTCCCCTTCCTGTGTCCATGTGTTCTCATTGTTCAATTCCCACCTATGAGTGAGAACATGTGGTGCTTGGTTTTTTGTCCTTGCAATAGTTTGCTGAGAATGATGGTTTCCAGCTTCATCCATGTCCCTACAAAGAATATGAACTCATCATTTTTTATGGCTGCATAGTATTCCATGGTGTATATGTGCCACATTTTCTTAATCCAGTCTTATCATTGCTGGACATTTGGCTTGGTTCCAAGTCTTTGCTATTGTGAATAGTGCTGCAATAAATATACGTGTGCATGTGTCTTTATAGCAGCATGACTTATAATCCTTTGGGTATATACCCAGTAATGGGATGGCTGGGTCAAATGGTATTTCTAGTT